>NC_000014.9:99914713-100217713 GCF_000001405.40 Homo sapiens | reverse complement strand
TGATACAGCCTTGCATTTCTTTATTGCTTTGCACCATTGGGGTTTTAATTGGGATTGCATGGATCTTATAAATCACATGGAGAAAGTGGACTTCTTTTAATGTTAATCCATGGACGCGGTATATCTCTCTAGTTACAATGTCCCCTTTGTCTCACAATCAGGGTTTCTGATTTTCTCCATAGAGATCTTGTACTTTTAAAAAAATTGTTTTCTTGGCTAGGTGCGGTGGCTCGTGCCTGTAATCCCAGCACTTTGGGAGGCCAAGGCAGGCAGATTACTTGAGGTCAGGAGTTTGAGACCAGCCTGGCCAACATGGTGAAATCCTGTCTCTACAAAAATACAAAAATTGGCTGGGCGTCATGGCGGGCGCCTGTAATCCCAGCTACTTGGGAGGCCGAGGCAGGAGAATTACTTGAACCCAGGAGGCAGAGGTTGCAGTGAGCCCAGATCGTGCCATTGCACTCCAGCCTGGGTGACAGAGCAAGACTGTTTCAAAAAAGAAAAAAAAATTGTTTTATTTTATTTCTTTCCTGAGATCTCTGTATGTACTTGTTTTATTAAGAGGTCTGTGATATTATTATAAATTTTTTTTTTTCTTTTTTGAGACACAGTCTCGCCCTGTCGCCCAGGCTGGAGTGCAGTGGCACAATCTCGGCTCACTGCAACTTCCGTCTCCTGGGTTCAAGCGATTCTCCTGCCTCAGCCTCCTGAGTAGCTAGGGCTACAGGTGTGTGCCACCACGCCCGGCTAACTTTTTTTGTATTTTTTAGTAGAGACAGGGTTTCACCGTGTTAGCCAGGATGGTCTTGATCTCCTGACCTCATGATCTGCCCACCTCGGCCTCCCAAAGTGCTGGGAGTGTGAGCCACCGCACCCAGCCTATAAATGATTTTTCTTGCTGGATGTTTTAACTGTTACAGCTGGAATTTTAAAATGCAGCTGAGAGTGCCTATAGTCCCAGGTACTCAGAAGGCTGAGGTGGGAGTATTGCTTGGGCCCAGGAGGCTGCATTCCAGCCTGGGCAACATAGCAAAACCCCATCTCAAAAGATAAATAAAAATTTTTTAAATGAAAATGCAGTGGGTTTGTGTATATTGATTTTTATATCTAGCAAGCTCACTAAACTCTCATGGTAACTTACCTTGTGATTCTTTGGCTTTTATATCATCTCTAAATAATGACAGTTTGTTTTTTTCCTTTCAGATCTTTATATCCTTTTCTTTTTCCTTGCCTTTCTTCCCTGGCCTGGACTTCCCGTACAGTTTGCACCCTACTGGAGGTGGTGACAGTGGGCATCGTTGCCATGTTTCCATTCTCACAGGGAAAGCTATCATTGTTCCTCCACTATCTACGATGTTTGTTATGGGGTTTTACAGCTACCCTTTGTCAGGGCAAGGAAGTCCCTTCCATTCTTAGGTTGCTAAGAGTTTTTCTCATGAGTGGATCTTTAGTTTTCTCTACGAGCCTAGAGAGGATGGTATGTCTTTTCCTTTTTTCCATTAAAGTGATAGATGATGCTGAGTTTTCCAATGCTGACGGACCCTGCGCTCCTGAGAGAAACAGGCTTGACTGTGTTGTATTGTCTTTTTTAGAAGCTGCCAGATTCAGTTTGTTACTCGTGTAGGATTTTTGTGTCTATTTTTCATGAATGAGATTGCCCTGTCCTTTTTCTTTTTCATATTTCCCTTATTAGGTGTTGGTGTCAAGGTTATCATTGCCTCACCGAACCAGTTGGGCAGTCCCCTCTTTTTCTGTGTTCTGAGTTTGTATAAAAGCGGAACTCTTTGTTCCATACATGTATATTAAAACTCACGGAGGATGCCATCTGGGCCTGGAGTTTGCTCTGCAGGAAGGTCGACTCCTGATTAACTTGGTCTTTCATGAACCTCCCATCCTTCCAGACCAGACCACCTCACCGGTGGACCATAGTGGCACCCTAAGGAGCACTGCCCCAGGCCTCCTCCCCAGCCAGTCTTCCTGTTCCCAGCTCTCTCCACCGGTCCCCACTGTCCCCTGATAAAATGTAGATTTACTGTCAGACTCAGGGCCCTCACCTGTGGCCAAACCACTTGCCTATCCTACCCTTCTGCTGTGTCCTGCTGAACTGGAGGCACGCCTGGGCCTCCTGTGCTGGAGCCTCCGCCCACGTGTGGCCCATCCAGACTCCTCCTGCCACTAGGGCCACTTCTTCCGGGAAGCCTGCCCTTCCCTTTAACTGCAGGGCCCTGTCTCCTATAGCTCCCAATTTCCACGTATGATCAAGACCGCTCTGGGGTAGAATTATAATCACTCCCTACCCAAGTGAGTGATCCGAGAGGATGGGTATATGCTTCCAGTTACTTGCTTATTCGGTCAACAAAACATACGAAGCACCAGGCACCATATGGAGCTGGAATACATCAGTAACCAAGACTCACAGCTTCCAGTCTCCAGAGCTCTCCAGTGAGTGGAAATAAGACAGCTTTCACTCGACAGGTGAGCACTGAAAAACGAGTTTTAATCACCCAGAATCCCACTGCTAATGGATGAGAGCATTTCTTCTCTTCTCCGCTTTAAAAAGGCGTATAATTATCTACCTGAGTAAGTACAAGCTACACACTACGCTAATTTACGGATAAGGAAACCGAGGCGTGGGGCACTGAGGCTGAAGCTGGCCCGGCTTAGGAATGCTTGGGGTCTGGATTTTGACTCAGCAGGTTGACTCGGAGCCTCCCTGCCTTCTTGAAAAAATAGAATGTGTGTTGAGCTCTGTCCTCGTTTGGGCCTCGAGTTTCACTTATCTTACTACAGACACCACCTTGGGAACACGAAATGTGCATCTCGCCCCTATCTGGGTGTCACCCTCACCGGCTCCCTTGCTTTCTTTTCGGGCTGTAGGGGCAGAACCCAGCCCGGGAGTTCGGAGCCTGGGCTCTCCCGGCGCTGCCATCAACTCCCTGTGATCCCAGCTCGTCACTAGGCCTCTCTGCGCCTCTTTCCACCTGTGTTAGGCGGGGCTGGGATTCCACCCCTGGCGATGGGCGTCGAGGATCCAGCACAGCCGGGGCGGGGCTAGGCGGGCGCGGGGGACGAGGGGCCCCGGGGAGGAGGGCGGGGCGGGGCACGAGGGCCCTGAGAGCCGGAAGCGCGGGGCGGGGCCTGTGCCGGGTGCACCTCGCGAGCTAGCTGCCGCCCCGCCTGTGTCGCGGTCGTACCCTCCGCCCTCTGCGCCGAGAGCCGCTGCCGCCCGAGACCTTCGAGGGCTCCTCGCCCCTGCTTCCTGGGAGACCCTCTCCGCTGGGAGAGTCGCAGTCACGGAGCCGGGGGACACCTGTACGGGCAGGCGGCCGGCGAAGGCCCGGCCCGAGAGGAAGCGGGCCCCGAACGCCGCAACTGCCTGGGAAGCGGCTTTGCGTGTGCGCGGCGAGAGTAGCGGGGCCATTGCCGGGCGTCTCAGGCGCCCGGGGCACCTCCGCCCTTCTTCCTGCCGCAGCTTCCTCGCGGCACTGGGAAGGGCGGCGGGAACGCAGGCGCTGCGCCGGGCGAAGGCCGCGGCCCTGCTCTCATCCTCAGCAGTTGGGAGGCTGGGGCTGGGCTACACCGACCCGAGCGGGGGCCGGGCGCGGGCCAGGCTCCTCCCTCATCTCCGGCTCCGTGGGCCGCGTGGCTGCCCCTTGGCAGGCTCTGCGGGGTCCCTGTCCCTGCCTGGGTAGTGTGCGCCCTTACCCTCCCGCCCCGCTTCAGGCCCTGCAGTTGAGAACACGGCGCCCTCGCCCCAGCCTGGTCCTCGCTCTAGATCCCGACCCTGACGCAGCCTGGGGAAGCCTACAAAGCCCCTCTCAAAATATTTTTAGATGAATAAAATAACAAGATTAGGAAGGAAGGCTACTATGGTAAATAGTTGGCTGGTCGCGGGGCTCACGCCGGTTTTCCCAACAATTTGGGAGGCCGAGGCGGGAGGATCGCTTGAGCCTAGGAGTTGGAGACCAGCCTGGCCAACATAGTGAGACCGTCTCTACAAAAACTTTTTTTTTTAATTAGCCGGGCGTGGTGGAGCACATCTGAGGGCCCAGCTACTCGGGAGCTGAGGCAGGAGGATCCCTTAAGCCTGGGAAGTCAAGGCTGCAGTGAGCCGAGATGGGTGCCACTTCACTCCAGCCTAGGCGACAGAGTGAGACTTGCAGAAGGAAAGAGAGAAAAGAAATACAGTAACAGTTAATAAAATTCTTAACACACATGTAATAATGTATTTTACTCACACATTAAATAACAAGACTAAAGTTGCAAGTCTAATATTCACCATGATTTTGAAATACCAGTGAGTATAAATGATATTTAGAGATTTCTGCAACAGCTGAAATGTGATATGAATATATCTGGGTTTCTCTTGGTGACAAAGTCACAGGGACAGCTAACACCTACTACTGTGGGAATTTTAATATCAGAGGTGGGTGAAAATGAGATCGCATACATTCCTTCAACCCAAATTCAGAAGCCCCCTGGCTTCTATCCTCTGACCTCCCTTCCCCTCCCCTCTCTCTGTGGATCCCAGGTTAAGAACCCCCACCCATGTGACGGGGTGTGAAGAGCTCAGTGGGAGGGGCAGAGAGGAAGAGCCTCCCTGACCCCGGTGTTTGCCTAAAGAGAAGCACAGAGCCAGTTTTCATACTCTGGGCCTTTGCACATGCTGTTCCCTCTGCTGGGCCTTCCCATCCCCCTGCCCCCTCTGCCACCCCAACCTCCTGTCTCCTTGAAAATACCCTACCCCATGCCACCCCCAGCATGGGGTTTCCTCTCTTCTCTTGCTGTCTAGTATCTTCCCAGCTCCACACAGAGCCTGTGTGTTGATCTCAGGGGTTTGTGTTCAGGCCTGGCCTCCTGCTGGGCTGAGCTAGGCAAGGCCTGGGCTGGGGCTGCTCCATCCCTAGGGCCCATTTCAATACTGGTGCTCAACGCATGTTTATTGGATGGATGGATGGATGGATGGATGGATGGATGGATGGATGGATGGAAAAGGTCATGCCCACCATGTTTTCTAAGCATCTTGCAGTCAGCAGCCGCCTGACTCATCTTTGGGCACCCTCCCCTGGCAACAGCAAAGGCTGTGTCACCAGCCCTTCCGACCAGGCTCCTGAGGGGGGTCTTGCATACCTTCTCACAGGTCGTGTCCTAAGATCCCATTTCACCAGTGGGGAACCTGGCCCTGGGAAAGGTCAAGGCTGGCTCCCTTGGTCTGGGAGCTGGCAAGTGGTGCATGAGGGATTCCATCCAGCCTGCCCTGGCCACACTGCTATCCGGTACATCAGCTCAAAGGGCCTCTGCAGAGGCCAAGGTGATGGGAGAGTTGGCCACATGTGAGAATAAGCCCATGCCCTCTGGAGGGAACTCTACTTTGAGTGATAACACTTCTTAAAATGGTTAAGTCATCATTAAGACAAAAACCAAATACACTTCTGATTTCATTCACCCTGTGCACCCGTGGTCACCCCAGCCAAGGGAGACTTGGTGATGCAGGGGATTGAGAAGCAGCCACTGTCTCGATGCTCCCAGCATGGTGGGGGCACCAGGAGTGTGAGTTGGAGGGGGGAAGGAGAGGGCAGGACCACTGGGGCAGGCTGGGAGGGCTTCACGGAGGAGGTGCTGCTTGGGTGAGGCCTAAAGGTCAGTAGGAATTACCTGTATGCAGGAGAGGATGGAAGGGAGTAGGAGGACACTGTAGTCCAAAGGCCCGAGGGGTGAACCTGCAAGTCCCATTTGGACAACTGAGCTCAGCTTGGGGAGCTCGGCCCTTAGGAGCCTCCGGTACAGCACACGAAACCAGTCAGCCACAAAACCAGGAGGTGGTTGTTAAGTTTCTTCTACCCATGCAGGTAAAGTTGAGAGAACCGTGAACTGGTTTCCTGCGGAGAGGATCCTGGAGCACAGTCCATGGCTGGGAGCCTCCAGACCTCGGGTGCGAAAGGTAGTGATGGGAGAAGGGAGGACACCCCAGGCAGAGGACACGACCTGGACACAGAAGTGGAGACTGGATTGGGAGTAGAGGAGTGAGGCTGCCTGGTGCCTCAGAGCTGGAGGAAGAATGACAACTGAGCCTGGACACCTGGGCTGGGGCAGGACACCTGGGACACTGGGAAGAGCCTGGGGCACTGGGAAGAGCCTGAGGCACCAGGCTGAGGCACCTGGGGCTGGCGGGCAGGAGGGCGCGTACGGGGGGAGCCACGGAGGCCTTTGGATACTCTAGCACTGTGTGGAGGATGGCGGAGAAAGGCTCGCACAGGCCCCCTGAGCCCGGCATGGGGATCCTGGGTAATAACCACACCTACCCACCTACCCAATGGGTACAGACCTTTTATCTCATTGGATTCACCCAACATCTTATGAAGAAGGCAGAAAAGTTTATTCACTTATCCAAAAAACATGATCCGTTTAGATCTGAGCTGGAATAACAGAATTTTCTTTTTACTTTTCCCTCCCTCCCTTCCTTCCTTCTCCCTTTCCTTTCTTTTTTGACAGGGTCTCATTCTGTCACCCAGACTGGAGTGCAGTAGCACAATCAGGGATTGCTGCAGCCTCAACTTCTGGGCTCAAGTGATGCTCCCACCTGAGCCTCCTTAGTAGCTGGGACTACAGGTGTCCAGGTGTGCACACCACACCCAGCTAATTTTTGTATTTTTTGTAGAGACGGGGTCTTGCCATGCTGCCCAGGCTGGACAGAGAACTTTCACATTCTGTATTATATATTTCCAAACTATTGTAAAATTTGATAATGAGCATATATTACCTTTATAATCAGAAAAAAGACAATAAAGATTTTTAAAAAATAATGATCCAGGTCAGGCACAGTGGCTCAAGCCTGTAATCCCAGCACTTTGGGAGGCTGAGGCAGGCGGATCATGAGGTGAGGAGATCGAGACCATCCTGGCTAACATGGTGAAACCCTGTCTCTACTAACTTTGGGAGGCCGAGGTGGGCGAATCACTTGAGGTCAGGAGTTCGAGACCAGCCTGGCCAACATGGTGAAACCCCATCTCTACTGAAAACACAAAAATTAGCTGGGTGTGGTGGCATATGCCTGTAATCAAATCCCAGCTACTCCAGAGGCTGAGGTGGGAGAATCACTTGAACCGAAGAGGTAGAGGTTGCAGTAAGTCGAGACTGCGCCACTGCACTCCAGCCTGTGCAACACACCGAGACTCCATCTCAAAAAAAAAGATTCAGGACTAGGATACAAAGTTGACTCTCCCCAGATTAGCTGGATTTTCCAAACATCCAAATATCACAATGCACACCCTCTCCATTCACACAGGCCCCTTCATGGAGACCCACAGCAGAGGTTTCCCTGAGTTCTCAGTAATTGATAAGATTCTTTTTTTTTTTTTTTTTTTTTTTTTT
Organism: Homo sapiens; assembly: GCF_000001405.40. Classification (NCBI taxonomy): domain Eukaryota; kingdom Metazoa; phylum Chordata; class Mammalia; order Primates; family Hominidae; genus Homo; species Homo sapiens. Next base: position 100,210,342 of record NC_000014.9, on the reverse strand, counting down.
GAGACGGAGTCTTGCTCTGTTGCCCAGGCTGGAGTGCAGTGGCGCAATCTCGGCTCACTGCAAGGTCCGCCTCCCAGGTTCACGCCATTCTCCTGCCTCAGCCTCCTAAGTAATTAATAAGATTCTTAACCTTAGGATCCCTATCTAACCCTGTTTCTCTTTTGTACTGGCCATCAGGAAGCAGGATGTCAAATGTGAATTTCGCCTCTTCCCCCCTTGGCATTTGTGCAGGACCTTCTGCCATGTACTTTTGTTGTTTGTTTTTAGAGACATGGTTACTATGTCGTCCAAGCTGGTCTCAAACAACTGTGTTCCAGGGATTCACCCACCTCAGACACCCAAAGTGCTGGGATTCCAGGCGTGAGCCTCGCCCGAGCCCAGCCTGCCGTGCAATTTTGCATATTAACTATACTCCTTTGCCTGACTCCTCTACCTTTATTTTACTTTATACTCATTTTTACCGAAGCTGCCTCTTCCTTTTGGAATGACACAAGACACAAATTGATACTTTTTTTTTCTTTTTGTAACAAAGTCTCAATCCATCATCCAGGCTGGAGTGCAGTGGGCTTCAGCCTTCAACTCCCCAGATTCAGGCAACCCTCCCACCTCAGCCTCCTGAGTAACTGGGACCACAGGCGCACACCACCACGCCTAATTTTTGTATTTTTTATAGACAGGCTCCACATACCTGGCCACCATACAGGAGCCACCATATCCAGCTGATACATTTTTTCCTTAAAAACCATAGAAAAGCAACTGAAAGGGAAAAAAACGTAACTAAAAGAGAGCAAGCACATTCGCTGAGTGCAGTGGCTCACACCTGTAATCCAAGCATTTGGGGAGCCAGGGTGAGAGGATCCCTTAAGACCGGGAGTTTGAGACCAGCCTGGGCAACATAGTGAGACTTCATCTCTACAGGACATTAAATTAGTTGGGCATGGTGGAGCACACCTGTAGTCCACCAGCTTAGGAGGCTGAGGTGGGAGGAATGCTTGAGCCCAGGAATTTGAGGTTACAGTGAGCCACAATTGCGCCACGGTACTAAAGTCTGAGTGACAGAATGAGACCGTCTCAAAAAAAGAAAAAAGAAGGCAGGGCATGCTGGCTCATGCCTGTAATCCCAGCACCTTGGGAGGCCGAGGCAGGTGGATCACCTGAGGTCAGGTGTTCAAGACCAGCCTAGCTAACATGGTGAAACCCCATCTGTACTAAAAATACAAACATTAGCCGGGCGTGGTGGTGGGCGCCTGTAATCCCAACTACTTGGAAGGCTGAGGCAGGAGAATCACTTGAACCCGGGAGGCGGAGGTTGCAGTGAGCCTAGATTGCACCACTGCACTCCAGCCTGGGTGACAGAGTGAGACTCCCTCTTAGAAAATAAAAAAAAGAGAGAGAAGCAGGCTCTTGGTAGGAGGCCTGGCATAATGCCTGGACCAAAAGTAGTATCCATCCATTTCCTTAAAAAATAATATGTTTTGGCCGGGTGTGGTGGCTCACACCTGTAATCTCAACACTTTGGAAGGCCGAGGCAGGAGAATCACCTGAGGTGAGGAGTTCAAGACCAGCCTGGCCAACATGGCAAAACCCCTTCTCTACTAAAAATACAAAAAAATTAGCCAGGCATGGTGACAGGCACCTATAATCCTGAGAGGTGACAGCGTGCTGGCAGCCCTTGCTCGCTCTCGGTTCCTCCTCGGCCTTGGCTTGAGGAGCCCTTCAGCCCACCGCTGCACCGTGGGAGCCCTTCTCTGGGCTGGCCGAGGCCAGAGCCGGCTTCCTTGGTTTGCCGGGAGGTGTGGAGGGAGAGGCATGGGCTGGAACCGGGGCTGCACGCCGCGCTTGCGGGCCAGATAGAGTTCCGGGTGGGCGTGGGCTTGGCGGGCCCCACACTCGGAGCGGCCAGCCGGCGCAGGCAGTGAGGGGCTTAGCACCTGGGCCAGCAGCTGCGGAGGGCGCACCGGGTCCCCCAGCAGTGCCGGCCGCTCGATTTCTTGCCGGGCCTTAGCTGCCTCCCCGCGGGGCAGGGCTCGGGACCTGCAGCCCGCCATGCCTAAGCCTCCCCCGACCCTCTACCCGCTCCCCACCGGGGCTCCTGCACAGCCTGAGCCTCCCTGACGAGCGCCGTCCCCTGCTCCAGGGCGCCCGGTCCCATCAACCGCCCAAGGGCTGAGGAGTGCAGGCACAGGGCACGGGACTGGCAGGCAGCTCCACCTCCAGCCCCAGTGCAGGAGCCACTGGGTGAAGCCAGCTGGGCTCCTGAGTCTGGTGGGCACTTGGAGAACCTTTATGTCTAGCTAAGGGATTGTGAATGCACCAGTTCGCACTCTGTATCTAGCTCAAGGTTTGTAAATGCACCAATCAGCACTCTGTCTAGCTCAGGGTTTGTAAATACACCAATTGACACTCTATCTAGCTAATCTAGTGGGGACGTGGAGAACTTTTGTGTCTAGCTCAGGGATTGTAAATGCACCAATCAGCACCCTGTCAAAACGGACCAATCGGCTCTCTGTAAAATGGACCAATCGGCTCTCTGTAAAATGGACCAATCAGCAGGATGTGGGTGGGTCCAGATAAGACAATAAAAGCAGGCTGCCGGAGCCTGCAGTGGTAACTGGGTTAGGGTCTCTTCTAGTTTGTGGGGGTTTTGTTTTTTTGCTGTTTGCAGTAACTTGCTACTGTTTGCTCTTTAGGTCCACACTGCCGTTATGAGCTGTCGCACTCACGTGCGCGAAAGTCTGCAGCTTCATTCCTGAAGCCAGCGAGACCACGAACCCACCGTGAAGAACAAGCAACTCCAGACGCGTGGCATCAAGAGCTGGAACACTCACCGCGAAGGTCTGCCACTTCACTCCTGAGCCAGCGAGACCACGAACCCACCAGAAGGAAGAAACTCCGAACATATCAGAGCGAACAAATTCCAGACACGCCGCCTTTAAGAACTGTAACACTCACTGCAAGGGTCCGCGGCTTCATTCTTGAAGTCAGTGAGACCAAGAACCCGCGAATTCTGGACACAATCCCAACTACTTGGGAGGCTGAGGCAGAAGAATCGCTTGAACCCAGGAGCGGGAGATTGCAGTGAGCCGAGATTGTGCCACTGCACCCCAGCCTGGGCAACAGAGCAGGACTCCATCTCAAAAAATAATGATAATATGTTTTGGGAGGGTGAGGCTTGTGGATATCTTGAGCCCAGGAGTTCAAGACCAGTTTGGGCAACATCATGTCTCTACAAAAAATATAAAAATTAGGCGTGGTGGCATGTACCTGTAGTCCCAGCTACTCAGAAGGCTGAGGTGGGAGGATGCTTGAGGCCAGGAGGAGGAGGTTTCAGTAAGCCGAGATCGTGCCACTACACTCCAGCTTGGGCTGAAAAAGGTAATGTATTCACGAGACATCGGTTTTAAAGGCACAAAAGGCTAGTGTTTCAGAAAGACTCAAGCCATGTTTTTCTCTGCTCTCACACCAATACAGCAACAATCAACATAAGACTTCTGTGACCCCAAAATATATGGGGGTTTCTCCCCACCAGCAAGCAAGCAATAAGCAATCAATTCTGCAGCAGATGCCGTCTGGGTGTCCTCCAATTCAATTCTGACACCATCTACCTGGAGCTAGCATCAGATCCCACAGGTAGCCACCCCCGTTCTCACACCAGTCGCCAAGTCCGGGCCTCCGGAGCTTCTGGCTTCAAGTTGGGGTTCCCACAACCTCTGCCCTGGGTTTAATTTACTGGCGTGGCTCACAGAACTCAGAAAAACCTGTACATTTGCCAGTTTACTATGAAGGATATTATGAAGGAGACAATGAAGAGACGCATCGGCGCGGTATTGGGGTAGGGGTGCAGAGCTTCATGCCCTGCTGGCACACCACCCTCCAGGAGCCCCCATGCACCCAGTCATCCAGAAGCCCTCCCAAGCCTGTCTTCTTGGGTCTCTATGGAGGCTTCTTTATGTCAGCATTTCTGCCCCCAGGGTATGGGGTGGAGCCTTCTCTGGAATAAGGGTCTTATGACCCAAGATCAGATTAGGGTCCTGCCTTGGGCAGGTGAAAGGAGGCAGGAAAAGGTCAGAGAGATTCTGTTTCCCGAGGTCTAACACTCGCAACGTTCTTTTTTTAGTTATTCTTTTTATTTATTTTTTACCTTTTCAGTGGTGCTGACACTCCCAACATTGTAACAAAAGACTAACAAGGGCTCTGGGAGTTATGAGATAGGAACCATGGATCACACACACACACAGCCATGGATAACATGGCTAAACCCCATCTGTACAAAAAAAAAAAAAAAATTAGCTGGGTGTGATGGTGCACCTGTAGTCCCAGCTACTCGGGCGGCTGAGGTGGGAGAATCCCCTGAGCCCTGGAGGTCAGGGCTGCAGTGGGCCAAGATCGCACCACTGCACTCCAGCCTGGGCATGGGAGTAAGATTCTGTCTCAAAAAAACAAAGCAAAACAAAACAAAACGTATTCTCATCACACCATAGCTAGTCAGTGAAAAGCCAGTCTTCCCCCAACTCTTGTCCCCCAGCTCACCTCTCCAGAAGGACCACTCCTAGTAGTTTCTTGGGTATGCCCTCCAGAGACAGTCCTCACAAATATATGAAAACACATACATAATATTCTGCACTTTGCTTTTCACATAACACTGGGGTGGAGATCTTTCCATATTATAGCACAGAGGTTCCTCACTGTTCCTGGCTGTGTCAGCCACTGAGGTACACTGGGGTGGTAGGGTGGTGAACCCCAACTCCAAGGGGACAGAAGCTCTTGCACTTGGGACCCTTCCAGACCTTGCCCTATGCACCTCTTCATAGGGTGTTCATCTGTATCCTTTATAATCTCAACCCTAATTAATGACATTGAGAAATTATGATTGGGCCAGGCACGGTGGCCTGTAATCCCAGTACTTTGGGAGGCCGAGGCAGGGAGATCACCTGAGATCAGGAGTTCAAGACTAGCCTGACCAACATGGTGAAACCTCTTCTCTACTAAAAATACAAAAATTAGCTGGGTGTGGTCGCACATGCCTGTAATTCCAGCTACTGGGGAGGCTGAGGCATGAGAATCTCTTGAGCCTGGGAAGTGGAGGTTGCAGTGAGCCGAGATTATACCATTGCACTCCAGCCTGGGTGATAGAGTGAGACTCTGTCTCAAAAAAAGAAAAAAAATTATGGTTGAATTAAGACTCTACTCCAGGCCAGGCGTGGTGGCTCACACCTATAATCCCAGCATTTTGGGAGGCCAAGGCAGGCGGATCATGAGGTCAGGAGTTTGGGACCAGCTTGGCCAACATGGTGAAACCCTGTCTTTTACTAAAAATACAAAAATTAGCTGGACATGGTGGCGCGCGCCTGTAGTCCCAGCTACCTGGGAGACTGAGGCAGAAGAATCACTTGAACCCGGGAGGTAGAGGTTGCAGTAAGCCAAGATCACACCACTGCACTCCAGCCTGGCGACAGAGTGAGATTCTGTCTCAAAAGAAAAAAAAAAAAAGTTTACTCCAGCTCAAAGCTTGAGGCCGTCCACCTGGGGAACACTGACTTCAGAAGAATGAATGGGTCAGGTCAGCTTCCAAAGTGGAGAAGGGAAGGTTTTGTTTACATACGCAGTTCACAGGATTGCAACATTTTCCATGCAAGGTCAGTACATATGCTTTAGCAATTTGATTGGTTATGGCTTGTCACATTCCAAGGAAGATTGCTTTAATATTCTGTGAGGAGGGGTGCTGATTCAAAGGGATCTATTTCTGGAGCCACAGTGCTTTTTCTAATCATTTATAGGAAAAGGCAGAGGCTGTTGAAGCTGCTACCTGACTCAGGCCACATAGCCACATTCCTCTCAAGGCTCAAAATAGTTTTGGCTGGGTGCCGTGCCTCACCCTGTAATCCCAATGCTTTTGGAGGCCAAGGTGGGAGGATAGCTTGAGCCCAGGAGTTCAAGGTTGCAGTGAGCTATGATCACACCTCTGCATTCCAGCCTGGGCAACAGAGTGAGACCCTGTCTCTATAATAATAATAATTCAAAGTTCCAATAGCTTTAAGTTTGAATTATTTAATTTCATAATAATAAACCAGCATATATAAAGTGTTTCATTGAGTTTGTTTGTTTTAGAGATGGGGTCTCACTATGTTGCCCAGGTTGGAGTGCAGTGGTTATTCACAGGCATGGTCATGCACAATGACTGTAGTCTCAAACTCCTAGGCTCGAGTGATCCTCCCACACCTTCTCTGTTACCTATGACTACAGGCATGTGCCCCCATGCCTGCCTGCCTGCCTGGCTCTATTTCCTTAAGTTTTTTTTTTTTTTTTTTTTTTTGAGAAGGAGTCTTGCTGTGTCACCCAGGCTGGAGTTCAGTGCTGCAATCTCAGCTACTGCAGCTTCCACCTCCTGGGTTCAAGCGATTCTCGTGCCTCAGCCTCTCAAGTAGCTGGGATTACACGTGTGCACCACCATGCCTGGATAATTTTTGTATTTTTTGTAGAGACGGCATTTTGCCACGTTGGCCAGGCTGGTCTCGAACTCCTGACCTCAAGTGGTCCACCTGCCTCGGCCTCCCAAAGTGCTGAGATTATAGGCATGAGCCACCGCACCTGGCCCTATTTCCTTAAGTTATATGAGTCATTCTAGCCCATAACTGAACCAGAGGAGGCGGTCTTGGAAACCTCCAGCTTACAGTCGCTCAGTCAGAAATATGTGAGGATGGATTTACATTTGGCTTCTGAAATGGGGGCAGTTTTGTGGGACTGAGCCTTTAATTTGTGGAATCTGATGTTAATTCCAGGTAGATAGTGTCAGAATTGAATTGAATTCTAGGACACTCAGTGTTGGTCAGAGTGGGGAAAATTCGCACACAAGGTATCAGAAGTGCTCTGTGTGAGTGTAGACAAACTGTTTTCACAATGTGTGACCCAGGGATGCTTCTGAAACTTCATCACCCATGGATGTCTTTCATTTATAGAGCTTCCTTGGCACAGAATTTAGGTATCAGATGCTGACTGGTGATTGACTTGTGACTCTGAGCAATGGCCATGTTGAATTCATACCCTGAAATCCGCGATACTGAAGCCTACAATTCATCCTTTCAATTTCCCATAGTAAAAACTCAGGAGAAAAACAGCCTGATTCTAAATGGGGCAGCTCCGCTGGGAGTTGGTAGATAGGACACCCAAACTGCAGAGAAAACCTGGAATAAAGTGAAGCTCATTTTAAGAACTCTTGAGTCCAAAACCTTAAAAACACATGCACTTTTCAGCCCAGCAATTCCACTTCTAGGACTTTTCCAGGGTGATAAACCAGGGACTCAGATATTCCCCCAGGGTTGTTTCCAATCACTCAAATTGGAAAAAAACTCAGTGTCCACAGAAGGGGAGAAGGGGGGGTGCAGAACAGAGGCAATGGGGTTGTGGTTAAGTAAATGGAGATGTAGCCCTGGGACTGGGTCCCCTAGGACGAGGGAAACATGAGCAGGAAATGGATAAATAGAAAGATAATCGAGTTTTAAGCCCCCAGAGAGAAGGCTGGTTACGAAATAGTATATACGATGTGATTTTTTTTTTTTTTTTTTTTGAGAAAGAGTCTCTCTCTCTCACCCAGGCTGGAGTACAGTGGTGTGATCTCAGCTCACTGCAACCTCTCCCTCCCGGGTTCAAGCAATTCTCGTGCCTCAGCCTCCCGAGTAGTTGGGACTACAGGGATGTGCCACTATACCCAGCTAATTTTTGTATTTTTAGTAGAGACGGGGTTTCACCATGTTGGCCAGGTCGGTCTCGAACTCCTGACCTAAGGTGATCCACCCACCTCGGCCTCCCAGAGTGCTGGGATTACAAGCATGTGCTACTGCGCCTGGCCTACAGTGTGATTCTAATGTAAGATAACAAGTACGCACAGAAAAGAACAGATCAACGCCGGGTACGGTGGCTCACGCCTGTAATCCCAGCACTTTGGGAGGCCAAGGCGGGCTGATCACCTGAGGTCAGGAGTTCGAGACCAGCCTGGCCAACATGGTGAAACCCTATCTCTACTAAAAATACCAAAAAATGAGCCGGATATGGTGGCAGGCACCTGTAATCCCAGCCAGTTGGGAGGCAGGAGAATCACTTGAACCCAGGAGGCGGAGGTTGCAGTGAGCTGAGATCACACCATTATACTCCAGCCCCAGCAACAAGAGCGAGACTCCATCTCAAAAAAAAAAAAAAAGATTGAAAAGATATACGAGAAAGTATTAATGGTGATTCTATTTGGGAAGGGTTTTTGTTTGTTGTTTTTCTTTTCTAAATTTCATGCATTCGACAGGTCATCATTGAGCAGATACTGTGTGCTTGGCACTGTGCTGGGCAGGTTCCGGAGACATAGCACGGAACAAAACAAAGGTCCCACTTCCCTGGGCTCACATTGCAGGGACAGCTGCCTGCAATAACATATACATGTCACCTTCCTACTATGGGTTTGTTTGTTTTTTGAAACAGGTTCTTGATCTGTCACCCAGACTGGAGTGCAATGTGGCAGTCGTAGCTTACTGCAGCCTCGAACTCCAGGGCTCAAGCTATCCTCCCCCATCAGTATCCCAGGTAACTGGGATTACAGGTGTGTGGCACCATGCTTGGCCCTATTTTTAGATTTTTCTTTTTTCTTTTTTTGTTGGTAGAGACAGGTTTTCACTATGTTGCCCAGACTAACAATATATGTTTTTAAAAAGTTATCTTTGCATTCTGAGTAGGAATTAGTAAAAATAATAATAATAATTAATTAATTAATTAAAAAAGTAAAGACTTGAACTTCCTATCTCCCTCTCCTCTCCCTGTGAAGAAAAAAATAATAAGTTTTTTTTGGTAAAACTTACCTTTTTTTTTTTTGAGACAGAGTCTCACTCTTTCCCCCAGGCTTGAGTGCAATGGTGCAATCTCCGCTCACTGCAACCTCCACCTCCCGGGTAGAGGGAATTCTCTTGCCTCAGCCTCCCAGACAGCTGGAATTATGGGTGCACACCACCACGCCTGGCTGTTTTTGTTTTGTTTGTGTATATATATATATTTTTTTGTATATAACTTTTGAGATAGAGTCTTGCTCTGTTGCCCAGGCTGGAGTGCAGTGGTGCAGTCTCCGCTCACTGTAACATCTGTCTCCCGGGTTTAAGCGAGTCTCCTGCCACAGCCTCCCGAGTAGCTGGGATTACAGGTGTGGGTCACCACACCCGGCTAATTTTTGTATTTTTAGTAGAGATGGGGTTTCACCATGTTGGCCAGGCTGGTCTTGAACTCCTGGCCTCAAGTGATCCTCCCACCTCGGCCTCCTAAAGTGCTGGGATTATAGGCGTGAGCCACTGCACCTGGCCAGTAAAATTTATCTTTAAGAACAAGTTAAAAACAATGTGTAACTACAATGGAATATTATTTGACTAAAAAGAGAAGTGTGGATACATGCTGCAATATAAATCAAACTTGAAAACATTATGCTGGCTGGGCGCGCGGTGGCTCACGCCTGTCATCTCAGCACTTTGGGAGGCCAAGGCGGGTGGATCACGAGGTCAAGAGATGGAGACCATCCTGGCCAACATGGTGAAACCCCATCTCTACTAAAAATACAAAAAATTAGCCGGGCATGGTGGCAGGCGCCTGTAGTCCCAGCTACTCGGGAGGCTGAGGTAGGAGAATCACTTGAACCCGGGAGGCGGAGGTTGCAGTGAGCTGAGATTGTGCCACTGCACTCCAGCCTGGCGATGAAGGGAGACCATCTCAAAAGAAAGAAAGAAAGAAAACATTATGCTAAGTAAAAAGCCAGACACAAAAGGCTGTGTTATCCCATTTATGCAAAATGCTCAGAATCAACAAATCCATAGAGGCAGAAAGCAGATTAGTGCTTCCCAGGGGATGGGGAGTGGGGTTAGATAACAGGATGTGACTGCTAATAGGTACCAGGTTTCTTGTTGGGGAGTTTAAAATGTTCTAAAATGAGAAAATGGTCATGGCTGCACAACTCTGAATATACTAAATCCTTGAGTTGCACATTTTAAAAGGGTGACTTTTAGGCTATGAGAATTATATCTCAATACATGTGTTATTCAAAAGTGTATAGAGGCCAGGCGAGGTGGCTCACGCCTGTAATCCCCACACTTTGGGAGGCCGAGGCGGGTGGATCACTTGAGGTCAGGAGTTCAAGATCAGCCTGGCCAACATGGTGAAACCCTGTCTCTACTAAAAAAATACAAAAATTAGGCTGAGCGTGGTGGCTCATGCCTGTAATCTCAGCACTTTGGGAAGCTGAGGCAGGTGTCTCTACTAGAAATACAAAAATTAGCCGGTCGTGGTGGCATGCGCCTGTAGTCCCAGCTATTCAAGGAGGCTGAGGCAGAAGAATTGCTTGAACCCAGGAGGCGGAGGTTGCAGTGAGCCGAGATAGCACCACTGCACTCCAGCCTGGGCAACAGAGCAAGGCTCCATCTCAAAAAAAAAAAAAAAGTGTGTAGGGCTGTTTGCCTGAGAATGGGAAACCCACGCAGGGCCCAGTGAAGCACACTTCAATGACACAGGTGCAGCAGAGGGACACCTCCCAGCATCAGTGTCCTCAATGGGTAGCCCCCGGGGCCAGCAGCATCACTGGGGACCTGCTGGGAATGCAAGCCCTCAGGCCCCACCCCAGAGCTGCTGAGTCAGAGACTCTGGGAGGGGGCCCAGCCATCCCTTTGTCAGGCCCTCCTGGGGATGCCCACTCTCCTCCAAGGATCACCGCCCTAGACCCAACCTGGGCAGCAGAGGGAAGCCAACAGCATGAAAAGGGAAACTCTCCACCATGCCACAAAACCCAGGCCTCTACGCCCAGCTGAAAAGCCATCTCCTGCAAGAATTTCTCTGAAATTCTTCATCGCTTCATCACTGTGGCTTCAGTGTGGTTCCAGATCCGAGTCCATATAGCACATGTGCAGGCAAGTCTCATCAGGGCTTGGGATCTCTAACCCAGCTCTTTATACACTTGGGCCTGTGACTCCCTACAGTCGAGGGCCCTGATGGACAGAGCGTGACAGCAATGAAGACTCCAGTGTTCAGAATGATTCTGAAGTACAGTGAAGAGGAGAGGAAACAAGAGGACAGAGGACAGTTCCTTGGTTCTATTCTCTCTCTCTCTTTTTTTTTTTTTTTTTTTTTTGAAACAGTCTCAGTCACTCTGTTGCCCAGGCTGGAACACAGTGACATGATCATGGCTCACTGCAGCCTCGACCTCCCTGACTCAAGTGATCCTGCCACCTCAGCCTCCTTAGTAGCTGGGACTACAGGTTGTGCCACGACACTCAGCTAATTTTTTATTTTTTGTAGAGACAGGGTCTCACTTTGTTGCCCAGGCTGGTCTCGGACTCCTGAGCTCAAGAAATCCTCCTTCCCAGCCTCTCGAAATGCTGGGAGTGACTACAGACATGAGCAACTGTGCCAGGGCATTTTTATGTTTAATTGAGAAAATACCACTTCCAATACCACTCTTTAATTCTGGACAGTTTTTGTAAACCCCAAAGAGAAATTCGGACTGTTAGTAGTCACTCCTATGCCCCCTTCCATCCAAACCCTGGCAACCACCATCTACTTTATGTTTCTTTCTTTTTTTTTTTTTTTTTTTTGAGACAGAGTTTCACTCTTGTTGCCCAGGCTTGAGTGCAGTGGCACAATCTCGGCTCCCTGCAACCTCTGCCTCCAGGGTTCAAGCGATCCTCCTGCCTCAGCCTCCCAAGTAGCTGGGATTACAGGCATGTGCCACCACGCCCAGCTAATTTTTGTATTTTTAGTAGAGACGGGGTTTCACCATGTTGGCCACGCTGGTCTCCAACTCCTGACCTCAGGTGATCTGCCCACCTCAGCCTCCCAAAGTGCTGGGATTACAGCTGTGAGCCACCACGCCCGGCCTTCTTTCTGTTTCTATGGATATGCCTCATCTGGACATTTCATATATGTGGAATCCTACAATAGGTGGCCTTTTGTAACTGGCTTCTTCAATTTACCATAATAAATTTGTTTTGTTTTTCTAAAAATGTATGTACAAAATCTCCACACCTCTCTTGTCAGTTTCCATATGCTCCTGCAATGTGGTTCCTGCGTAGAGCTGGGCAGTGAGATTATAGGTTTGTGTGTATTTTCCACAAATATGTGCTATATTTGTAATTTTTTCTCTTTTTTCTTTTTTTTTTTTGTGAGACACAGTCTTGCTGTGTTGCCAGACTGGAGTGCAGTGGCACGATCTCGGCTCACTGCAACCTCCACCTCCTGGGTTCAAGCATGTAATCAGTTTTTTAAAGTTTACTTTAAGAAACCCCAAAAACCTTGATTCTCCTGTTGCTGCTGTAACCAGTAAAAAGAAAAAAACAAACTGGCTGGGCACGGTGGCTCACGCCTGTAATCCCAGCACTTTGGGAGGCCAAGGCGGGCAGATCTCTTGAGGCCAGAAGTTTGAGACCAGCCTGGTCAACATGGTGAAACCCCATCTCTACTAAAAATTCAAAAATTAGCTGGGTGTGGTGGCACACACCTGTAATCCCAGCTACCCTGGGGGCTGAGGCAGAAGAATCACTTGAACCTCGGAGGTGGAGTCTTCAGTGAGCTGAGATCACGCCACTGCACTCCACCCTGGGTAACAGAGCGAGACTCCATCTCAAAAACAAACAAGAAAACAAACAAAAAAAGCCTCGATTCTTGTGTATATTATGTTATAATTTACATACAAAGAGGTAGGAGAATACAAACAGATACATTTTTACTTAATAGAGAAAGAAACAGTTTCTAATCCCAGCATTTTGGGAGCCCAAAAGTTTGAGATTGGCCTGGGAAACGTAGTGAGATTCCATCTCTACAAAACACTTTTTAAAAAGAGAAAGAAATAGCAGAAGGGAAAACCGGGATATAAATGAAGTGGCTGCCCAGCGGCCTGTGACTTATGACTGCTGTCTTGGAAGTGGGTCCTGGGGGGTCCATCAGCCTCTTTTTTTTTTTGAGACAGGGTCTCGCTCTGTCGTCCAGGCTGGAGTGCAGTGGTGCAATCATAGCTCACTGCAGCCTTGAATTCCTGGGGCTCAACCAATCCTCCCACCTTAGCCTCTTGAGTAGCCGGACGGCAGTCGTGTTCTACCTCACCCAGCTCATTTTAGAATTGTTTGTAGAAACAGGGTCTCGCCGTGTTGCCCAGGCTGGTCTCGAACTTCTGGATTGAAGCCATCATCCTGCCTTAGCCTCCCAAAGTGCTGGAATTACAGATGGGTGCCACCAGGCCTAGCCTCATCAGACTCTTGATTCTACTTTTGCCTGTGTTTGAAACTGCTCTAGGCCGAGCACGGTGGCTCATGCCTGTAATCCCAGGACTTTGGGAGGCCGAGGCGGGCAGATCATGAGTTCAGGAGTTTGAGACCAGCCTGGCCAACATAGTGAAATGCTGACTCTACTAAAAATACAAAAATTAGCTGGGCATGGTGGCGTGTACCTGTAGTCCCAGCTACTTGGGAGTCTGAGGCAGGAGAATCGCTTGAACCTGGGAGGCAGAGGTTGCGGTGAGCTGAGATCGTACCACTGCACTCCAGCCTGGGCAACAGAGTGAGACTCTGTCTCAAAAATAAATAAATAAATAAATAAATGAAATTAAAAAATAAGAAACTGGGCCAGGCGCGGTGGCTCACGCCTGTAATCCTAGCACTTTGGGAGGCAGAGGCGGGCGGATCACGAGGTCAGGAGATCGAGAACATCCTGGCTAACATGGTGAAACCCCGTCTCTGCTAAAAAAATAAAAAATAATAAAAAATAAAAAGAAACTGCTTGGCCGGGCGTGGTGGCTCACGCCTGTAATCCCAGCACTTTGGGAGGCCGAGATGGGCAGATCACAAGGTCAAGAGATCAAGACCATCCTGGCTAACACAGTGAAACCCCATCTCTACTAAAAATACAAAAAAAGTAGCTGGGCATGGTGGTGGGTGCCTGTAGTCCCAGCCACTCAGGAGGCTGAGGCAGGAGAATGGCGTGAACCTGGGAGGCAGAGTTTGCAGTGAGCCGAGATTGTGTCACTGCACTCCAGCCTGGGCGACAGAGTGAGACTCCATCAAAAAAAAAAAAAAAAAACAAAAAGAAACTGCTCATAACAAAAATTTTATTTTATTTATTTTTTTCAGACAGGGTCTCACTCCATTGCCCAGGCTGGAGTGCAGTGGCATGATCTCGGCTCACTGGAACCTCTGCCTCCTGGGTTCAAGTGATTCTGCCACCTCAGCCTCCCCAGTAGCTCTACTGGCACGTGCCACCACACCCAGCTAATTTTTGTATTTTTTGGTAGAGAGTGGGTTTCACCATGTTGGCCAGGCTGGTATCGAACTCCTGACCTCAAGTGATCTGCCCACCTTGGCCTCCCAAAGTGCTGAGATTATAAGCATGAGCCACTGTGCCTGGCCCAACATTTTTAAAATTTACTTACACAATTCAGCAGATGTTTATGACTGAGCAGCTGCATTGATTGAGTGCCTGCTGGGTGCTGAGCACTGTGCCACGAGCTCCAAGTATCCAGGAGGTCATTTCATCCTCACACTGGCCCAAGGAGAGCATACAGGTTACAGATCAGAGTCTAAGAGGTGGTAGACGAGGCAAGGAAACGTGTAGGTACTTGAAGGCTTTTTTTTTTTCTTTTTTTTGAGATGCAGTCTTGCTCTGTTGCCCAGGCTGGAGTGCAGTGGTATGATCTCGGCTCACTGCAGCCTCTGCTTCCTGGGTTCAAGTGATTCCCTTGCCTCAGCCTCCCAAGTAGCTGGGATTACAGGAGCCTGCCACGATGCCCAGCTAATTTTTTTTTTTTTTTTTAGATGGAGTTTCACTCTTGTTGCCCAGGCTGGAGTGCAATGGCGTGATCTCTGGCTCACCGCAACCTCCGCCTCACCGCAACCTCTGCCTCCCAGGTTCAAGCCATTCTCCTGCCTCAGCCTCCCAAGTAGCTGGGATTACAGGCATGTGCCACCACACCCGGCTAATTTTTTTTGTATTTTTAGTAGAGATGGGGTTTCTCCATGTTGGTCAGGGTGGTCTCGAACTCCCAACCTCAGGTGATCCGCCCGCCTCGGCCTCCCAGAGTGCTGGGATTACAGGCCTGAGCCACTGCGCCCAGCATGCCCAGCTAATTTTTTTTGTATTTTTAGTAGAGACAGGGTTTCACCATGTTGGCCAGGCTCATTTCGAACTCCTGACCTCAAGTGATCCACCCGCCTTGGCCTCCCAAAGTGCTAGGATTACAGGTGTGAGCCTGGCCTATGTGAAGGTTTATTTAAGCCCTCACCTCTCAGTGGTAGGCAGTGATTAGATAATACCTCAATGTGAAAAAATCAGTAACCATTAGTACTGTGTAAACCTGTCACTTCCACATATGGAGGTGAGAACCTGAAGAAACATCTAGAGGAGTACAAAGTGGCTGCCTCTTTGGGGAGGACCCAGGGTGGGCAAAGCAAGGCAAGGGACTGCCTTTTTTCATTGTAAGCCTTGTAGTTCTATTTGTCTGTTAAAAATATGTACGTGTTATTAATTTTATTGAAAAGAAAAGCTAAAGCAAAAAAGAAAAAAGGAAGAAAATGAAGGATCAAAGAGGTGAAGTAATTCGCCCAAGGTAACACAGGATTCAGAACTAAGTGTGTCTGAGTTCATATTTGGGATAGCCACAACCCTGCAGCCTTGCCCAGCCCTTGGCCTGATGCTGGAGTTGGGGTCTATGGGACCAGCCTCCAACCTTGAAGACAGATCACCTTCTGCTATGAAATGTTGCTGAAGTGAGAGCCTGTTGGAGACGTTCACCTGATGAGCCTTGATGAAACAGAAAGGACTTTTCACATGTCTGACCTTGCAGGCTGGTTTGTGGGGATTCAGTGTCCACCAAAGCCCCAGCCCAGTGCCAGCAAATCAGTAGAGTGTTGTCTAAGTCAGCGGCATTGTTTTGCGAGCCCATGGATGAGCTGTTCTCCAAGGTCAGCCACAAATGTGTCAGAATTCAAACCCAGGGCCTGGGGTTGAATTCAGGTCTCAGTAGCTGATGATCCTCAGCACAAATGGTGGGGCCAGTGCTGAGAAGTACATGGAGTCTGGAAAGTAAGGCCTGGTCTTGGCAATGTGGTGGAGGTGGGGCTGGATGGACCCTGGAGAGAGCAGCATGTGAAAGGCCCAGATGCATGGCCTGGGAGCTGACATGGGTCAGTGTAGCTGGAGAATAGAGCACAGGGTGGGAGAACCAGGAGGTTGCAGCCAGAGATGGGCAGAGGTGGAAGCAGGGCTTTGAAGGGCCTTGCAGGTTGCCATTGGCCCTGATGTCAGGGTAGCAGTGAAGGCCTGTGGCCATCACAAATGCCTGTCTATGCTCACCTTTCCCCTCCGCTTGCCTTCCCACCCCCACCCCCACCCCCGCCCCCGCAGGCGCTGACTCTCCCTTCCAGGGCCCTGCCCATCAGTTTTCACCAGCAGAGCTTCAGGCGCAAGGCTGCCTGGTATGAGGGTGCCCTCAGCTCCCCAGGCCTGTCCCCAAACAGTCCAGCTGGGGGACCCAGACAGTCATTCAGCCTCTAGGGGCCTCCACTGACTCCCCAGGAACAAAAGAGCCTTTGTGCCTCCCTCCCAGGGCTGCCATGGGCCTGAACATCAAGTAGCCTCTAAAGTACCTGGCAGGGGGCCTGGTACTCAGATGATGCCCAGGGATGTTACTTCCTAGCTATCGTCCCGCTCCTTGGTTTATATTAACACACAGGTATTAACGTGCCTTCTGTGAGCCACTCCTGCTTACTGGGGAGATACAGAGATGAAAAGTCAGTGGGTGTAGACAAGCAGATGGCAGCCCAGTGTGGGGTGGTCGGTGCCAGTAGGAGGAAGATGCACAGGGTATGAAGAAGCCCCAGAAGGCCCTTAACCCAACCCCAGCCGGGATTGCAAAGAACAGTCGGAGCAAGCGAGGGGGAGAGGAAGGGGGGAAAGGTCGTTCTGAGCAGAGGGCACAGCCTGGGTGAGTCTAGGCCGGCAAGGAGCACGTGGCAGGCCAGGGGGCCTGGCGGGAGGTCTGGCAAAGATTTGTGCCTTTATCCCCAAAAAGCCACTCCGGGGTGTGAAACACCGCCGCTAGGTGGAGAAGGGAGGCGAGAGCAGCGGCTCCAAGGCACCTGGGCGAAAGAGCGGAAGCGGCGCCGCTCAGGTCTCCGGCCCCGCCCTCTGGCCGAGGTGTCAGGCCTGACGCCCCGCCCACAGCTCGCTGAAGGGCTACGGGACGCGCGGGATGGGACTTTGCCTCCCTCGCTGGTTGGCCCGAGCCGAGGACACATGACACAGAGCGGCCAATCCCCGCGCCTCAGGGACCCATGCCCACTATTTCCGAGCCCGGCCCGCCTGATTGTCCCGCGCGGGAGCCGCAGGGAGACTGGTCGGCAGGGGGCGACAAAGGGCAACTTGAGCCGCCGGGACGCGGTTGTGGAGGCCCCAGGGCTGCCGGGCAGTAGCGATTTCCGGGACGGCCGGGCGGCCAAGTTCGGTGACCTTTCTATGGCGTGTGCGGTCGCCGAGGCCGCCCCGCGTCTGACATCCCCGGGGCAGTGGGCTCTCCTCGTGTGGCCTGGCGCGTGATTGCTGGCCCACCCCACTCTGCCAGGCCTCAGTTCCTAGTCTCTGAGGGTCTGGGCTTCTGCAGGGACGTAGGAGTTACAAAATGCCCCCTCCGCCCATGTCCCCCCATTTTTTGAGGTCTTGACCTCTACCTCCCAGAGCTCACGCTGCCTCCTCCAGGAAGCTTGTCCCGGAGCCCTGGGACGAGACTCGAGCCCCACCCCTGACCCCCGTGCTCTCGGGCCCACAAACAGGTCCCTGGGCCTTGACGCATGGCCATCTGGGGACCCCTGTCCCAGAACGCAGAGCCTGGGCAGAGCCCCCTCCCCAGCCATGGCCCCAGGTTCGTTGGGGGTCCTGAGGCTGGTAAAGGCCGCCTTTCGTCAGGCTGAGACCGTGAACTTGGCACGGGCCATCACCACCGACAGCTGACTAGTAGGAGATGCAAAGGGAGAGGACCCTGCCGAGGCCTGAGGTCCCCGTGAGGCGCGGGGGCTGGGGAGCCGAGAAGCCGACCTTGATGGAAGGCCGACCTTGATTAATTAAGGTATCTGGCAGAAGAAATTTATTTCTTTATCTTTTTTTTCTTTTCTTTTTTTTTTTCCCCTGACTTCTCCCACCCCGCCCTGAGCCCATCCGCATCTGGACTTAAGCCCTAGACCACTTCGGAAGTGGGTGGGTGGTGGGGGGAGGGGGGTGGTGATCATTTGCCAAGACATGTACAAAACAAAGTTTCTGGAAACAGGCTCTTCCAGAATTCAGCAGAGCCTGCTGGGAAGGCCACTCACCCCCTCGGGAACAAGGGTTTTGCCAAAAACACTGGACATGGAATTAAGCCTTACCGATTTATCTTGGTGATAGCCTCTCCCAGAGAAGGTCAGCTCTAAAAGGGAAGAAAAGTCTGTCCCCAGTTATAATTCTTTTTTTTCCTTTGAGACAGAGTCTCACTATGTTGCCCAGGCTCTAGTGCAGTGGCGCAGTCTTGGCTCACTGCAAGCTCCGCCTTCCGGGTTCAAGCGATTCTCCTGCCTCAGCCTTCCGAGTAGCTGGCATTACAGGCACCTGCCACCACGTCCAGCTAATTTTTTTGTATTTTTAGTACACACGGGGTTTCACCATGTTGGCCAGGCTGGTCTCAAACTCCTGACCTCAGGTGACCCGTCCACTTCAGCCTCCCAAAGTGCTGGGATTAGAGGCATGAGCCACCGCGCCCGGCCTGTTATCATTTTATTGAGTGTAGTATTTTATATTTTATTCCTTTAGCTAGTCAAGAAAAAAAAAGGAATAAAATATAAATCCAGGAGGCAGAGGTTTTGGTAAGCCGAGGTCGCGCCACCGCACTCCAGCCTGGGCAACAGAACGAGACTCCGTCTCAAAAAAAAAAAGCAAAAAACAAAAAAGACAGCCCGAGCGCGGGGCTCACGCCTGTAATCCCAGCACTTTGGGAGGCTGAGGCGGGTGGATCGCAAGGTCAGGAGATCGAGACCATCCTGGCTAACAGGGTGAAACCCCGTCTCTACTAAAAATACAAGAAATTAGCCGGGCGTGGTGGTGCACGCCTGTAGTCCCCGCTACTCTGGAGGCTGAGGCGGAAGAATCGCTTGAACCTGGGAGGCGGAGGTTGCAGTGAGCCAAGATCGTGCCGCTGCACTTCAGCCTGGGCGACAGAGCGAGACTCCATCTCAAAGAAAAAAAAAAAAAGAATAGACTAATCCATTTGTGGGTTAATAAATTAATGGGTTAGCATGTGAGTAGAACTACATACATGCCTGAGGGCTTGATGGAAGGCCGACCTTGATTAATTAAGGTATCTGGCAGAAGAAATTTATTTCTTTCTCTTTCTTTTCTTTTCTTTTTCTTTTTTTGAGAGAGAGTCTAGCTCTGTTGCCCAGGCTGGAGTGCAGTGGCACAATCTTGGCTCACTGCAACCTCTGCCTCCTGGGCTCAAGTGATCCTCTCACCTCAGCCTCCCAGTAGCTGGGACTACAGGTACATGCCACCATGGCTGGCTAATTTTTTATATTTTTAGTAGAGACGGGGTCTTGCCATGTTGCCCAGGCTGGTATGGAACCCCTGGGCTCAAGTGATCTTCCCACCTTGGCCTCCCAAAGCGCTGGGATTATAGGCTTGAGCCACCTTGCCTGGCCAGAAGAAATTTCTAAGTGTGAAGTGAAATAAAATATAGAGACAAATCTCTAAATTGAAAAAGTTTTATTTGAAAAGCAAGAATGGCAATTTGGGGCATATAAACAGACCAGGTAGTTTTCAGTATGTCTGAAGAACAAAGAGAAGGTTGGAGGTTTTATAAAAAAGAAATATTATGCATTGTTTTAAAAGGAAGTTCATGGCTATTAGTAAAGTTTTGGGGAGCTGACAAGCTCTGGTGAGCAATGATGATGCCGCAGGTAAAACTAGTCTTAGAGTTGCACCAGGTTGTTTCAGTAACAGGTGGGTAAACTGGTGTCATGTTACAGCAGGCAGTTTCAGCAGCCAGGTTTGCAGAGAATGACATTCTTGGAGCAATGTTATGTGACCCCAGTGCTTTTTCCTCCTGGCCTCTCAACTCTGTTTTAGTTGGGTCTGACAACAGTAACCTGGTTGTATGATCAACTTTCACATTAGCAAAACAGAGATGAAGCTGCATGATGACTTATACTAATAATTCTTTTTTTTTTTTTTTGAGACAGAGTTTCGCTCTGTCGCCCATGCTAGAGTGTAGTGGCATGATCTCCGCTCACTGCAAGCTCTGCCTCCTGGGTTCACGCCATTCTCCTGCCTCAGCCTCCCAAGTAGCTGGGACTACAGGTGCCTGCCACCATGCCTGGCTAATTTTTTGTATTTTTAGTAGAGACGGGGTTTCACCGTGTTAGCCAGGATGGTCTCGATCTCCTGACCTCGTGATCTGCCCGCCTCGGCCTCCCAAAGTGCTGGGATTACAGGCATGAGCCACTGCGCCCGGCCCTTTTTTTTTTTTTTTTGAGATGAAGTTTCACTCTTGTCACCCAGGCTGGAGTGCAGTGGCGTGAATTCAGCCAGTGCCACCACACCTGGCTGATTTTTGTATTTTTAGTAGAGATGGGGCCTCACCATGGTGGCCAGGCTGGTCTTGAACTCCTGGGCTCAAGTGATCCACCTGCCTCAGCCTCTCAAAATGCTGGGACTACACGCTGGGACATGGTGCCCAGCCCTGCCTAATTTATTTTAAAAAGGAATTTATTTCTTACAGTTACAGAGGCTGAGAAGTCCCAGGTCGAGGGGCCACATCTGGTGAGGGCCTTCATGTTGGTGGGGGCTCTCTGCAGAGTCCTGAGGCAGTGCAGGGTATCACATGGTGAGGGCTGAGCATGCTAGCCCACTCTCATGATAACCCGTCAATCCAATGGCACACTAAGCCCTCATGACCCAGTCACACCCTAAATGCCCTACCTCTCAATATTGCTACATTGAGAATTAAATTCGAACATGAATTTTTTTTTTTTTTTGAGACAGAGTCTTACTCCATCACTCAGGCTGGAGTGCAGTGGCGAGATCTTGGCTCACTGGAACCTCCGCCTCCCCGGCTCAAGTGGTTCTCCTGCCTCAGGCTCCTGAGTAGCTGGGATTACAGGTGCCCACCACCATGCCCGGTTAATTTTAGTGTTTTTAGTAGAGGTGGGGTTTCACCATGCTCACCAGGCTAGTTTTGAACTTCTGACCTCAAATGATCTGCCCACCTCGGGCTCCTAAAGTGCCGGGATTACAGGCGTGAGCCACCACGCCCGGTCTGAACATGCATTTTGGAGGGGACAAATATTCAAACCATAGCATTCTGCCCCTAAGTTCCCCAAAACTCATGTCCTTCTCACGTACAAATATAGTTATTCCATCCTCGTAGCCCCAGTGCTGTAACTAATTCCAGCACCAACTCAAAAGTCCAAAGTCCAGAGTCTCATCTGTAATCCCATGAAATCAAAGCAAGTTATCTACTTCCCAGATACAATGGTGGCACGGGCATAAGGCGGACACTCCCATTCAAAAGGTAGGAAGAGGCAACATGAAAGGAGGAACAGGCCCCTTGCAGGTCTGCAACCGGGCAGGGCAGACATTAAGGGTTAAAGCTGGAGAATGATCTCTTTGGACTCCATGTCCTGCACCCTGGATACACTAGGGCAGGTTGGGCCCGAGGCCCAGGCAGCCCGACTCCTATGGCTTTGCTGGGGGCACGTCTGGCTGTCTGGGTTGGAGTGCGGTGCCTGAGGTTTTCCCAGGTGGATGTGGCATGCTGCCCGGGCTCTGCAGTTCTGGGGGCCCACAGTGGTCCCACTCCCATGGCCACACTAGCCATTAGCCTGGTGGGGACTCTGTGCTGCAGCTCAGACCACACATTGCCTCTGGGCCTTGCTCTATGGGGGGCTCTCTGTGGTGGCTCTGCCCTTGTGACAAGTCTCTTCCTGGGTCCCCAGGCTTTCTTTTGCAATCTGGGTGGAGGCTGCCAAGCTTCACAGCTCTTGTGTTTTGCAAGTCTGCAGAATGAGGCTGGGCACGGTGGCTCACGCCTGTAATCCCAGCACTTTGGGAGGCCAAGGTGGGCTGATCATGAGGTCAGGAGAGTGAGACCATCCTGGCTAACATGGTGAGAACCCGTCTCTACTAAAAATACAAAAAAAAAAAAATAGCCAGGGTTGGTGGCAGGCACCTGTAGTCCCAGCTACTCGGGAGGCTGAGGCAGGATAATGGCGTGAACCTGGGCAGAAGAGGTTGCAGTGAACCAAGATTGCACCACTGCACTCCAGCCTGGGTGACAGAGCAAGACTCCATCTCAAAAAACAAACAAACAAAAATTAGCTGAGCATGGTGGTGGGCACCTGAAGTCCCAGCTACTTGGGAGGCTGAAGCAGTGAAGCAGGAGACTCGCTTGAACCCTGAGAGGCAGAGGTTGCAGTGAGTAGAGATCGCATCATTACACTCCAACCTGCGCAACAAGAGCTGAACTCTGTCTCCAAAAAAAAAAAGTCTGCAGAATGAGCACCGTGTGAACCTCTGCCAAGGTTTACGACCTGTACCTTCTGGTACTGCAACAGGAGCCGCACCTGGGGCCCTCTTGAGCCACAGGTGAACCAAGCATGGAGCGCTGTGCGGGGGTGTGGGGATCAGAGTCCCAAGGCAGCCCTGGGCAGCAAGCCTATGGAGAGCCACCTCCACCCCCAGGCTTGTCCCCTGACACCACTCTCCCTCCTCGGTCTCTAGGCCTGTGACAGGAGGGGCGGCCTCCGTGCTCCAGGCTCTCTGCATGCCTCTTTGGCAGTGTCTTTTGTTGTCTTGAGGCATGGCACCTGGCTTCCTTCTACATGCTAATCTCCTTAGCAAATATTCACCAGGCTACACCCATGGTTTCCTCTCCTGAACGTACTTTTCCACCCTCTATATGGCCAGGCTGAGAGTACTCCAAATCCTTCTGCTCTGCTTGCCATTTTTTTTTTTTTTTTTTTTTTTTTGAGACAGGGTCTCACTGTGTCGTCCAGGCTGCCGTGCAGTGGTGTGATCTCAGCCCACTACAGCCTCAACCTCCTGGGCTCAAGCGATCCTCCCACCTCAGCCTCCAGAATAGCTGAGACTACAGGCGCACACCACCGCACCCGGCTAATTTTTTGTATTTTTAGTAGAGACGAGGTTTTGCCATGTTGCCCAGGCTGGTCTCAAACTCCTGGATTCAAGGGTTCCACCCACCTCCCCCTCCCAAGTGTTGGGATTACAGGTGTGAGCCACAGGGCCCCCCCTCTGCTTTCCTTTCAATGATTAAATTCTGTCTTTAGATTATTCCTCTGCTCCTAAATCTTTGTCTTTTTCTTTTTTTTTTTTTTTTTTGAGACAGAGTCTCCCTCTGTCACCCAGGTTGGAGTGCAGTGATGCAATCTTGGCTCCTGTAACCTCTGCCTCCCGGGTTCAAGGGATTCTTCTACCTCAGCCTCCCAAGTAGCTGGGACTACAGGCACATGCCACCATGCCTGGCTAATTTTTGTATTTTTAGTAGAGACGGGGTTTCACCATATTGGCCAGGCTGGTCTTGAACTCCTGACCTCGTGATCCGCCCGCCTCAGCCTCCCAAAGTGCTGGAATTACAGGCGTGAGCCACTGCAGCCGGCCTCCTGAATCTTGTACTAAGAGTAATTAGTGGCCGGGCGCGGTGACTCACATCTGTAATCCCAGCACTTTGGGAAGCTGAGGTGGGTGGATCACTTGAGCCCAGGAGTTCGAGACCAGCCTAGCCACCCATGGCAAGACCCCATCTCTACTAAAAATACAAAAATTAGCCAGGTGTGGTGGCGTGGGGCTATGGTCTCAGCTACTTGGGAAGCTGAGGCACGAGAATTGCTTGAACCAGGGAGGCAGAGGTTGCAGTGAGCCAAGATCACAGCACTGCATTCCAGCCTGGGAGACAGAGAGACTGTGTCTCAAGTAATAAAATAAAATAATTTAGCCAGTTTTAGATGTTCTGTTGTGAGCAACAGAAAGAAGACTAAGACATCACATATAATATATATATATATAGATATCTATCATATATCCTTGTGTCAGAGGTGTTTGAACCAGAGTGATTCCATCTTGAATAGGAAATGGGTAAAATGAGACTGACACCTGCTGGCCTCATCCCAGGAGGTTAGGCATTCTAAGTCACAGGGTGAGAGATAAGAGGTCACAAGAGAGACAGGTCACAAAGGCCCAGCTGATAAAACAGGATGCAGGCCAGGCGCGGTGGCTCACACCTGTAATCCCAGCACTTTGGGAGGCTGAGGTGGGCGGATCACGAGGTCAGGAGATCAAGACCATCCTGGCTAACACAGTGAAACCCCGTCTCTACTAAAAATACAAAAAATTAGACGGGTATGGCGGCGGACACCTGTAGTCCCAGCTACTCGAGAGGCTGAGGCAGGAGAATGTGTGAACCCGGGGGGCGGAGCTTGCAGTGAGCTGAGATCGCACCACTGCACTCCAGCCTGGGCGACAGAGCAAGACTCCATCTCAAAATAAATAAATAAATAAATAAAAATAAATAAATAAATAAATAAACCAGGATGCAATAAAGAAGCCAGCAAAAACCCACGAAGACCAAGATGGTGACGAAAGTGACCTGGTCATCCTCACTGCTCATTATACAATAACTACAATACATTAGCATTAGGATTAGCATGCTAAAAGACACTCCAACCAGTGCCATGACAGTTTACAGATGCCATGGTAATGCCCAGAAATTACCTGATATGGTTTAAAAAGTGAAAGAACCCTCAGTTCTAGGAATTGCCTGCCCCTCTCCTGGAAAACTCATGAAGAATCCACCCTTTGTTTAGCATCTAATCAAGAAATAACCATAAGTATGCTCAGTAGAGCAGCCCGTGCCACTGCTCTGCCTGTGGAGTAGTCATTCTTTTATTCTCCCTCCTCAGCTTCCCAAAATGCTGGGATTACAGGCATGAGCCACCGCGCCTGGCCTATTCCTTTACTTTTTTAAGAAACTTGCTTTCATTTGACTCTGTGGGCTTGCCCGAATTCCTTCTTGCATGAGATCCAAGAACTGTCTCTTGGGGTCTGGATCAGACCCCTTTCCGGTCACACTTGTGTGTAAAATGTCATTGATTTTAAGATGATCCACTGATGATCCAGGCATGGTGGCTCACGCCTGTACCCCCAGCACATTGGGAGGCGGAGGCAGGAGGATTGCTTAATCCTAGGAGTTTGAGACCAGCCTGGGCAACATAGTGAGACTCCATCTCTACAAATAATTTTAAAAAAATTAGCTGGCTGTGAGGCTGGGCGTGGTGGCTCATGTCTGTAATCCTAGCACTTTGAGAGGCCAAGGCAGGTGGATCCCCTGAGGTCAGGAGTTCAAGACCAGCCTGGCCAACATGATGAAACCCCATCTCTACAGAAAATACAAAAATTAGCCAGGCGTGGTGGCAAGTGCCTATAATCCCAGCTACTCAGGAGGCTGAGGCAGGAGAATCGCTTGAACCAGGCAGGGCGGAGGTTGCAATGAGCCGAGATCACGCCACTTCACTCCAGCCTGGGTGAAAGAGTGAAACTCCGTCTCAAAAAATAAAAAATAAAAATAAAAATAAAAAATTAGCTGGGTGTGGTAGCACATGCCTGTGGTCCTAGTTACTAGATCATCTCTTTTTTTTTGGACACAGGATTTCGTTCTATCATCCAGGCTGGAGTGCAGTGGCATGATCTCAGCTCACTGCAACCTCTGCCCCCTGGGCTCAACTGATCCTCCTGCCTCAGCCTCCTGAGTACAGGTGTGTACCACTATGCCCAGCTATTTTTTTGTATTTTTACTAGAGACAGGGTCTTGCCATGTTGCCCAGGCTGGTCTCAAACATCTGAGCTCGAGGGATCCACCCATCTCAGCCTCCCAAAGTGTTGGGACTACAGGCATGGGCCATGAGCCACCACGCCTGGCCTGAACAACTTTTTTTTTTTTTTTTGAGATGAAGTCTCGCTCTGTCACCCAGGCTGGAGTGCAGTGATGCGATCTCCACTCACCGCAACCTCCGCCTCCCAGGTTCAAGCGATTCTCCTGCCTCAGTCTCCCGAGTAGCTGGGACTACAGGCATGTGGCACCATGCCCAGCTAATTTTTGTATTTTTAGTAAAGACAGGTCTTCACCTTGTTGACCAGGATGGTCTCAATCTCTTGACATCATGATCTGCCCGCCTCGGCCTCCCAAAGCACTGGGATTACAGGCGTGAGCCACCGAGCCAGGCCCTGAACAACTTTTTCAATGAAAATGAAACTCTGTCCCTCAAACAATCTCTGCAGAGGTTCACCAGTGGTCATACTGTAACAGTGGAAAAGAACGGACACAACTAACTCTATTTTTTGTTGTTGTTGTTGTTTTGTTTTGTTTTTGAGATGGAGTCTTGCTCTGTCGCCCAGGCTGGAGTGGAGTGGCACGATCTCAGCTCACTGCAACCTCCATCTCCCATGTTCAAGTGATTCTCCTGTCTCAGCCTCCCAAGTAGCTAGGATTACAGGCTCATGCCACCGCGACTGGGCAATTTTTGTATTTTTAGTAGAGATGGGGTTTTACCATGTTGGTTGGCCAGGCTGGTCTTAAACTCCTGACCTCAAGTGATCTGCCTGCCTCAGCCTCCCAAAGTGCTGGGATTACAGGTGTGAGCCACCATGCCCAGTCCTTTTTTTTTTTTTTCAAGGGGCCTTTACCCATTCCCGTTTGTAAGCCGGGATAATTTACAGCACTGAGATAAAATGCACAAACAGCAATCATGTAGTTCGTAAAACTAACTCTGGGATTAGAGGGGAAGTAGGTAAGCCAGGAACTACGTTTTGTTAAGGATTTATAGGAGCATCATGACCCTTGACTAAGGACAAAGAAGTTCCCAACCTCTTCAGACCCTCGCTGGCTCCTAGATGTCTGTGGTCCTCGGTCACCTCTTGATCCCAAGCCCTGCACATGGTTTCCCCATATCCCCCCTCCCACAAAAAGCCTCTGACCAGCCTGAAATACTGAAGATGGGACTTTATTTTTTATTTATTTATATTTTTGAGATAGAGTCTCACTCTGTCGCTCAGGCTGGAGTACAGTGGTGCCATCTCGGCTCACTACAACCTCTACCTCCCAGGTTCAAGCGATTCTCTTGCCTCAGCCTCCCAAGTAACTGTGATTACTGGCACCCACCACCACGCCCAGCTAATTTTGTATTTTTAGTAGAGCCAGGATTTCGCCATGTTGGTCAGGCTGACCTCAGGTGATCCGCCCACCTTGGCCTCCCAAAGTGCTGGGATTACAGGTGTGAGCCACCGCGCCCCACCTAATTTTTGTATTTTTAGTAGAGAAAGGGTTTCACCATGTTGGCCAGGCTGGTCTGTAACTCCTGACCTCAGGTGATCCACCTGCCTCGGCCTCCCAAAGTTCTGGGATTACAGGCATGAGCCACCACGCCCAACCATGCCTGGCTAATTTTTGTATTCTTAGTAAAGACGGGGTTTCACCATGTTGGCCAGGCTGGTCTTGAACTCCTGACTTCAAGTGATCCACCCACTTCAGCCTCCTAAAGTGCTGGGATTACAGGCATGAGCCACCACCCCAGGCCTTAAGATGGTACGTTAGAGCACGAGTTCCCCATCTCAGTTTTGCCGGCTCTCTGAATAAGCCTGCTTTTCCTCCCACCAACCCTCATCTCTTGTGTCTGGCTTTTGAGGGTTGAGCAATCAAACCTAGGTTCAGTTACAATATCTAGGATGGAATTGGAGGACATCTTGATTTTCTTCCCTCTGGACCCTATGTGCCTGCCTGGACTGCCCTGGCCACCCAGCAGAGTTCTGCCCTCCTTCCCTTGGGTTGCTTGAAGTGTCTGGTGTCCTTGGCAATGATCACAGTGTGGGTATCTCAGTGGGAGCCACCTGGGTGGGGAGGCTCAGGCTGTGTCATCCCAGATTCCAGATAGCACAAGGCTCCATGCTTAGTGGATGACATCAGATCTGCCCTGCCAGAATCTCCTTTCTCCAGCCTCTTTTGTGAATCTTGGCACGGCTGACGTTAGCTCAAAAGCAAATCATGTTTGATATTAATTTATTAAAGCATTCTGGAAGTTCCTCAGCTGCCTTAGTTTCAGGACCCCAGAGTTCCCAGAAGAACCCTGCATTGGCTAGTGCCAGCCAGTGGCTGTGACGGTCATACCTGCCCTGCTGAGCCTCCTCCAGCATCCTCTGCTCCAGCCCAACTATCCAGACCACAACTTGTACAGTACTCCCTCCCAGTCTTTGTTTCTGCTGTTTCTTCAACCTGGGATACCATCCACTGTCCAGTTTTTGTTTGTTTGTTTTGTTTTTTGTTTTCTTTTCTTTTTTTTAATTGATCATTCTTGGGTGTTTCTCGCAGAGGGGGATTTGGCAGGGTCACAGGACAATAGTGGAGGGAAGGTCAGCAGATAAACAAGTGAACAAAGGTCTCTGGTTTTCCTAGGCAGAGGACCCTGCGGCCTTCCGCAGTGTTTGTGTCCCTGGGTACTTGAGATTAGGGAGTGGCGATGACTCTTAACGAGCATGCTGCCTTCAAGCATCTGTTTAACAAAGCACATCTTGCACCACCCTTAATCCATTCAACCCTGAGTGGACACAGCACATGTTTCAGAGAGCACAGGGTTGGGGGTAAGGTCACAGATCAACAGGATCCCAAGGCAGAAGAATTTTTCTTAGTACAGAACAAAATGAGAAGTCTCCCATGTCTACCTCTTTCTACACAGACACGGCAACCATCCGATTTCTCAATCTTTTCCCCACCTTTCCCGCCTTTCTATTCCACAAAGCCGCCATTGTCATCCTGGCCCGTTCTCAATGAGCTGTTGGGTACACCTCCCAGACGGGGTGGTGGCCGGGCAGAGGGGCTCCTCACTTCCTAGTAGGGGAGGCCGGGCAGAGGCGCCCCTCACCTCCCGGATGGGGCGGCTGGCTGGGCGGGGGGCTGACCCCCCCCGCCTCCCTCCCGGACGGGGCGGCTGGCCGGGCAGAGGGGCTCCTCACTTCCCAGTAGGGGCGGCTGGGCAGAGGCGCCCCTCACCTCCCGGATGGGGCGGCTGGCCGGGCGGGGGGCTGACCCCCCCACCTCCCTCCCGGACGGGGCGGCTGGCCGGGCGGGGGGCTGACCCCCCCCACCTCCCTCCCGGACGGGGCGGCTGGCCAGGCAGAGGGGCTCCTCACTTCCCAGTAGGGGCGGCCAGGCAGAGGCGCCCCTCACCTCCCGGACGGGGCGGCTGGCCGGGCGGGGGGCTGACCCCCCCACCTCCCTCCCGGACGGGCGGCTGGCCAGGCGGAGGGGCTCCTCACTTCTCAGACGGTGTGGCTGCCGGGCGGAGGGGCTTCTCACTTCTCAGACGGGCGGTTGCCAGGCAGAGGGTCTCCTCACATCCCAGACGGGGCGGCCGGGCAGAGACGCTCCTCACTTCCTAGATGGGATGGCGGCCGGGCAGAGACGCTCCTCACTTTCCAGACTGGGCAGCCAGACAGAGGGGCTCCTCACATCCCAGACGATGGGCGGCCAGGCAGAGACGCTCCTCACTTCCCAGACGGGGTGGCGGCCGGGCAGAAGCTGCAATCTCGGCACTTTGGGGGGCCAAGGCAGGCAGCTAGGAGGTGGAGGTTGTAGTGAGCCGAGATCATGCCACTGCACTCCAGCCTGGGCACCATTGAGCACTGAGTGAACGCAACTCCGTCTGCCATCCCGGCACCTCGGGAGGCCGAGGCTGGCGGATCACTCGCGGTTAGGAGCTGGAGACCAGCCCGGCCAACACAGCGAAACCCCGTCTCCACCAAAAAAATACGAAAACCAGTCAGGCGTGGCGGCGCGCGCCTGCAATCGCAGGCACTCCGCAGGCTGAGGCAGGAGAATGAGGCAGGGAGGTTGCAGTGAGCCGAGATGGCAGCAGTACAGTCCAGCTTTGGCTCCGCATCAGAGGGAGACCGTGGCAAGAGAGGGAGAGGGAGACTGTGGGGAGACAGAGAGGGAGAGGGAGAGGGATTGTTTTTTGTTTTCGTTTTTGTTTTTTGAGATGGAGTCTCGCTCTGTCGTCCAGGCCGGAGTGCAGTGGCGTGATCTCGGCTCGCTGCAACCTCCATTTCCCAGGTTCAAGCGATTCTCCTGCTTCAGCCTCCCGAGTAGATGGGATTACAGGCATGCACCACCATGCCCAGCTAATTTTTGTATTTTTAGTAGAGACAGGGTTTTGCCATGTTGGTAAGGCTGGTCTCGAACTCCTGACCTCAGGTGATCCACCTGCCTCGGCCTCCCAAAGTGCTAGGATTACAAGCATGAGCCACCGCGCCTGGCTCACTGTCCAGTTTTTGCAGCTCTAGACCTCATCCATTCTCTAAGACTCAGACTGACATCACTTCCTTCTGGAGAGCACCCGTCCCTCCTCCCAAGGCCCTATCACAGCCTGACGATGGTAACTAGCCATGGTGCCACTCCTAGAAACCCTGGCTTCCCTGCATCCTCTGACTCTTGTCTTTGCTTCCTCTCCAAGACATGAACGTCCCTGGACAGAGCTAGAACAGCCACAGAGCTTTCTGGGAAGAGTTTTGGAGTCAGACAAGACGTTGGTTCCTTGGTTCCCCTGAACTGCAATTTCCGTCGTCATAAAATGGGGATATTGATAGTTGTTCACCACTGTGAGGATAGACGGCTGCCCTGGGCTGTGCGCTGGGGACACAGCATCAGAAATGTCTGGCCTACCTTCACGAAGGGGCTTGAACATGGGGGAACTATGATTAGTAACAGTGTGGTGTTATTATATTCATTTATTTGTGTATTTATAGTAACGTGCAAAACCTTAAGTGAGCAACCAGATGATTTTTCTCTATGTCCACCTACGGCTCCATCCAGATTGCATTACAGCAAATTTCCAGCTCCCAGAAGCCTCCAAAGGCAACTACTATTTAGACTTTTACCACCATAGATTAATTTTACCTTTGTTTTGTACTTTATATAAATGAAATCCTGCAGCGTGAATGTGGTCAAGGACCAGGGACCAGGCTGCCTGAGCTGAAGAGGGGATTTAGGAGAGGCCACGTCTAAGCTGGGTCCCAGCGCCAGGCAGGAGCAGGACCCCAGCTCTAGGTCCTCCCCTCCACCCTGTGTGACTCCACACTGGTCTCCCCACAGCAGCGCCGGGCCTAGGCACTCAGTATGTTTTTCCCTGTGGGAGGGAGGTGGGGTACAGTGAGTCAGGAGTGGGGTTTGAAGGCTATGGGTCAGGGCCAGAAAGGCAGGTTGGGCGAATTGAGCCAGGCCCCTATGTCCGCAAGCTGGGCGATGAAGTCAGTGCCGTGAGTAGTCCTGGTGGCATTAGTCATGCGCTCTGTTCTCACCTCCTGGAGCAGACCATTCCTGCACCCCACTCTCCAGGGGCCCAACCTCAGTTTCCCTGGTGGGACCTTCGAGAGGCTTGGCTCAGCCAGTGATGGATTTGTTCACTTGTCTCTTTCAAGGCCTCACCCCCACACACCCTTGCTCTTTGTCCTGCCCCAGCCTCTTCAGAGCTGGGACCAGGCCAGTGACCCAAGGAGGATTCCGCTTAAAAGGCTCTCCCTTGTGCGGACACCTCATCCACATCCTCCCCACCCCACGTCCCAACTCCCTGAGGCCCTCCCAGACCTCAACACTCCCAGGCTCCCCAGGGCACTAAGCCTCTGAGCCCTGCTCCACTCCCCTTCCCCAGCCACAGTGGCCCTTGCTCCTTCCCACCACCAGGCCTGTGTCCCAGCCGTGCCTGCAGCTGAGAATCTCTCCTCTCCCTGGTCAGGAACTCTCTCCGTCCTTCAAGGCCCTCAAGGCCTGAACTCACACTTCTTGGATGCCCTGTGGCCCTTCTGTCTGGGCACTCCCAGCCTTGGCACCAGGCCATTCACCCTCTGTGGCATCATGCAGCCTTTGTACCGAGCCCTGAACTCGACCGGGAAGGGGCCTGTTGCTCCCCCTCCTCCCAGGTGGGGACAGATGGGGTCGACAGAAAAGAGGTTAAAGTAAGAAATTCGTGCCCACTGAGACGCTGGGCCCGCGACTCCCCTGGCCCTCTGGGACTCCCTTATCTCGGGCCCTGGTTTATGGGAGGTAGGGCGGGATCCCGCAGCCCGCGCCTCGGTTCCATAGCTGCACGCAGGTCCCTGCTCCCGGCGAGCGTTGGGCCAGGTTCGAGGACAGGCGCGGCACTGGGCTGGGCTGGGCTGGGCTGGGCTGGGCTGGGCCGCAGCGGGAGCAACGTGGGCTGCTCCGGGCTCCGGGCTGCAGGGGCAGGAGGATCAATGCTCCCAGGGGCGGGGGTATCAATGCTCCCGGGGGGGGAACCGCGAGTGCAAAGCACCCTCCTCTCCCCACCCCCGCCGCCGCGGACAGTGCAGGATTGGGAGGCCTGGGGACCTGGCTGGCGGGGGGCAATGCGCTGGGAATGGGTGGCGAAGGAGGACGAGCCTGGGAGGAGTCCACTAATTCAAAAAAATTTAATTAGATATCTTTTTATACCGGCCCGGTGGCTCACACCTGTAATCCCAGCACTTTGGGAGGCTAAGTTGGGAGGATCCCTTGAGCCCAGGAGTTTGAGACCAGCCTGGGCAACACAGCAAGACCCCGAGACCCCATCCCTAAAAAAGAAAAAAGAGATATATATATTTTTTTTAATTAGCTGGGCGTGGTGGCACATGCCTGTATTCCTAGCTACTGGGAATGCTGAGGAGGGAGGATTACTTGAACCCAGGGCTTAGAAGGCTATAGTGAGCTATGATCACACCACTGCAATCCAGCCTGGGCAACAGAGCAAGACCCTGTACCCAAACAAAAAACAAAAACCCAAAACCCCCAAAGATATCTTTTCTGCCTTTAAATGATTAACATTCGTAAAACTCAAACTGGGCAGATGCATTAAAAGAAAAATCCTCATCCCGCAGCCCCCCTCCAGTTTGACAGGATCCTTCCAGGCCTTCTCCAGAACCTCCACTCACACACAAACACACACAGATACCTCTGCAGACAGACAGATGCACACAGGCACACCTTTGCACAGACACACACAGCCACCCACACAGCCACAAGGACACACGGTAATTATATAAAAAGGTGATCAGAACAGTCTTCGGCGTGGGTGTATTTATGCAGACACGTCTTTAGTGACAAACCTACGTATATTTTACTTTTACAGGTTTTGCTGTAAGAACAGATGCTACTCACGCGCCATCTCCCTGTTCCGGCCCCTCCCACCACGCCCTGGAGGCATTTCGCTGTGTCTGTCCCATCTTCCACACTGCCGCTGCGGGCATGGTCCCACCGTAGGGACTCGGTGCCAGGTTGTGCACATCTAAACTTCATGCCTGGTGACTCCATTTCCAAGGCTGAGGGGTGGTGGCAATGGGGTGCCCTGGGGTTGTGGAGGTGGAGTTTTGCTCACCTCTGGGATTCAGGAAGGTGCCCTGGGCATGAGGCCAAGGAGAGAAGTCAGACGTGAGCCGCTGAACTGGGGACAGACTTGACTTTCTTCTTCTTGTTTTGTGTTTTGCAGAGACTGGGTCTTGCTGTGTTGCTCAGGCTGCTAGGCTGGCCTTGAACCCCTGAGCTCAAGCGATAGCCTCCCAAATTGCTAGGATTACAGGCCTGAGCCACCCTACCTGGCCCTCCTTGCCATTTTTTAAAAATTTAATTTTTGTGGGTACATACTAGGTGTATATATTTACGGTGTACATGAGATTACATGAGATATCTTGATACAGGCATGCAATGCATAATAACCACATCAGGGTACCCAACAGGTCAAGTTTTTTTTTTTTTTTTTTTTTTTTTTGAGATGGAGTCTTTTTTTGTTGCCCGGGCTGGAGTGCAATGGTGCGATCTCTGCTCACTGAAGCCTCCATCTCCTGGGTTCAGGTGATTCTCCTGCCTCAGCCTCCTGAGCAGCTGGGATCACAGGCGTGCGCCACCACGCCCAGCTCATTTTTGTATTTTTAGTAGAGAAACGTTTTCACCGTGTTGGCCAGACTGGTCTCGAGTTTCTGACCTCAGAGTGATCCACCTGCCTCAGCCTCCCAGAGTGCTGGGATTACAGACGTGAGCCATCGCGCCCAGCCAGTTCAAGCATTTATCTTTTGCGTCCTTGACATTCTTGAGGGACATGTTTGAGGTCTTTGGGGCTCTCCAGATTTGTGTCCACAACAAACATTGATTATCCACTGAAAATGCAATCACATTCAACCGGAAATAGCCCCTTGGAGGATCCTTAGGTCAGTGGGGGGAGCTGAGTGGGCTCCTGCCTGTCTGTCAGCATTTCATCCCCAGCATCCTGTGTCCATGGGCTGCACCGGCATGGAGGGGGTTCCCACTGGGTGGCACCGGCAGCAGAGGCAGCCTCACACCTCACGCACTATCCGAGCTTCAGAATGCGTCTCTGTATGCTGGTGGGGCCAGAAGCCCGGCTGCCTCTGTGCCTGGCTGCCATGCTCAGTCTTTCTTGGGCCTGGGCTGGGGACCTGGCTGGGGAAACCAAGAGTATTTCAGAGCTGTGGTTTGGGACGTGGATATCCCATGGAGCGCCCGAGCCAGATGTGCCAGGGCCAGAGCGCACCTCCACTCCTGAGGAGTCCCTTTGCCCTCCACTGTAAAGCGCTGAAATGTGGTGGCCTGGGCTCCCAGCTGACGGCACGGGAAGCACTGTATTTGTCGGCCCAGGGATGAAGGTGGCACAATTCAGAGTAGAGCCCGGTTCTGCCTTGGTGTTGGCTCTTGCCTGTGGGGCTGGCACCACGTCCCCTGCTCCGAATGCCTGCACCTGCTTGGGTGTGTTTGTGTGTGGTCTGCAATTGGGATTCCGCACCCCCTCAGCCCCACCCACCAGTTTTTATTTTATCCTTAAGACACATGTTTGAAAGTGACCTAATCAACGAGGTGTCATAAATGAAATAGCGACAAGAGTGCTCAGGGGATGGCATAAGGCTGAGGGCCCCAAGAGGGAGGCTCCCAGCAACCCTGTGGAAATCACCCAGCAGCCCATGGCCCCCGACACCTGGTTCTCCCAGATGACAACTGCTGTGGCCTGAGGGCCCACTGTGTGCCAGGCAAGGCTGTGGGTGTTTGACACACAGGCTCCTGCTCCTGAGAACTCCAGGAAGTAGGGTAGCTATCTCCACTTTACAGGGGAAGAGACTGAGGCACAGAGGCGAAGTGATTTGCCCAAGCTCAGCTGGCGGGTAAGAGGCTGAGATGCCATCTCAGCTGGGTCTGTGTCCAGGGGCTGTGCTGCCCCTTGGGCCAAAAAGGAAAGACAGAGAATTAGACAAGACCACCGAGGTAGTGAGCAGAGTTGGGGAGAGGGGGAAAGAAGGACAAGTCATCAGTTCAGGCTGACAAATCAGGGAGGCCTCTCAGAGCAGGTGGCACTTGGTCTTGACATGAGGGTTTGGAAAGAGTTGGGGCAGGCATGCAGGATGAGAGGCCTGGGGATACAGGGAGGGAGTGGAGACCAGCGTGGAGTCAGGGTTGGAGGAGTGCATTCAGGTGGACTAGCCAGATGCAGCCGTGCAGGCACGGAGGGCTGGTCTGGGCCATGCCTTACGGGGGCAGGCTATAGTGGGCTATAGTGGGAGACAGGAGAGGCCGCAGTGGGGTGGACATGCACGAGGCTGCGGCATGGCCTTTCTGTGCACAGCTTCACTGAGAAGTCTGTGGACAGTCTCACTTATTCATCTGCAGGCAGTTTATTTCTGTTTCTTCTTGGAAGCTCTAGGGATTTCCTTTCCCTCCCTCCCTCCCTCCCTCCCTCCCTTCCTTCCTTCCCTCCCTCGTTTTCTTTTTTTGAGACAGGATCTCACTCTGTTGCCCAGGCTGGAGTGCAGTGGCACGATCACGACTCACTGAAGCCTTGGCCTCCCAGGCTCAGGTGATCCTCCCACCTTGGCCTCCCAAGTAGCTGGGACTATAGGCATGAGCCACCAGGCCAACTATTTTATTTTATTTTATTTTTTGTAGAGACAGGGTTTCTCCATGTTGTCCAGGTTGGTCTCAAACTCCTGAGCTCAAGTGATCCTCCCACCTCAGCCTCCCAAAGCGCTGGGATTGCAGGCATGAGCCACCGTGCTCTATGGCTTTGGGATTTTTGTTTTCATCTCCTTACTCAAAAATTTCTCTACAATGTTTCTAGATGGTAACTTTGGGTTTTGCTGTTATTGTTTCAAGTTGTGCTCAGTTCTCTTTCTTTCTTCTTTTTTTTTTTTTTGGACACAGAGTCTTGCTCTCTCGCCAGGCTGGAGTGCAGTGGTGCAATCTCAGCTCACTGCAACCTCCGCCTCCTGGGTTCAAATGATTCTCCTGCTTCAGCCTCCTGAGTAGCTGGGATTACAGGCTCCTGCCACCTCGCCCAGCTAGTTTTTACATTTTCACCATGTTGGCCAGGCTGGTCTTGAACTCCTGACCTCAAGTGATCCAACTGCCTGGGCCTCCCAAAGTGCTGGGATTACAGGTGTGAGCCACTGTGCCCAGCCTATGCTCACTTTTCAATTAAACTGCACACATCTTAAGATTATACCTGTGTAACAAGTATAGTAGCTATGAGATCCATCATGTTTTAAAATGGGTTTTATTATGATTCTGGCATAGTGCGACCGACAGAGCAGGACTCGACTGCCATTGGAAAGAATTTGTTACTTACAGTTCCCAAGAGGAGAGGGCACACCTTGCCACACACGGCCACCTGGGGCGCACCAGGCCAGGCTGGAGGGCAGGGGAGTGAGGGGAAATGTGGGAAAGCCCTTCTTGAGGTTTCCACGGGAAGGAATGGGTGAGGCAGGGTGAGCAGGCTTGGGATTGGTAGGTTTGAATCATTTCAGGAGGCTGGGGGTGTAGAGCTGTCTAGACTGCCTGGTACTGACCCTCCGGTGATTAGGGCAGGGGAATACTGGACGTGACTGTGACAGGCCAATGGAGGGGATAGTGGGGTATGGGCTAGGATTGGCTAGCTTGCATCCGAAAGGCTTGCTCCTAAGCTGGTCATTTGCAATCTCTAGGAATTGGCTAGCCCTAGGAGGGGCAGTCCCTCCAGGGTCAGCAAAGCCCCAAGATGTCACAGCATCACAATTACAGAAAAGAAAAAGGCATGGCGAATACAACTGGCCCTGTGATGCGCTGACATCGTATTAAGGAAACCTTGGGGTGATGATAGCAGAGACTGATAGAGAGTAAGGCATAGATTAGCGTAAACAGCATGGAACATTTCAATGTGAGAGTGGGAAGGGGTGGCACAAGGAGACGTATGAGGTGTCCTCATGGTCTGGCTTGTAACCAAGTTTCCCATTTACATGGCATAACCCAAGAAGAGAGATCTGAAATTTCCAAGGTCTCTAACAGTATCTTGGTGGAGTTGTAAAGTGTGTTAAAAGCATAAGATATTTTGTTTCAACAATATATCTTAGAGATTAGACAAATCCCCCTTTAAACACAGGAAAGGGTAATAGGAAAGGTTTTTGTTTATTTGTTTGTTTGGGTTTTTTTTTTTGAGACAGAGTCTTGCTCTGTCACCCAGGCTGGAGTGCAATGGTGCGATTTCCACTTACTGCAACCTCCGCCTCCTGGGTACAAGCAGTTTCCTGCGTCAGCCTCCCAAATAGCTGGAATTACAGGTGCCTGCCACCATGACTGGCTAATTTTTTTTTTTTTTTTGCAGGTGGAGTCTCGCTCTGTCGCCCAGGCTGGAGTGCAGTGGCATGATCTCAGCTCACTGCAACCTCTGCCTCCCGGGTTCAAGCAATTCTCCTGCCTCAGCCTCCTGAGTAGCTGGGACTACAGGTGCATGCTGCCACACCTGGCTAAATTTTTGTATTTTAGCAGAGATGGGGTTTCACCATGTTGCCAAGGCTGGTCTTGAACTCCTGAGCTCAGGTGATCCACCTGCCTCGGCCTCCCAAAGTGCTGGGATTACAGGCATAAGCCACCGTGCCCAGCCATTTTTTTGGTATTTTTAGTAGAGCTGGGGTTTCACCATGTTGGCCAGGCTCTTCTCGAACTCCTGACCTTAGGTGATCCACCCGCCTCGGCCTCCCAAAATGCTGGGATTACAGGTGTGAGCCACCATGCCCAGCCCTCTGGTTTTGATTTAAGTTTGGGTCTCTGTGAGGCAAGAGTCCCAGAGTCCTTGACCCTCAAAGGGACAACTCAGCCAGTGGCACCATAGTTTGTAACAAATATGAAGATGCGGCCCTGTGTCAGTCAGGCAGCCAGTACTAAGGTGACTGCCTGGAGTTTGGCCAATTGTGTTGACCCTTGAGTCCTGTCCTTCACTGGGGACATTCTGACTGAGAGATGGAAAGCAGCCATCATCCACTGAGCTTCCTCATTCTTACAATGGTTGGCAGTGTGGTTCCTACCATCTGTGTTCACTCAGCTAATCCCAGGGGCTCTCCAGGTAGCCACGAGGTCTGAGAGAAGGTGAGTTCCTTCAGCACCTACAAGGGAGTTGGGAGGATTTCCTCCTGCAGGAGGAATACGCCAGAGGGCTCAGGTTTGGTTCCTTTGCGTCTTATAAAGGCCTTGGTAGCCACACCAAGTTTGTGGGGGTGCTGCTGCCATGACCCAAAGCAAAATGGGCAGCTGGGTATAGCGCAGTGGTGCGACCACGGCTCACCGCAGTCTCGACCTCTCAGGCACAAGCGATCCTCCCACCTCAGCTTCCCCAGTAGCTGGGACTGCAGGCATGTGCCATCGCGCTCAGCCCAGCAATTTTGTTAAGAGAAGCGGTGTCTTGCATTATCAAACCTTGAGCAACTAATGGCCATGCTAGGTGGTCCAGAGACTGCAGGGGGCCTGCGAGGGGTTGCCAAAGCCCATCCACAGTGCAGGAGTCTCCGAGGGCTCTAACAGGAGTGCCTGCTGATTTTTACTTGAACGGATTTAGAGCCTTTTGTGTGAGGGAGTCCTGCTTCACGTGGGCCACCGTATAAGTAGCAGCATCAGTAGCATAAGTAAAAATTTGTAAATGATGAATGTATTGCCATCAGAACCCAAAGAGAACTAAAAGATGTTGGACTTGGATGTCCAACATGTTTTGCCATCAGTGTCATGCCAACATCTCTTCTCATCAATGCCATGCCAACATCTTCTTCCCATCAGTGTCATGCCAACATCTCTTCCAATCAATGTCATGCCAACATCTCTTCCCATCAATGTCATGTCAACATCTCTTCCCATCAATGTCATGCCAACATCTTCCCATCAATGTCATGCCAACATCTTCCCATCAATATCATGCCAACATCTTTTGCCACGTCCAACGTCTTTTGCTATCAGTGTCATGCCAGGCCAGTGCCCCTGGAGCAGGTGGATGTAGGGAAGTATTGTCTGCATAACAGTGTGCCCTGGCAGAGCTGTGGGGGTCCCCCAGGGCAGCCTGGTCCAGCTGCAGTGTGTCCCTCTGGAGGCAGAGGCAAACTGTGGCTGAAAGCCTGTTGAAACAGGCATCAAATATAATGTAGTAGCCAAAGCTGTCAGCGCAAAATACTTCATGGTTGTTGACTGGGGTGGAGTTAATTTTAATGCCTTTGGGCCGGGCGCGGTGGCTCACGCCTGTAATCCCAGCACTTTGAGAGGCTGAGGCAGGCAGGCGGATCACGAGGTCAGGAGATCGAGTCCATCCTGGCTAACACGGTGAAACCCCATCTCTACTAAAAATACAAAAAATTAGCCTGGCGTGGTGGCGGGCGCCTGTAGTCCCAGCTACTCGGGATGCTGAGGTAGGAGAATGGTGTGACCCCGGGAGGCGGAGCTTGCAGTGAGCCGAGATCGCGCCACTGCACTCCAGCCTGGG
This sequence comes from Homo sapiens, assembly GCF_000001405.40. Classification (NCBI taxonomy): domain Eukaryota; kingdom Metazoa; phylum Chordata; class Mammalia; order Primates; family Hominidae; genus Homo; species Homo sapiens. Next base: position 100,170,452 of record NC_000014.9, on the reverse strand, counting down.
CGACAGAGCGAGACTCTGTCTCAAAATAGTAATAATAATAATTTTAATGCCTTTGGCTGTTGGGTGTGGGGGCCTTAGCGGGTGGGACCACAGCCTGAAGATTGTAGAAATCTACCACCGGGAGCCCTTTGTTTCTCCTGGGTTCAAGAACAGGTGAAAGTAGACTGTTAAACAGAGCAGCAATGGGGACAATCACTGCCTTATTAGTTAGGCTTTAGATAATAAGCATCACTCCCTGAGGGCCTATTTTAACTTATATTGAACCAAATTAACTATGTAATTAATTAACTTAGTTTTTGAGACAAGACCTTGCTCTGTCTCCCATGCTGAGTGCAGTGGCGTGATCTTGGCTCACTGCAGCCTCAACCTCCTAGGCTCAAGCGATTTTCCCTTCTCAGCCTCCCAAGTATCTGGGACCACTGGTGTGCACCACCATACCTGGCTAATTTTTAAATTTTTTTTGTAGAGACGGTGTCTTACTATGTTGCCCAGGCTGGTCTTGAATTCCTGGGCTCAAGCAATCCTCCCGCCTCGGCCTCTCAAAGTGCTGGGATTACAGGTGTGAGCCACCTCACCCGGCCCAAATTAAATTTCAACTGGAGGTCCACGGGGTCCCATTTTATTGAGCAAATCTGTAAGCACTTAACTTTAATTGTAAAGTAAGTACTTTAATTGTAAAGTAAGTGCTTAAAATTTAAAATTAAAGACTTACTTTAATTTTATTATTCATTGTGTTAGAGCATCTATACCCAGTGTGTGATATTTTAAGGCAACGGGTACTATAACTACAGGAAATTTAGGCAGGGCTGCCATTACACTTAGGCATATCTATTTTCCCTCTATTTTATATTAAGTTACCTCCATATTATAAGGGGGGTACAATGTTTAAATTGAGTTGGGGGCCAGGTGCACTGGCTCATATAGTATCAGTGCTTTATAGGTATCATATAATCTCAGTGCTTTGGGAGGCTGAGTCAGGAGAATTGCTTGAGGCCAGGAGTTTGAGACCAGCCTGGATGACATAATGAGATCCAATCTCTACAAAATAAATAAATAAATAAACAAAATAAATAAAATAAAATAAAATTAGCCTAGCTGTGGTGGTGCATACCTGTAGTCCTAGCTGCTTGGGAGGCTGAAGTGGAAGGATCACTTGAGTCCAAGAGTTTAAGGCTGCAATGAGCTATGATCATGCCACTACACCGTAGCCTGGGCAACAGAGTGAGACTTCATCTCGAAAAAATTGAAACACTAACAAATAAATAAATAAAATAAATTTAATAGGACCTTCAGGTATAACTATAATTTGAACCACAGTATAGATTAAGTCCATGAAGATTTGTTAATCGGTGCATTTTAGCAAATGCTAAAGTTAACTTACAGCCTATTTTGTTTAGAGGCACAAAAGCCAGTCAGTGCCCTTTTAATCCTTTTATGTGAATCCTTTTGGTATATGCATTTTGTCATATATTTGTTATATATATCATTTGTCATATACATTTTTACATACACATTTTGGATTTCTAATTGGGTTGAATTATGGACACTTGTTTTAATTTATATAATACATAATCTATTTATTGTATATTTTATAAGTATATTTATATATATAATTTATTGGCTCCTCTTTTCTCCCTCTCCTATATCTAGGGTGTTTTTGTCCTTCTTCTCCACCCCCTTTTGTTCCCTTTTAGGCTTTTGGCCACCTCAAGTTTTTGGGTTTTGTCTCAGGCTGATAAGAGGAAGTGGTGGCGGCAGGGGTATGTGTTGGGGGTGGGTGTGGGTGTGTGTTGGGGGCAGGGGTGTGTGTGTGTTGAGGGCAGGGGTGTGTGTGTGTTGGGGGCAGGGGTGTGTGTGTGTTGGGGGCAAGGGTGTGTGTGTGTTGAGGGCAGGGGTGTGTGTGTTAGTGCAGGGGTGTGTGGGTGTGGGCATGTGTTGGGTGTGTGTGTTGAGGGTTGGGGGTGTGCGTGTGTTGGGGTGTGTGTGTTGGGGGCAGGGGTGCATGTGTGTTGGGGTGGGTGTGGGTGTGTGTTGGGTGTGTGTGTTGAGGGTTGGGGGGTGTGTGTGTTGGGGTGCGTGTGTTGGGGGCAGTGGTATGTGTTGGGGTGTGTGTGTTGGGGCGGGGCTGTGTGTGTTGGGGTTGTGTGTGTTGGGATGTGTGTGTTGGGGTGTGTGTGTTGGGGCGGGGCTGTGTGTGTTGGGGTTGTGTGTGTTGGGATGTGTGTGTATTGGGATGTGTGTGTGTTGGGGGCAGGGGTGTGTGGGTGTGTTGGGGTGGGGGTGTGTGTGTTGGGGGAGCGGTGTGTGTGTTGGGGGTGGGGGTATGTGTGTGTTGGGGGTGCGTGTGTGTTGGGGGCGGGGGTGTGTGTTAGGGGCGAGGGAGTGTGTGTGTTGGGGGGTGTGTGTGTTGAGCGTGTGTGTGTTGGGGGCAGGGTTGTCTGTGTTGGGGTGGGGGTGTGTGTGTTGGGGCGGGTGTGTGTGAGTGTTGGGGTGGGTGTGTATGTTGGGGCGGGTGTGTGTGTGTTGGGGCAGGTGTGTGTGTGTTGGGGTGAGTGTGTGTGTGTGTTGGGGGTGTATGTGTTGGGGCAGGTGTGTGTGTGTTGGGGTGTGTGTGTGTTGGTGTGTGTGTGTGTTGGGGCATGTGTGTCTGTGGTTGGGGTGGGGTGTGTGTGTGTGTTGGGGCATGTGTGTGTGTGTTGGGGCGGGTGTGTGTTGGGGTGTGTGTTGGGGCGGGTGTGTGTGTGTTGGGACGGTTGTGTGTGTGTTGGGATGGGTGTGTGTGTGTTGGGGCAGGTGTGTGTGTTGGGGTGGGTGTGTGTGTTGGGGCATGTGTGTGTGGGTTGGGGCATGTGTGTGTGTGTGTGTGGGGGTGGGGGTGTTGTGTGTTGGGTGTGTGTGTGTTGGGGCATGTGTGTGTTGGGGCGGGGGTGTGTGTGTTGGGGGCATGTGTGTGTGTGTTGGGGTGGGGGTGTGTTTGGGTGGGGGTGTGTGTGTTGGGCAGGTGTGTGTTGGGGCGGGTGTGTGTGTGTGGGGGCGTGTGTGTGTGTGTTGGGGGCCTGTGGGGGGGCGGGGTGTGTGTTGGGGATGTGTGTGTGTTGGGGGTGTGTGTGTGTTGGGGTGTGTGTGTGTGTGTGTGTTGGGGGCCTGTAGGGGGTGGGGTGTGTGTTGGGGGTGTGTGTATGTGTTGGGGGTGTGTGTGTGTTGGGGCGGGTGTGTGTGTTGGAGCGGGTGGGTGTGTGGGAGCGGGTGTGTGTGTGGGGGAGACTGCCCTGTCTGCAGCCAGTGTTTGCCTCCCCCTTTCCTTTTTCTTTTTGTTCTTTTTTTTTGTTTTTTTGAGACGGAGTCTCGCTCTGTCACCCAGGCTGGAGCGCAGTGGCGCGATCTCGGCTCACTGCAACCTCTGCCTCCCGGGTTCACGCCATTCTCCTAACTCAGTAGCTGGGACCACAGGCGCCCGCCACCACGCCCAGCTAATTTTTTGTATTTTTAGTAGAGACGGGGTTTTCACCGTGTTAGCCAGGATGGTCTTGATCTCCTGACCTCGTGATCCGCCCTCCCGCCTCGGCATCTCAAAGTGCTGGGATTACAGGCGTGAGCCACGGCGCCCGGACTTCCTTCTTTTTTAAGCAAAGCCTGTTAGAATGGCTTGGATCTCGAGGTGGGTAACATTTTTCCTTTTGATTTCTGTTCCCCATTCTGTCTTTCCGGTGTTTATCAGATAAAGTCCTGCTGACCCCTCATGGCCCTGTCTTTAGGTGGCGTCTTACCCGACCTCCGAGGGCTCTGCAGCCGCTGCGGGAGAATGACCCTGTCGGTATTTTTGAGGCTGCTTTGAGCGCGGCCCCCTGGTAAGCTCGTGCTCAGGGAGACCCACGCGGCATCACCGGAGCATTTCATGCTCCCGAATCCACTGGCGACCTCCTCCGGGGTCTCAGGAAGGGCAGGGATAGAGTGCTCTGTTCTTCTATGAAACATTGTGCCCCTGGTCCTGAGGGTAGGGCGCCTCCTGCCCACTAGGTCCCTGTGGGGGCGGGGGTCCTCACACTGAGCTCCTGAGAGTGAAGAGCAGCCTCCCCCACAGCCCCGGGCAGGCTCCCCCCACAGCCCCGGGCAGGCTCCCCCACAGCCCCGGGCAGGCTCCCCCACAGCCCCGGGCAGGCTCCCCCCACTCCCCCAGACAGGCTCCCCCCACTCCCCCGGACAGGCTCCCCCCACTCTCCTGGATGGGCTTCCCCCACTCCCCCAGAGAGGTTACCCCGACTGCCCCAGACAGGCTCCCCCCACTCCCCCAGACAGGCTCCCCCCACTCCCCGAGACAGGCTCCCCCGACCCTCCCGGGCAGGCTACCCCCACTCTCCCGGGCAGGCTCCCCCAACTCCCCCAGACAGGCTCCCCCCACTCTCCCGGGCAGGCTCCCCCCACTCCCCCAGACAGGCTCCCCCCACTCTCCCGGGCAGGCTCCCCCTACTCCCCCAGACAGGCTCCCCCCACTCTCCCAGGCAGGCTCCCCTGACTCTCCGGGCAGGCTCCCCCCACCCCACTTCAGGGGGCCTCCTTCGCCCCGCAGCCTCCCCCTACTCTTTGATGCAGTCTCCCCCAATTCCCCCAGGCAGCCTGAAAAGCCCCCCAAACAGCAGCTCTGTTTGCCCCCACTTAGCAGGGCCGCCTGCGGGGCACCCCCAAACACTAGGAGGAAGTCCCTCCCGTGGCTCCCTTTGGAGGAGCCTTGGGGAACCTGGCCAGCCAGCCCGGAAGGAGGCAGGCACAGCTCAGATCAGAGCTCAGAGGACCCAGGTCCTGAGTTCGGAGCGGAGAGGCGTCCACAGCAGCAGCACCAGGCGGCGCAGGCGGGGGCACCGCCCGTCCGCGGCCGCCCGGTGGAACCAGTTACCGAGAGCAGCGCAGTGGCGCCTCACTCCACCCTGCTAGCTGCGCCCACTGCTTGAAATGCAGGCAGGTGTAGTGAGGCCCACAAATCAGGGGATGTTGCCGTTGAAAAGATGGTTTGTCACTCACAGTTCTCAAGAGCAGGGGCTGCGCCACACGGCGCGGGTCGGGGACACACGGGCGAACGCTGGGGTCTGCTGAAGTCAGGGGGAGGAGAGGGAAACGTGAGCAAGAGCCTTTATTGGGGTTTCTGTGGGAAGAAACAGTCAAGGCAGGGTGAGCAGGCTTTGGACTGGCTGGTTTGAGTAATTTCAGGGCTCTGGGACAGAGGGGCTGTCCGGAGTTGTCTGATACCTGGCCCTGGTGTGATCAGGGCAGGGGAATATTGGCCCTGAGTGTGAGAGACAGAGGAGGTAGTGGGCTGTGGGCTGTGAGGTGGTCACTGGCATCTGAGAAGGAATCTCTAGTCCTAGGAGGGGCAGCCTCTCTAGGGTCAGCTAGGCCCCAGGACACAGAAAATAAAAGCATCAGACACAGAAAATAAAAATGTTCTGTGGGTGGCAGTAATTCATTTTTTATTACCACCCACCATTGCAGTGTAAGGAGATAGCATAAGCGGCTTATCCATTCTTCGTTTTTTGTTGTTGTTGGACATTGGAGTTACCTCCAGCTTTGGCTTTTACTAATAAAGCTGCCAGGACTATTCTCGCACATGTATTTGGTGGCCACACATGTTCACTACTCCTGGGTATAGACCCTGGCATGCGCAGCTTTCATAGATATTACTGAAGAGTTTTCCAAAGTGATTAAGCCAAATTTTAATGTTGTTGGCACCCTTAAGCCTTTCGGTCTGAAGACTCATGCCTTCCTTCTGTCATTCATTCAGCAAATCACTGTTTTATTATTACTATTATTATTATTAGTTTTTGAGACGGAGTTTCGCTCTTGTTGCCCAGGCTGGAGTGCAGTGGCACGATCTTGGCTCACTGCAACCCCTGCCTCCCTGGTACAAGTGATTCTCCTGCCTCAGCCTCCTGAGTAGCTGGGATTACAGGTGCCCGCCACCATGCCCAGCTAATTTTTTGTATTTTTAGTAGAGACGGGGTTGCAGCATGTTGGCCAGGCTGGTTTTGAACTCCTGGCCTCAAGCAATCCACCCGCCTCGGCCTCCCAATGTGCTAGGATCACAGGGGTGAGTCACCACGCCCAGCCCAGCAAATCATTATTAACAGCAACTCCTTTGCCAGAAAATGTTCTAGGCATTGGTGATACCAGGGGTGATCCCCAGAGAACAGGGCATTCTAGAGGAGGCCCTGTTACGATAGACAAGGACGGCTGGGCGCGGGGGCTCACCCCTGGAATCCCAGCACTTTGGGAGGCCGAGGCAGGAAGAGTGCTTGAGCCCAGGAGTTCCAGACCAGCCTGGGGAACATGGAGGCTCAAGCCATCCTCCTACATCGCGCCTGGGACCACAGGCGCGAGCCACCACACCTGGCTAATTTTTGTATTTTTTGTGGAGACAGGGTTTTGCCATGTTGTCCCGGCTGGTCTCAAACTCCGGGGCTTAAGTTAATCTGCCTACCTCAGCCTTCCAAAGTGTTGGGATTATGGGCGGGCATGAGCCACCTCGCCGGGCCACAAAACCCGGTCTCTGCAAAAAAAACCCCAAAAGAACAAAAATAAGCTGGGTGTGGTGGGCGCACCTATAGTCCCAGCTACTCAGGAGGCTGAGGTAGGAGGATCACCTGAGCCCGGGAGGCAGAGGTTGCAGTGAGCTGAGACTGCACCACTGCACTTCACCTGGATGACAGAGTGAGATCCTATCTTTAAAAAGTAATAATAAAATAAACAAGTAAATAAGTACCTGCTATAATAATTTACTTCCTGTAGGGATAACCCCTAATTACATATAATTAAATTGTAATTACAATTTCAGTGGGATGACTTCTATGAAGGAAACAAGGCTGGGTAGGGACCAGTGTTGCCTCTTCTCCATCCTTTCCTAGCAGTCTGGCTATGAGGCCGCTTGGATCCTGAAACTGTCCTCATGTCTCGATTCCTCCACGGGCTCCGTTTCAATAGAGGGGTGTGGTTTTTATTTTTTTATTTTTATTTTATTTTTTGAGATGGAGTTCGGCTCTTGTCTCCCAGGCTGGAGTGCAGTAGCGAAATCTCAGCTCACCGCAACCTCTGCCTCCTGGATTCAAGCGATTCTCCTGCCTCGGCCTCCCAACTAGCTGGGATTTACAGGCGTGTGCCACCACGCCTGGCTAATTTTTGTATTTTTAGTAGAGACAGGGTTTCATCATGTTGGCCAGGCTGGTTTCAAGTCCTGACCTCAGATAATCCACCCGCCTCGGCATCCCAAAGTGCTGGGATTACAGGCGTGAGCCACCTCGCCCGGCTCGGGTGTGGTTTTTAAATGAGCACTTTTTAAATGTCTATCTCTAGCTCAGTCTTGGGGGCACTGCTCTCACTCCTCCATCGAGTCTGCTTTCCTCAACATCTGTTTGTCAGGCTCTGCTCCTTCTTGGGTCGGTTGCCCTTTCATTCTGTGGCTTTCCTCCGACGTGTGCTGTCTCTGGGTCATGGGCTGTCTGACTCCTTGCTGGCTCCTGGGAGGTGTGGGAGGGGCAGTGTGAAATGTCTTCTGGCCTGTTTTCTGCAAACACGAGGCAGTGGAGGCCTTTTTGCATGGGGCAGCTAATACTGTCATTGAGGCTTTTGGGTGGAGGCCCATCCTGCTCCTGGCACAGCACTCCGGCCAGGGGGCTTACAATCAGGGCCCTCTTGAGAGGTAACCAGCACCCCACCCCTGCTGCTGCCTGGCCCAGGGGAAATGGGGGTGTGGAGGGAGGCCAAGGGGCCACTGAAGAGTAGCTGGCCGTGGTGGGCTCCCTCTCAGTTTCCAGTCCAAAGAGTCCCTGCTTTCCAATGCTGTGTGCGCGTGTGTGTGTGTACACTCCCAAACTTTATATTTAAAAGAAACTATATTTTGGCTGAGCGCGGTGGCTCATGCCTGTGATCCCAGCACTTTGGGAGGCCAAGGTGGGTGGATTCCTTGAGTCCAGGAGTTCAAGACCAGCCTGGTGATCTGCCTGCCTCGACTTCCCAAAGTGCTGGGATTACAGGTGTGAGCCACTGCACCTGGCCTAATAAACTTCATTTTATTTTATTATTTATTTATTTATTTTATTTATTTTTATTTATTTATTTTTGAGACGGAGTCTTGCTCTGTTGCCCAGGCTCTGGAGTGCAGTGGCGCAAACTCGGCTCACTGCAAGCTCCGCCTCCCGGGTTCATGCCATTCTGCCTCAGCCTCCCGAGTAGCTGGGACTACAGGTGCCCGCCACCATGCCCAGCTAATTTTTTTTGTATTTTTAGTAGAGACGGGGTTTCACTGTGTTAGCCAGGATAGTCTCGATCTCCTGACCTCGTGATCCACCTGCCTCGGCCTCCCAAAGTGCTGGGATTACAGGTGTGAGCCACCGTGCCCGGCCTATTTATATTTTTTGAGATGCAGTCTCGCTCTGTCGCCCAGGCTGGAGTGCAATGGTGCAATCTCAGCTCACTGCAACCTCTGCCTCCCAGGTTCAAGCAATTCTCCTGCCTCGATTACAGGTGCCTGCCACCACGCCCAGCTAATTTTTGTATTTTTAGTAGAGACGGGATTTCACTATGTTGGCCAGACTGGTCTCGAACTCCTGAGCTCAGGTGATCTGCCTACCTCAGCCTCCCAAAGTGCTGGGATTACAGGCGTGAGCCACCATGCCCGGCCATAAACTTTATTTTTCAGAACAGCTTTATATTTACAGAAAAACTGTGATGATAGTTTAGAAAGTTCACATATATGCCACACCCAGTTTCCTTTATTTTAATATCTTATAATATGGTGCATTTGTTGCCTTTGATGGACCAATATTGATACACTATGATTAACTATGGTCCAGCTTTACTAGGCTTTCCTTAGCTTTACCTAATGTCCTTTTTCTGCTCCAGGATCCCATTCAAGACACCACATTACAAACGAAAATGTATTTTCTGTCATTTCTGGGACAACGGACAGGGTGGGGACGCAACAGTATGTGCTCCTGGCTCGTCAACACCGTGAAGCTGGGTTTCTGGCTCCCCAGGGACTTGGGGAGCACTTGGCAAGGGCATCAGACTTGATTTCATGCATCCTGGGTGTCTGTTCCACTCCCAGGTCTTCTTCAGCATGTCCTCTGACTTGTCCCCTCTCTGGCCTCAGTTTCCTCATCTGGAAAATGAGGGCCTTGGTGAGTTTCCTCTGGATAGGCGGTGGCCTGGGGCAGAGGGAACTGGCAGGCTTGGTGTTGTCCTGAGGGTGGAGCTGGGGCTCAGGGCGGCAGATCTCACGGAGTTCAACACAGGGGCGAAGGCTCTGATTTTGGAAGCTTTTTAATTCAAAGGTCAGGGGCCAAAGTCATGCCCCAGCCTTGCTGTTAATTCCTCTGTGCCTCAGGCAAGGCGCTCCTCATCTCTGGGCCTCAGTCTCCTGATCTGTAAAGTGATGGCTGGTGGGATGACTTCTGAGGACCCTTCTGGCTGGGAACAGAGCAGGCTGCCCTGGGAGCAATGAGTCTTCTCCCAAGGGTGCAAGCTGGGCCGGGAGGCCTCCTGGGTGTGGCAAGGGGTGATGGCCATGGTGGCATGTGGGTCCCCCTGCTGATGGAAAATCTGGCCTCTGTGTCCACCTTTCCCATGGCTAATTCAGGGGATGGTGGCTGGCGGCTGCAGGACACCCATGCCTTCCTTCCTGGCTCACTCAGGACTGCCTTTGGCCCTGAGCTAAGGAAGGCCTGCCAAGTGTACCAAACCCCGGGCCATGGACTTCCATGGGACGCACAGAAGCACGCCCTCACTATGTGCGAGCCTGTGGCAGCGCTGGCTGATGTGTCAGTCAGCTCCCAGGCAACTGCCAGCCGAGGCCAGGCTCTGGCCCACAGGCACAGCAGGTCCACCCTCCAAAACTCCAAGGGAGTGGGAGAAGGAACAGAGGCATCACTGAGAGGGTGAAGATGAGGGGCCCTGTGCCCTTACCTCCCCAAAACTAGACTTTCCATTTGAGAACATTCAGGTTCTGCCTTGTTTCCAAGCGTTTGCATCTGCTGTTCCCCCTAGCACCAATGCCTTTCCCTTTTCTAGCTGTTGAACTCCTACCCACCCCTCAAGGCCCAATGCAAAAGTTCCTTCTATTGGATCCTAGCTGCTTCAGGGCCTACCTGTGTCATGGCACGTATCACCCTGAATCATAACAGCCACTTCTGTACCTGTGTCCCCATCCAGAACTCAAGTTCCCTGAAGGCAGGAGTGGGTCTGACTCATCCCTGTGAGGTTGCTGCAGACGCATTATCTCCCCTTTGCATTATTGGTGAAAGGGCCGGGTGGAGGAAGGGAGGATTGCTGCACCAACCTTTCCTCGGCGCCTGTTTACTGGCACCGTCGCATCCATTCCACGCCGATCCTCCGCAGTCCCCCTATCCTGCCAGCCGCTCCTCCTTGGGGCAGGGGCGGCGCGAGCCACAGGGGCGTGCCCGCGAGCGGGTCGGGGCTGCGGAGAGAACGGGCCGGGGTAAAAACCCGACGGCTGCCCGCGGGTGGGCGGGGCGCGCAGAGCCGGTGGGAGGCCGCGGTGGCAGCAGTCGCCCCCGCGCATCGAGGGACCCAGGGACTCGCGCAGATGGCACGCGGCCACCTCGGTCCTGCCGGGGAGCCCCATTTCCAACCGAGGCAACTGAGGTTCCCAAAGCGCCAGCTACCCGCCGGGGTCTGGAGAGCGCCGGGGCCCGGCCGCCCCGCCCAGCCAGAGGTGCCCCGCCCCAAGCCTGGCGCACCTGGCCCCGCCCCGCCGGGACCCCGCCCCCGCCCTAATCAGAGCTGGTTCCGCGCCGCGGCCGCCGCGACAGGTGCAGCAGAGCCGAGCCGGCCGCGCTCCGAACGGCGCCTCCCGCCCCACCATGGGCAACAGCGCGAGCCGCAGCGACTTCGAGTGGGTCTACACCGACCAGCCGCACACGCAGCGGCGCAAGGAGATACTGGGTGAGCGCCGCGCGGGGCCCACCCCGGTGGGGACCGCCCCGTTGGCCCGTCTGGAGTCGCGTCGTGGGGTCGAGCCCAGACGGGCCGCTCCAGCTCTGGCCCAAATTCCAGTGGGCGTTCCGCCATTGCCGCTCCCCTCCCTGGGGTCCCCGGCCGGCTCCCCGAGGGTCCCCCACCCTGGCCGGGTCTGAAACTCCCTGGGACCTGAGGATTCCGAGGACCCCAGTACGGGTCCGAGCGCCAGGGAGCGCGTCCCAGCTGTTCCTCGCGAGCCACTCCCGGGGCCAGGGCCGGGGCTCTGGGATGCTGGGACGCGAGGGCGCAGGGGCGGCCCCGGGACGCGCTACGAGGCGCACGCGCTCCCTGGCGCGGAGGCAGCTTGCGCGACGCGGGGCCTCCACCCGCAGTCACTGGGCGCCTGCTGCGCTCAGAGCCCCTGGGTCTCGCGGCCACGGGCGCCCCAGGCTGGAGTTCAGGGCGGATGAGCGCCGGGAAGGGAGCAAACGCGAATGAGAGGCGCGCGTGTTTTCTTTGAAAAAAGCAAAGATTGTACTAAAGAATCCTTCTATTCTGGCATGTCGCTTATTACGTGGTGGCTGTTTTCCTTGTTGCTTCGTGTCCTCTGCGAGGAGGGCATCTTTACCCACTCGGAGTCACTCTCGTTCATGCCAGAGGCCCCATCCCACCCACAAGCAAGGTGGCCCCGGTGAGTCGTCCTTGGCCCGGGCTTACGGGGTTAAAGGGCCTGCGTCTGGAGAGTGGCTTTTGCCAGATGCCACCAAATCGCCACAGGCTGAGACAGGCCCGCCCCTCCCGCCCTGCCTAAGTCAGCACCGCGCGTTGCCACACTTTGTAATCTTCAGTCAGATTGGGGAAACAATACCATTTCACTGTGGCTTTAATTTGCACTTATTTGATGGAGGTTTCACATTTTAATCGGGCGTTTTATTTAATTTAATTAATTTATTTATTTAGAGACAGAGTCTCGCGATCTCGGCTCACTGCGACCCCCGCCTCCCAGGTTCAAGCGATTCTCCTGCCTCAGCCTTCTGAGTAGCTGGGATTACAGGCACCTGCCACCACACCCGGCTAATTTTTGTATTTGTAGTGAGATGGAGTTTCACCATGTTGGCTAGGCGCGATCTTAGCTCACTGCAACCTCTCCCCACTGGGCTCAACTGATCCTCCTACCTCAGCCTCCTGAGTAGTTGAGACTGCAGGTGTGTACCACTATGCCCGGCTATTTTTTTTGTATTTTTACTAGAAACAGGGTCTTGCCATGTTGCCCAGGCTGGTCTCAAACTTCCGAGCTCGAGGGATCCACCCATCTCAGCCTCCCAAAGTGTTGGGACTACAGGCATGGGCCATGAGCCACCACGCCTGGCCTGAACAACTTTTTTTTTTTTTTTTTTTTTTTTTGAGAGGAAGTCTTGCTCTGTCGCCCAGACCGGAGTGCAGTGATGCGATCTCCACTCACCGCAACCTCCGCCTCCCAGGTTCAAGCGATTCTCCTGCCTCAGCCTTCTGAGTAGCTGGGATTACAGGCACCCGCCACCACACCCGGCTAATTTTGTATTTGTAGTAGAGATGGGGTTTCACCATGTTGGCTAGGCTGGTCTCAAACTCCTGACCTCAGGTGATTCACCCGCCTCTGCCTCCCAAACTGTTGGGATTACAGGTGTGAGCCACTGCGCCCAGCCAACTTTTTCTTTCTTCCTCTTTTTTTAATCCCATGGCAGCATACTGAGATACCATGACTTTTAAATGTTTGAAACCCAAGATACATTGGGTGGCTAGCCTGTGACTGCATCCCGGGGTAACTGGGGCCTCAGGAGCTGGAAGCCTCTATGTGGGTTTGTGACTGCTGTGGTTTCTCCTGGGAGGTGAGCTGCAGCCCAGCATCGTCTGGTCCCAGCAGTGGTAGCTGCCTCCCGTATGCTGTGGAACTCCTGGGGAGGGCTGGGAGGAACCTTGGGGGTCATCTGACCCTCCCTCCCTGCTCATCATGTGAACAGGGCAGGTGTCCTGGCTACTGCCCCTCAGCAGGTCTGAGGTGGGGCTGAGGCTGGAGCAGGGGCCTCCTTGGCCCTGTTTGCATTTCTGTCCCCTCCCCTGGCTATCCCCAGCTTCACTTCACAGGACTCATTGGGTATCTGGCACCATGTGGAAAAGGCAAGAGGCACATGGCAGCCAGTGTCCTGGTCCCTAGGAGCTCATATCCATAGAATAGGAGCTGGGCCTACCTCAGGGCCACCTGGAGGGATCCAGACACTCTGGGCTGTGGCCTCACTTTCCCAATCTGCAAAACGGGCAGTCGTCCTACCAGGCAGAGTAGGTGTGAGGATGAGATGATATCTCAGCTGGGAAGGTGCCCGAGGTGGTACCTGGCCCTCCAGGACGTGGGGAAGGAGCTCTCTCTAAAGAGGGAAGCCACAGGCCCTGGAACCAATCCAGGAGGCTTTCTGGAGGTGGTGGCTAGGAAGGTTGAAAGACTTGGAAAAGGGAGAGGCACCTGGGGCCAGGGCTTGGGGAGCACAAGTCCTCAGGGCGGGCCCTCCAGCTTGGTCCACGCTCCCTTTCCTGCAGGGCGGAAGCAGGGGCTTCCTTTCCACCTGTTGTTTTCAGCTAATAAATTTGGAATGTGCCATTCCCTCCCTCCCCGGCACAAGCTGTTCCCCCAGGTGAATGTCCCTCCTCCCTGCTCTGCCAGGCTCTGTCTTGCTTAGCCTTGCTCGCTCAGTTCAGTCCCACCTCCTGCAGAAAGCCCCTCCACTGCTCCCAGACCTGGCCCAGCTGGATGGGGACCCCTCCTCTGGGTTCCCCTCCATGGCTCCAAGCCCTCTGGGCTCTGGGCTCTTTGGGGCACAGTTCAAGAGCTTGGCTGTGGAGCTGAACCCCTGGCAAGGACCCTGACACCCACTTATTAGCCACGGGTGAGTCTGTAAACAGATGAAGGAGTTGGGGCCTGGGCAAATGAAAAGGGGTTAATAAATCATACCTTCCTAATGGGGCTGCTGTGCAGATTAAACGAGGTGATATGTAAAGTGCTTATTCCAGGACTCGATGAGTATCAGCTGCGATGATAATGATTAATGTCTCAGAGACCTGGCAAGGGCTGTCGTTTCCCTAAGGACAGGGAATACTCTCTGCTTCCTCCATGCCTATGCTATTCCCAGGCCTTGGAGAAATGCTCTGTGTAACTGCCAGCATCTCTTTATAGAAGAGGCAGGAGTGAGGCTGAGAGAGGGGAAGCAACTTGCCGGGGAACACACAGGCCAGGCTGGTGCTCAGGCAGCCTCCTGCCCCACCCAGCTGGCTCCTGCAGCCTATGCCAAGCTCCTGGGTGCCCAGGGATGTTCAATAAAGATCATAATCTGACAGTCAGAATCCAGGAAGTCCTTGCAAAGAGCTGGCTCCAGGAGCTCTGTGGGTTGGGGCCAAAGTCCATCTCCAGCTCCTGCCGGGGAGGGGGACATGCTCCCTAGAACATAACTTCCTAAGAAAGTGGGGTCTCCTAGGCCAGGGCTGAGGCTCCCTGACCTGAAAGGGCAGGACCGGAGCCAGCGAGACTGGCCCCATCAGAGACCCAGCCAGGCGTGGCCGGTGGAGTAAGAGGCAAGCTCTGGGTTTGTTTTTTTTTTGAAAATGAATAGCTTTGTAATTTTGTTTGTTTTTAAATTATGAAAGCAGGGCACACATGGTAATACAAAAATTCAAATAAAGAAAAACAAAAGAGGAAATCCCGGAAGCGAAACTGCTGGCTGTTGCTGGATTATTTGCTTCAGAAAGGCCGGGGCTGAGGCTCTGTCAGTGGTAACTGGTAAAATCCAGGACCAAACTGCCAGAGCCACAAGGGGATCCTGGGGCTCCATCTCCCAGCCACAGAGCTGCCCGGCTGCAGGGTAAACCCATCTCTGTAACGTACGGGGGCCTGGCTGCTCCCAGATCTTCAGTATATATTTGTCACTGGAAATGAAAGGCAGGTTTAGTGAGCGGCTGGTGAGAAGCTGGACACTTGCCACACTTTCCAGATCCAACTAGGTCCCAGGGTGCCTCCCACACTGGACAGGGTCAGGCTTGTCTCTTGGCACAAAACCTCAGGTGGCAGGGATGGAAGCTGTGGGTAGGTGGCTTCCCAGAGCATTAGGCCAGGGCTGGGAGGAAGAAGTTTAGGAAGGAGGGGATTAGGAGGGCTTTGCTGCCTTTGTGAGGAGAAGCTTGTCCCAGGTCAGGTTACTCAGCTGTGGATGGGTGGGGAAGAGGCCACGTTGTATGGAAGCATTTCCTGCTGTGGCCACCAGGTGGCATCGTCAACCCTGAGCAGGTTTGTGGTGGAACAGGGAGCTGGGAAGCAGGTGGCGGCAGAGGTGGAATGTTGGAGGGATGATGGGCAGTGACGGGCACCTCCCATGTGGCCAGTGAGTGACTGTCATATGATGGCATTTGGCCTCCCTGGGAAGGTGATACAGCAGGTCTCCCTAGATGTTGCCAGAGCCAGGGCTTGGGGGCTCACTGGGGCCCAGTGTGGAAGAGATAAGAGGCCCCTTTGCTTTTGGGAGCCCTGCTGGGGACAAGACAAAAGTGACTTTATTGCCAGCTAGTCAGGAGGGGCAGGGGTGGAGTGGCCTGTGACTGGGAGTAGGGGTGTGGCGTGGGGGGGCCCTGTCTCTGCTACTCTTGGAGGCAAGGGTACAGCAGCCTCTCTGGCCTGGCTGCCTGTTTCTGATGCGGTCCCTCTGCTCAATGGCTCAGCAGATTTGTCAGGAGCATTTCTGGGCAAAGGCTGTAACCCATCAGAGTCGCACCAGGGTGATGCAACTGTCCTGTGGGTGCAGGGGGCTTTGGGCTGGCCTCCCTTCAGCAGGCCCTGCCTCTGGCTCTGCCCTCTGGCATTTTATGAGTGAGCCTGCTAACTGGTATAAGTGTGCAGACGTTTCACACCTTGGCATCTGCTGCCCCTTCTTCTCCATAGGCCCCTAGGGAAGACCCCACCTCCATGGGCTCCCAGCCACAGAGGCTGTCAGAGCAGATGCCTTACAGATGGAGACTGAGGAGACAGGTCCAGAGAGGGACAGGGGCTTGCCCAAGGGCACACAGGAGTCTGACTGAGCCTGATCCATGATTTTTTCTTTCTTTTTTTTTTTTTTTTTGAGACGCTTTGTTGCCAGGCTGGAGTCCAGTGGTGTGATTTTGGCTCACTGCAACCTCTGCCTCCCAGGTTCAAGCAATTCTCCTGCCTCAGCCTCCTAAGTAGCTGGAACTACAGGCGCACGCCACCTTGTCCAGCTGATTTTTGTATTTTTAGTAGAGACGGGGTTTCACCATGTTGGCCAGGCTGGTTTTGAACTCCTGACCTCAAGTGATCTGCCCGTCTCAGCCTCCCAAAGTGCTGGGATTACAGGTGTGAGCCACTGCGCCCAGATCTGATCCAGAATTTTCTCTGGGTGCTCTGTGGCAGTGTAGCCAAGCACTAGATCGGTGCTGATGGAGTCTGAGTCCACATCGGGGCCTTGCTCACCATTGTGCAGGCCTGGAGTCGGGGGTCCTGAGTTCAAGTCTTGGCTCGGTCAGCCTTGTTGCACCTTGGTGGGCCCTTCTTTGCACCTCCCTTGACCTCAGACCCTTCCTGAGTCCTGCCTGGACAGGGTGACTTCTAGCAACAGCTGTTGTTCATGGCCACCTGCCCAGATGCCTTGTGCCTCACCTGGGGCCGCTGCTGGAAACCGTCTGTGTGGGTCTGTGTATCTTGGTTCCAGGTGGCTGTGCACGTCGGGCTCTGTGCTGCCCCACGGAGCAGAGAGCCCTCAAGGCACATGTGTCTCCCAGCTACTCCTGCCATCCAGGCTGGAGGTGTGGAAGGGCAGAGTCACACCTGAGGTCAGCTGAGTGCCCACAGCAGGACAGAGTTCCCAGGCTGGGCCAGGTTTGGGTGTCTAGCCAGAGCCCATGCAGGCCTGCAATTCCTCATGGGGCTGCCAGGGAGCTGTGTCTCTCCCTGTCCTTCTCTGCCTTGGGCTTTCCCCCTCTCTTGTGGCCCAGAGAAGATGGGGCCCAAGGCCATGGAACCCATTGACTCCCACTCCCCAGCCCCACCCATTCTCCCTGTCCCCCTTTCTTTGAGGCCCTGGAAGAGGCCCTGTATTAGTGTTCTCCAGAGAGACAGAACTGATAGGATCTATGTATCTATCTCTCACATCTATTATCTATCTATCTATCTATCTATCTATCTATCTATCTATCTATCTATCTATCTGTTTTTGCCATTACTGTCGCCCAGGCTGGAGTGCAGTGGTGCAATTGCGGCTCACTGCAGCCCCGAACTCCTGGGCTCAAGCGATCTTCCCACCTCAGCCTCCCAAGTAGCTGGGACCACAGGCACACACCACCACACCTGGCTGATTTTTAAACTTTTTGCATAATAAGGCCTTGCTATATTGCCCAGGCTGATCCTGACCTCCTGGGCTCAAGGAAACCTCCTGCCTCAGCCTCCCAAAGTGCTGAGATTACAATGTAAGCCACCATGCCTGGATCAATCGATATATCGATCTATCTTCCTATCTTCCTTCCTTCCCTTTCCCTCCCTCCCTCCCTTCCTTCTTTCCTTCCATCCATCCATCCATCCATTCGAAGAGGGGATTTATTAGGGGAATTGGCTCATGTGATTATGGAGGCTGTAAAGTCCCATGACAGACTGTCTGCAAGCTGGAGACCCAGGGGTGGCAGTAGGGGTAGCGTGGTTCAGTCTGAGTCTGAGGGCCTCAGAACCAGGGAACTCGACGGTGGAACCCTCAGTATGATATTGAAGGCCTGAAAGCAGGCGGAGGGTGGAGGGTGCTGGTGTAGTTCCTGGAGTCCAAAGGCTGGAGTTTTGATATCCAAGGACTAGAGAAGTGTGTGTTGCAGCTCCAAGAGAGGGAAGTGGTGGGAGAAGTAGAGAAGGATGGGAGGAGAGAGGGAGGGAAAGACAGGAGGGAGACCCTTGTCTCTGCCTTTTTGTTCTATCGGGGCCCTAGCTGATTGGATGGTGCTGGCCCACATTGTGGGCGGGCCTTCCTCACTCAGTCCACTTACCCTCTGCCAGTCTGGAAACACCTTGACAGACACCCAGAAATAATGCTCCATAGCTCTCGAGGAGTTCCTGAGTCCCCTTGGCACCCAGCTCCAGTGACCCTTGCCTTCTCCATGATGCCCACCCTGGCATCTCCATGACGCCCACCCTGGCATCTCCATGACGCCCACCCTGGCATCTCCTTCCCATCCTGCCGTCCTCTGGTGCCTCCCTGTTGCCCTCCCTGCCCCATGCCCTAGGCAGACCCACCCTCGCTACCTCATCTCACCCTCGCCTTGCCTCGGGCTGTGCCGGAATGGCTCCTGCTGAGACACCATGACCTGGCTAAGTCGAGGGACACCTGCTCTCTCTTCTTGTCCCTGAACCTCTGTGACCCCTGGCAGCTGACCACCTCCAAGCCCTGGCTTCAGTTACTACTCCATCCTGACCGTACCCAGGGTGACCTCAGCCACGACCCTCTCCTGCACATCCAGTCTGCATGGCGTGGTCCCGAGTGTTCCTGGCACGTCCCCACTCCCACTCCCCCAGGGACCTGGGCGCTCTGGAGCTGAAGATGGTAGATCTTTGCAATCTTTGCAAAAAGCGTGGGTTGTTTTCTCCTGTCAAGGAGTCAGTCAACTGACCTTGGGTGGGTGCAGAGTAGACCCACTCCTAAGACAGGGCTTCCGGGGGGCCCACTGGAGGCTGGGGTGTTCAGTGAGGCCTTTCTGCCCAGTGGGTTGGGACTCCCAGCCTGTGCCACCTCTGGAACTCCTTGGGTGCAAAGCTCCAGCAGCTGCTGTTTTCAGAACTGTCATGGAGCTCCTGCTCCAGCAAAGCTTCTCTGGGCCTCAGGCCTTTGGCAGGAGCCCCCTGTACCTGCAGTGTGGGTGTCTCGGGCTCCCTGAGTGCCATTCTCTGCTCGTTCAGCTCCTTGGGGGTCCCTCAGCCACGTGCTGCAGTCCAGCAGGTGCCTGCAGGCAGGTGAGGTGACCTGGGGCTCCCTGCATCTGTTCCCTCCTTGAGTCGCGCCCTGTGCTGCCCATGCTCAGCTGCCTCGTGCACTGCTCAGTTTTTAGTTACTTCCAGTTGGTGGCTCCCAAGCCTGCAAGCTTTGGGCCTGCTCTTGTTGAAACAAGCCAGGGCCAGGCCATCGCCCCAAGACCAGCTTTTCCTCTTAGATCAGAGCACTTCCTTTAATGACAATAGTACCAGCTTGTGCCTACTGAGTGCTGGCACCCCCAGGGCTCAGACTAATGTGCTGGCCACTCCACAGCCTGACGGGCATAGAGGAATGGCGTCCCCATTTCCCAGATGGGAAGACGCAGGCTGGTGGGCCCCTGCTATTGGCCAGGTGATGGCTGGGGTTGGGCCCCTGAGGCTTGTTGGGACCCGCCTGCACTAGGCCTCTTGCCAGATGTGCCACACTGGAAACAGCCCAGAGTCCACTCAGAGGGGACTTAGGGGCATGCCTGTTGGATGGGCCAGCCCAGTGCCTGTTTCTGGGGTCCCAGTGGCTCCGGAGGCCCCAGCACACCCATGGGAGATAGGACCAGCCCATAGCTGGGGCCGGGTGAGGGGCTGGTAGGGTGGGCGCTGCTGTCCTTCTGTGTGCAGGTTTCTCCTCTCTCCAGTGGTCCACAGTGGGGCCCCTGAGGGAAGGCTGGGGCTTGGAGGGGCAGCTGAGTCCTAGGAGGTGCTGAGGAAAGCGGGAAGGGCACGGGGCTCCCTGAAAGGCGGCTGCACAGGGCACAGGGAGGGACCCTGAGGGCGCACCATGTAGGCAGAACTTAGCATCTTTGTTCAGCAGATGGGGAAAGTGAGGCCCATTCTCCAAGGTCAGGGCTGCCAGGCTCTGTCATGGCTCTCACCTCTGAGGGGTGCAGAAGTGGCTGATGCTTGCCTGCACCCAAAAGCTGGAGGCCTGGGCTGGCCCTCCCCAGAGCTGCCTGCTTGTGGCTCACCTGGCACAGGTGTGGCCTGCCCCTCCCTCTTGCCCCAAGGTTTGGTCTCTTTCCAAGGGGAAGCAGCGGCTGGTTGCCTGTGGAATGGGGGCGGGGCGGGGGGGGGTGTTGGGGTGGGAGTGGGGCTGGAGCTGGCCGGCCCCCAGGCGGATTGGCTACTGCCCTGGGGGCAGGGGCGTCCCTGGGTAAGAGGGAGGCAGTGGGCAGTGGTGCCTTCGGACCTGCGGTCTCAGCCTACATACAGACACACAAAGGGGACTTTGCATGCGACTTCCTTGGCCCTGCGCCTGGGCCAGAGCCTTCCTGAGTGGGAGCTGCCAGCAGGTCCTCCTTGCCCTGCCTGACAGGAGACATTGCTTCCCTGCCTGGGACCACTTTGCTGCGGGCGCTGGGTCCCCACCTCCTGGCTGAGGCTCCCCGTGTGCTTGAGTACACAGACGGCATCAAGGCACAGCCTCTGAATCGTCTTCGCTGGCCCAGACCTGCTGGGTGGGAACAAGCTGGGATGAGGCCTGGCTCGGGGAGCAGCAGGGCCCATCTGCCAGCGTGGGCCACATGTGCCCCTGCTGGAGTCCTGCCCTCTGAGTCTGGTGGGATGAGGCTCGGCCAGGGTGGGGGCCAGCGGGCCCTCGAGGGACAGGGCCTGTGTGCAGGGGCAAAGGGACCAGCGAGGTTTGCTGGCCACTCCCACCTTCTCACCCCTCGGCCACTGCAGTGGGAGCGGAGGAGGGCGGGGTGCAGCCCCACCGAGCGGGGCCTCATACCTCCCTGTCTTCCTTGCAGCCAAGTACCCGGCCATCAAGGCCCTGATGCGGCCAGACCCGCGCCTCAAGTGGGCGGTGCTGGTGCTGGTGCTGGTGCAGATGCTGGCCTGCTGGCTGGTGCGCGGGCTGGCCTGGCGCTGGCTGCTGTTCTGGGCCTACGCCTTTGGTGGCTGCGTGAACCACTCGCTGACGCTGGCCATCCACGACATCTCGCACAACGCGGCCTTCGGCACGGGCCGTGCGGCACGCAACCGCTGGCTGGCCGTGTTCGCCAACCTGCCCGTGGGTGTGCCCTACGCCGCCTCCTTCAAGAAGTACCACGTGGACCACCACCGCTACCTGGGCGGCGACGGGCTGGACGTGGACGTGCCCACGCGTCTGGAGGGCTGGTTCTTCTGCACACCCGCCCGCAAGCTGCTCTGGCTGGTGCTGCAGCCCTTCTTCTACTCACTACGGCCGCTCTGCGTCCACCCCAAGGCCGTGACCCGCATGGAGGTGCTCAACACGCTGGTGCAGCTGGCGGCCGACCTGGCCATCTTTGCCCTTTGGGGGCTCAAGCCCGTGGTCTACCTGCTGGCCAGCTCCTTCCTGGGCCTGGGCCTGCACCCCATCTCGGGCCACTTCGTGGCCGAGCACTACATGTTCCTCAAGGGCCACGAGACCTACTCCTACTATGGGCCTCTCAACTGGATCACCTTCAATGTGGGCTACCACGTGGAGCACCACGACTTCCCCAGCATCCCGGGCTACAACCTGCCGCTGGTATGTGGCTGGGCTGGCAGGGCTGCGGCGGGGCAGGGCTGCACAGCCATCGGAGGAGGTGGGGGCCCTGGAAGGGCCTTGGGCCATGCCCAGCAGCCTCTCCCTTTTTGTGCTAGTCATGGCATGGCCACTTGCACTTGTCCCCAGGGCAGGAGGAAAGGCCACACAACACAGGCGAGTCCTCTGCTGGAGGCTGAAGCAAATTCAGGGAGGTGGGGTCTGAGAGGCATTTCACAGTCCAGGCTGCTTGATGCCGCCATGATACTGACAGGGTGTCTTCCTTGAAGAGGGGCAGCATTAGCAACACTGCACGGGAAGCACCATCCTTCCCGTCTGCAGGCTCTTTCCCTGCTCATTCCTTGTCATTGCCCTGTGACCCTCCAGGGGCCAGAGAGGACAGGGTGGGCCTTGCCCTTCGCAGCCCAAGGGGCTTGGGCAGAGCTGATGGGGAGTGGAAGCCCCGGGTATGGGCATCTTTGCCTTAGGAGACTGGGAGCTGGAGAATTTCTGAATGAGAAAGGAGGAAGGGGAAGGGGGAGGAGGAGCCGTCCCTCAGCCATTGCCAGCCTGTGCCTTGGTAGCCTCTGGCTGCCTGGAAAGAGCTGGAGTTACCTGTGGCAAAGGGGGCGGGAGGAGGTGGCACTGGGGAGGTGTTCGAGCGCCTGAGCGCACGCCTCTGTGTGCACCGGGGTGTGCACGTGTCTGTGTGTGAGCATGTTTGCCCTGTGATTATGTGTGGGTGCCTGCCCACGTGCGCAGGCATTTGCATGTGTGCCTGGGCGTGCGCACACGCATCTGTGTGTGGTTATGTATTTACCTGGTTGTGCAGGTGTTTGTGCACACGTCCCTGTATGCGTGTGCACTGTGGCCCGTGTGACTCTGGAATCAGACCAAATTCCAAGCCTGGGCCGTGGCCTGTGCCCTCCATTCCGGCTGGCAGTACCAAGGCGGTGCTCTGCACCAGGGACCATCTCACTTGAACTTCACCACAGCCCAGGAGGCAGCTGCCTCCTCATCCATTATCCCTGTTGTATAGATAAGGCAGAGGCACGGGGGAGAGGTGCCCGCCTCAGGAGGTGACGGGGCGGAGGGGAGAGGTGCCCGCCTCAGGAGATGGCAGAGCAAGTTGGCAAGAGTGCCTGCCGTGAGCCATGAGCCTTTACCTTTCCTGAGCAAAGTGAGAGGCTCTGGGTGCCTGGTGCTGGCCCCGCTGTCCTGGTTTTGCGGCCAGGCTCCCTGCGTCCTGAGAGCATCCTTAGGAGGTGACAGGGCAAAGAGGGGGCAGGAAAGGCATCCTGGGGGGGGGGGGCAGGGAGGGCATCCCTGTGATGGGAGCTGGGCCAAGGCTGCATGCCGTTGAGCAGTGGGGCGGCGTGGTGGTGGCGCAGTTGCGGGCGCTGAAGCTGGGAGCACTTCCTGGAGGAAGTTGGTGGGGGTGTCTGTGTAGAGCAAAGGCTGGAGGGGACAGCAGGTGCTCAAGAGGCCCTTGGAACATGACAAGCAGTGAGGCTGGCTGAGGCCAAGGTTGGCGGATCACAGGGCTGAGATGCATGGGTGTGACACTGTGGCCTGGTAGGACTCAGGCGGGCACTCAGCACTGCGCAGGCGCTGCGGGAGAACTCCCCCGAGCAGTGGGGTCTGCCGGGTCAGAAGGCGGGGCCGAGTGGAGTGGTGCAATGAATTCTGCAACTACCACTTGGGGCAGGCGCTCTGAGCTGAGCCCGTGGGTGCCTCTGCCACAGCGTCCTGGGCGCAGTTCAGGCCACCAGGCCCTCCAGCAGCCAGCGCCACGCTTCCAGGCACCCAGGAAGTGGTGGTTGGCAGGGAGGACCAGAGGGGTGGCCTTGTGTTTGGCCAAGCTGGACATGGGCACCCCAGAGGCGACGGTGTGTTTGCATTATGTACACCCATGTGTGTGTGTGGGTGTGCGCGCGCGCAAACATGTTCGTACATGAATATGCATGTGCATGCCCACCGCGTGTGCTCAGGTGTCTGCGTGTGTGCTCGCGGGTGCGGCCCCGAGGAGAACCAGCCCCTGAGCCCCGCCCTCCTCTCTACAGGTGCGGAAGATCGCGCCCGAGTACTACGACCACCTGCCGCAGCACCACTCCTGGGTGAAGGTGCTCTGGGATTTTGTGTTTGAGGACTCCCTGGGGCCCTATGCCAGGGTGAAGCGGGTGTACAGGCTGGCAAAAGATGGTCTGTGAGCCCGGGCTGCCTCCTGGTGGTGGCCATTGTCCCCCATCGGCCCCTCAGCCTTGCACCCCAGCACTGAGAAGCTACATTTCCTTCCTGTGCTCTGGACTGCTGCCCTTGTCCCCGAGGAGTGTCCCGCGCAGCCACACCTGGCAACAGCAGTGTGGGCTGCAGGGCTCCGTCTGCACGTGGACTTGCCCTGGACCTTGAGTGTGGCCCTCCCTTTCTGGGCCTCCCCAGGTGAGGCCTGGCCCTGCCCCACCATGACCTGGGTGCTCTGAGCCCACGGTTCCCACGGAGCTGACTTCTCCGGGGTGCCTGTGCCCTACATTAAACCCGGCGTTTGTTTCACAGCCCATGGATTGTGCTTCTGAGGGGGTGGTCTGGGCTTGAGCCTGGCCCCAGGGAATGGGGCGCTGGGCCGCCCCGATGAGTGGAGCTTGAGGCCTGAGTGCCGCTTCGTCCAGGCCAGGCCCAGGTCCTGCCATGCACTCCTGGCTCTTTGTGGGACGGTGGCTGCTGCTGGCAGTGCTCCCTCAGGGCCTGCCACTGTGGTGTGCACACACACTGAGGTGTGGACAGCAGAAAGCTCACTTTGGTCATCTGTGTGGCTCCAAATCCCTCCTAGCAGCCCGGGGATCCCACGGCTCCCTTGCCTGGCTGAGCCACGCAGAGGCTGGCTCCCCCATCCCCCTGAGCCCACACCACCTGCCTTGCCCCCACCCCTTGGGCCTGCTCACCTCCTGCTCTCTGTATGCCCTCCCGCGGCAGGGAGCGTCCCTGAGCCCAGAGAGGGTCTATCCCCCACACCAGCTCGGAGGAGGGGCTGGAGGAGCTCTGCCCAGATCTGGCACCCAAGCCCGGGGGCTGGCCGGGCAGGTGACTGTCCTGGTGAGCCACAGCTCAGATGGGATGCGGGTCGGGCAGCGTCCTGGGAGTGTGCGTGACGTGAGACGTGTCGGTCCTTTCTACAGAAGGGCTGAGGGTGCAGCTGCGACCTAGGAGGTTGTCTTCTCCTGGAGGGCAGGGCTGGGTTGGGTCCTGATGTCCCAGAGGTGGGCAGGCAGCAGGAGGGGTGCCTGAGCGAGGAGGCCCTCCCTGCCAGAGAGGGATGGAGCGGGCCCACTGCAATCCAGCAGTGGATGCAGCTCCCACCACTGCCTTGGGGAAGGCGGCCTCAGCCTCCAGGACTTAGGAATGGAGACTGAGGCTACAGTCAGGGCTTGAAGGCCTCTCCATGAGTGGGGTGCCAGGGGCTGTCCCTGCTGACCTGGGAGATGCAGGTCTCCCCCTATACCTGGGAGTGGCCCCGCACAGCGCCGGCCTCCCATGTCCGAGTGGGCAGCCTGCTGAGTGGCGCAGGGAAGAGGCCTGAGCCCAGGACTTGTTCTGCAAAGGAAGTGCTGCTGGCCCCGGCACCAGGACTTTGAGCCGGGCGGCCCCTCCCTGTGCACACAGGCCCGCCCACAGGCTGAGGGGAACCCAGAGCACCCGCTCCTCCTGCTGTGCCTGAGGGGGTGCCTCGTTCAGCACACTTTTCTGCAGACAGCGCAAAGGGGCATGTCCAGGCCTCACCCACAAACTGAAGGCCAGGCCCAGGGTCAGAGGGTGGCTCCGAAGACAGACAGTCCTTTGAGCGCTCCTGGGGAGACTCCTGGCCTTGGGGGGAGCCCTCCTGGCCTGGGGGGCGGCAGGGAAGCGGGAGAGAGCAGCTCTGAGCTGTGGTCTGCAGGCCCTGGGTTAAAAGTGCCACCAGACCTAGGTGAAGCCTAGGCGAAGCCACTCAGAGAGTGGAGCCTCCTAAGGGGCAGAGCAGTCATATTCCTGTTGCTAGGGCTGCCGGGAAGCCCAACAACGTGCAGTGTGCTAGGAGCCGGCCCTTGAGATCAGCCACTGGGTCCCAGCAGGCAGTGCCGGCTCCCTCCCCTGCCATGGCCCTTGGGGGCTGCTGGGCACACTGCTCTGTGGCTGCAGGAGGTCATGTGGGAGAACTGGGGGCATGAGTGGTCACAGGATCTCAAGGCCTGCCTGTTGGTGGCCCTGGTTCCTTGAAGCTGAGGGTCAGAACCTCTGTCTCTGGCTGCTGCCTCAGGGCAGGGGCCTGGGACAGCCCATTGCAGGCCAGGTGGTCCTCCCAGGAGACTTTGTGGGGCCGAGGAGAAGGCAAAGCTGCCTTGCATTTGCCTGGTGCCTGCTAAGCCCCAAGTCCATCCCTCCCCTGAACAGGACGCTCGCAGGGCCCTGCCCGTCAGAATGCACGTGGAGTCCTCTGAGGTTCGGGGGTGTGGGTTGCACTTGAGGGACCATCTTCCTGGAGATCCCGTAGGGAGTTCCCTACAGGCAGGACCTGAGGCCCAGCCCCAGGACACCACCCCACCTTCCCGGGGCTTGGGAATGTTCTGAGCCCAGCTTCCTGTCGAAGACCGCCATCTTGCTCCTACGACTCCTGGTCACCGTGGTCCCGGGCCCTTCTCTGAAAAGGGGCATCCCCAGCCCGGAGCGTGATGGACCAATGCGAGGGCCTGAGCCCGAGGGTGCGGACAGTAAACCGTTTATTACTGTGTGGACACAGACACCGTGGTGCATGACAGACAGTTTCAACACCATGAGCGCTGGGGACGGAGCTGTGCCTGGACAGCTCTGCGGTGTGTGGTGGCGCCACGCTGGGCCGGCTGTCACCGCCAGCTGAGGCGCTAACAGCGTCACCTGGGAGAAAACCTGGAAACCGTCTAATGAAGCAGGTGACTTAGGGGCGTCTCTAGAAACCCAAAGAAATGTACCTTAAATAAGCAAATATAAAACACAAAAAAGACGAGCAGACCTGGTGTTCCGTGTCAGGCAGAATCTAAAAAAACCCAGGAGTTGCACTTGGTTTCCTCACTGTCATGTGTGATCACAGGTCAGGACGTTTCACAGCAGCGCGCCCAGGCTCCTGTGCGTGCTCTGGTGCACTGGAGTCTGGGGCTGGCTGGGCTTCTGGCTGTCCTCTGTCGCCGGATGGGCTCGACGAATCAGCGCAGCGAGGCCGGCCCCTTACGTGGTGCTGATCCCACTCAGCTCCTGCCTGATGGCTGCGGGACAGGTGGCGGCGGCTCAGGTGCAGCCATGACCAGTGCAGCCCGGTTCCTCATCAGGGCCCCGCACCCCTGGCGTGGACCTGCCTGGTATGTGTCCCTGTTCCATCTCCTGGGAGCCCCACCCAGGCTTTGGCATAGACCTCTGGGGTGATGACCAAAGGCTTTGGGTCTCATCTGCCATTCCTTCTGCGGCGGCCCCTGCTGCCACTGCCCTTTTAGGGGAGGACCTGGCGTAGGGACAGAGGCCTGTGCCCTGCCTGTGGCCTCACTGCTGCTGAGGAGTGCTGGGCACCAGAACTCTGGTGTGAGGAGCTGCTGTGTGGGGACGCAGGGTCTCTGTAGGCTCTGGACAGGTGGGTGTCCAGGTGCCGGGGGCCCGGGAGCCCTTCCCCCAACATAGTGGAGGCTGAGGCTCTGCCCTCCCAGCTCCTGCAGGGGTCAGCAGGAAATCTTGGCCCTGGACCCCAGGGACTGCCCTGGCTCTGCTCACTCCTCAGGAGAGGCAGGGTCCTCTCTTGCCTCCCCCCAGCTTCCTCATCACCCCAAGCTAGTGCTCCAACCCCCGGCCTCCCAAATTTGGGCCTTTCCCTCCTTCCTCTGGTATCCATCCCCTCCCGGACTCCCCCTCCTCTATGTCAACTCAGGCCTCTCTCTGGATGGACCTTGCTGGGCCAAGAGCCAACAGCCAGGAGAAGGTTGTGGGGGCTGGGGGATGGGAGCTGCTTCTCAGAGCCCCTGGTATGGCCCATGCCTACCCCCGGGCTCTCAGCCAGGGTGGGTTCCACCTGGGGCTGCACCCACAGCAGGTGGAGAGGCTGTGGTGGGCCCTGGGTTTCTGACCCAGCTATGCCTGGGGCCAGACGGCACCCAGCAGTAAGGCGGTGTGACCAGTTGGCTGAGTGCCTGCCTATCGCCCAGGCTGCCTCATTCCCCTCATTTGTTAACTCCTTATCTCCCCAGCCCAGGCCTTTGGGGGAACTGGACAAACAGGAACTGAGTGCTCTCTGCTCAAACAAGGGTGGGCCGGCTGGGGGAGGAGGCCTGGGTCTTTGGGCTCCCACCTGCCTCTTCCCTCTGCCATCAGCCTCCACCCCTGTGCGCTTGTGGGACCCTTTTGCCCCGGTCACTGTGATGCCCTGGGGGCCAGACCCAGCTACACACCCAGGTGTCAGCCTTTATCACCCTGGTTGGGGAGGCACGTGGGGAGCTGGCACTGGCTGTGCTGCATAGCTCGTCCCTAGACTGAGTCTGCCCTGCCCACTCCCCCTTTTCCTCTGGCTGCAGATCTGAGGCAGAGCATTCAAAGGCTCTGCTGGGAACCGGAAGGACGGATGTGATGCATTGAGACCCACCCTGCTCTGGAGCCAGAGGCTGCTCCCTGCCTGTTCCCCAGCCCAGGGCCAGGCAGGCTGTGAACGAGCTCAAGCCTGGAAGGTGCTTCTGTAGACCTTGGTCTTCCTGTACCCCCAGGAAGGCAGAGTGGTCACCTCAGAAGCCCAACACCAGTGACTGGAGGTGGCAGTATCAAGAAGGCAGTATAAACCGCCAGGGGGTGGAATGACAGCAGCTCAGGTGGCTCCTCCAGACCTGGCTCTGGAACGATGCTGGGGTCTCCCCTCCATGCTCTTCCCACGTGGGTCTTCCAGGAAGGTGCCGGGGATGTGGAAGGTCAGATTCGGGTGTCATGCTACCAGGGAGCTACAAATTCTTAGGCAAGCCACTTAGCTTTCAGCTTTCCTGAGCCTGTTTCCTCAACTAGAGATGGTAAGAATGAAATCTCTCACAGGGCCCAGTGCAGTATGGGCTCCAGCTCAAAACTGGAGGCCCCCAGCCTGGGTGACAGGGACCCTTGTCCTGCGGCCACACCTGGGTGCCACCCTCCCCGGTGGGGCTGCACTCACCGTCGATGATCTCCTCCTTCACCTTGTGGAGCTCTCTCACCACCTCCTCTAGGATCTCCTGTTGGGAGAGGAGTGTCCAGGTGAAGGGACAGGCAGTGGAGACGGAAAAGCCGGCCTGGGCTGGGCCATGTCCAAAGGGCTTGGGGTCTCCTGGGCCTCTCCAGAGTTGCATCTGTCACCCTTGTCTCCTCGTGGCCCCCTTCCCACGCTGAGGGGGGACGGCATGGGAGGCCTGGGAAAATCCTGCTGCCACCTCCCTCAGGTAGACGCCACTGAAACTAAGGGCTTCCTCGGGGCAGAAAGCCCCAGAGGCAGGCCTGAGGGAGGTGCCCAGAAAGGTTGAGGGACATCCTAGTTCTGGTGATGGCAGGGGCTGGGGACAAAGGACAGGCTTGGGCACCCCCTTTCTGCCGTGGCTGCTCCCTGACTGGCCTTTTGGCAGCTACATGTGGGCCCCCAGGGCCTGCCTGGCCATGCTGGTCAGAGACGGTCCCCCGCCTGCTGGCTGCCCTCAGCCTCTTGAGGGAAGGGCACAGGGCATGCTCACCTGCTTCATCCGGTCCAAGTCGAAGGCATCCAGGGCCATGTCATTCACGCTCCCAGCAGGCTTCATCCTGGGAGAGAAAGGGCCTGTGGGTGCCCTGGCTGGAGACAGGTGTGGGGGAAAGCTGGCTGTGCAGAGGCCCCGCTCAGGCTGGGCCCACCTGCTCCCCTCGCTCCATAGAGGCTGCTTGCTTCAGACTCTGGCCACCTCAGACTGCCTGAGAAGGATTTAACGCCCGTCTCCACCTCAAGAGGTCTCCATGGATACCGTGACTGTATTTCCCAACCCGAGAGCCAAGGCTGGCTGGGGTCAACAAAGAAACTGCTTTCTGATCAGAGAGCTCTTATGCAGAGGTGGCAACTTAAGTGACAACATCGCACCCACCCGTTGCCTCCCTGGAAAGAAACACAGTATTGACAGCCTCCTCCTCAGGGTGGGAGCTCATGCTCCAGGTTGAGCTTGGGGCTCGGGGAAGCAGCAGCGGCGGCAGGAGGCACAATGTGAAGTTGCAGAGTTCACACCGGCCTGGAGGCGCGCTCCTGACACACCAGCGCCCCTGGTGCTGGAGCCTGCTCGGGCATAGCACACCTCCCCCAAGAAACATCCTCCCATGTGGTGTCGCTTTTTTTTTTTCAGACAGAGTTTTGCTCTTGTTCCCCAGATTGGAGTGCAATGGCGCAATCTTGGCTCACTGCAACCTCTGCCTCCCAGGTTCAAGCAATTCTCCTACCTCAGCCTCCCCAGTAGCTGGCATTACAGGCATGTGCCACTTTTGTATTTTCAGCTAACTTTTGTATTTTCAGCAGAGATGGGGTTTCACCATGTTGGCCAAGCTGGTCTTGAACTCCTGACCTCACGAGATCCACCCACCTGGGCCTCCCAGAGTGCTGGGATTATGGGCGTGAGCCCCTGCACCTGGCTGGTTTTGCTCTTTCAAGGTAGTTCTCGTGGACTACTTCTTTGAAAAGTTTCCAAACTAAGGTAACCGATTTGAATTTTATTTTTACTTATTTGAGACAGGGTCTCACTCTGTCAACCAGGCTGGAGTACAGAGGCGTATCATGCCTCACTGCAGCCTCAACCTCCCAGGCTCAAGTGAGCCTCCCGAGTAGCTGGGACTACAGACATGTGCCCTTTTTTTTTTCTTTTTTAACTTTTTGTAGAGATGGGGTCTCACTGTGTTGCCCAGACTGGTCTCCAAGTCCTGGGCTCAAGTGATCCTCCCGCCTCGGCCTCCCAAAGTGCTGGGATGACAGGCATGAGCACCGCGCTGGCCTGATTTGAATGTTAATGTGTCACACATGCATCTTCCCTGGAAGATCTTGGCAAAATGCTTGTCTCTCTGGTCTTTTAAACATGACTTGGTGCTGAAAGACACACTGCTGGGACCCAAGTTCCCTCCCACATGGACGGGATGGAGGCTGGAGCCCAAGGTTTCAGGGAAACGTATGTGGCCTGTGCCCCTGGGTGTGATCATGGGCACACACATTTATCTGGCAGGGCCAGCCTTGGCTGCTGAGGGGTCATGGGCACAGAGGAGGACCATCTGGTGACACTGAGGACCAGTGTTGCCCACAGCCAGGGAGAATAAGGATGAAGAATGAGTGTTGCCACACCCCTCCAGATGAGCTCAAGAAAGAGGCCAAGCCTAGCCCTAAACAGGTCTGTAAGTAATTCTGGGTCCTGATAGGCAAACGCATCCAGCCAGAGGGCCCTGGGTCCTTCAGGCCTCTCCTGTGGGTTCCAGACCCTGTTCCAGCAACAATTGCTGGGACACCTGGGCCGACTGCTCCACCTCGCCAGGCCCTGGCCCTCTCCATCTCAGCCCTGACAGCCACCCAGTGATAAACACAGCAGGCTTCCTAAGCAATGTGACGCACCAGAGGGGTGGTGGTACACGTTCCCCTTGAAGTCATCTGAAAATTAGAGAACAGATTTGCCTCAGAGCTGAAGAGAGACCCTATTCCAAGCATGAATGGCCTTGACAATGTTCCTGCCCAGTGAGCGACCCTTGGCCACTCACAACATGGCAGCCCGCCTTTGCTCCACCAGCAGGACGTGGCGGAGTCCGCTGGGAGCGCTGCAGGCTCCCCTTGCTGCCGTGTCTGCTCCAGGGCCCTCGTTTTGCCCACTCTGGTTGCCTTCCCCTTCCCAGCCTCCACCATGGCACCCTGTGCCTCAAGTTCCATGACTGGGCCCTGCGCATGAACACAATGCAAACTTCTAACTCCGCGCTCCCCCACACCCTCTTCCTCACCCTTCCCGTTCCCCTGCCCCATGGCCTGTCTGCTTCCAGGTGGAGGTGCGGGGGAGCTTGGCGGGTGGCTGCAGGCTCAGGGCCCTGGCACTTACCCTTCCTTCAGCTTGGGAGGCTGTCCCCATGATCTCCGCAGAGCAGACTCCTCCTCGTCCGGGTCAACGAAAATGCCAGCTCCCGACAGAGGCTTGCCCCACCCCACTCCGCAAAGCACCCTGTCCCTTCCACCATGTGGCCCTGCACCCTGTCCAGAGCACCCCTCAGGACCACAGTGGCCTTGTTCACACGGTGCTCTTTGCAGGCAGGGACTGTCCCCAGCACACGGCCTGGCTGACCACAAGCCTTGGACAAACCCCAGCTGACTGCTAAGACTTCCTCATCTCTGTCCACCTGCACTGCTCTGCTCTCACCACCTGTTCAGCTCTGCAAGGCCAGTTTCAATGCCTCCTGCTCTGTGATAAGGGTGGTTTCCCTTCAATTTGTGGTGGCGATGGAGACATTCTTGACGCAGGTTCTAGAGGCCTTCCAATTCAGGCCACATGTACCTCCAGATACTATGTGGCTGGCTGCCTCTGCCTTTTTGGGCAATCTCAGTTCCAAATATTCTATCATGTTGTCATGCCAGCTTTTGGCTTGGGAAATATGGTCAGTATGTCTGTGGGGAAACTGATTCTGTGTGCCGGCCGCAGAGGAAGGACTCTGGGCTGGAGGAAAGGGGTAGGGCTCAGCGCCAGTGCTAGGACTGGTTGAACTGTAGGGTGCAGCCCTGGCTAGTGACCACACCCCATGTCCAGCTGTTGCTCACAGCTGTCCCCACCACCACCCTGTGCAGCAGGGGTTAACAGACCTCACTTTGTGGGGGGAAAACAGAGGCTTGGAGAGGTCCCCTAACTTGCCCACTGTCACACGTAGTGAGTCCAGAGCTGGGACTCCATGTTGGCCCCCCCCTGCACTACCTCTGTGGACAGGTCACTGCCCTCCTTGCCCTTGGTCTCTCTCTCAGAGGGAAAAGACGGAGCAGCTGACTGACAGGACCCCGAGGTCCTGGGTCTGAAAGAACAGACCACCTTCGCAGAGCAAGTTGTTAAATGCCAGGACGTGAGACAGCGTGCAAGGGTGTTAGTCACGGGACGGGGGACAGAGGAGCCCCAAACCCTGGGGGACATGTGAGCAGGAGGGTTGTTCGGTACCTAGAGTGAGGCTGCGACTGAAGGGGGCTCTTAGCTTCGGGGCTCTTTGCCACAGACGGGGTTCTACGGCAATGGAATGAAACAGACATGTGAATCGGCGCCAGCGCCCGCCTCTGCCCCACCAGCCTCGCTGCTCAGGCCTTCCTGGGGCAGCTCACCTGGACAGAATCGAGGACACAGGCTTCTCCACCGAGTTGCTCCGCTCCCAGGGCTTCCGGCCAGCCTCTGTCAGTTCATTTCATGGATGAAGAACCTCACAGGTGAAGGGACTCAGTAGCCACCCCAATCCCCTAAACACCCCAACAGGAAGCCCTCACCCATGCCAAGGGTGCAGAGCCCCGTGGCAGGAAGGTCTGATTGAGTTAAGCCAAAACCTGGCACCTTGTTCTCAGTCCCCCATGGCCTAGGTCAGGTTGACCCTGACCTGTGATCTGGTTCTGAGCCCTTCACTGTGCCAGGTCTCTCTGGAATGTGAGCCTGCTGGTAAGGGACCCAGTGACTAGAGCCACAGGGCGAGCAAGCACGACCTCCCCGGACATCCCAGCACAGCCTTGCTCCCACGTGTGGTGTGGCGGCCAGGCCCCTCGGCCCGGCACCTGCTACTGAGGGGCTCCTTAGTCTGCCTCCCATGCTGCGCCTGGCTCTGTCCCATTCTGGCTGGCTTGTCTTTTTTAAGTGGTATTGGATTATATTTTGTTCTACTCCAAAAGATTTGTTGCATTAACTTGAATTCGTTGACTGTGCAGGACAAGCAGAGGCAGAAGACAAAATCTCTAGGGGGTAGTGGGGCAGCTGCCTGGCCCAGAGCTAAGCCTTGGCACCCTGCGGACCAACGGTGGGATTGAGGCAGTTTTCCTCAAAGCCACCTTCTGGGACAGGCGCTGGGCCTGCAGGCACTAGACCTGGGGCTACAGACATGTCCCAGGTGTGTGGCCTTGAGCAAACCACTTTGCACACAGATGGGAACCACGTAGCCCACTCACTGGGCTGTTGGAAGAAGCAAACAGGGCAGGGGTATTGATCACGTTCATCAGCCAGGAACCTATGCATCCTGGCAAATCAAGACACCAGGCAAAAATCTTAGGAGGAGAGGACATGGCGTGCAGTTTCACAGGGAGGCGACACCCAACCTGAGCATGCCCCAGAGACACACGCGAACAGCTGGCAAGAGCCTCCTCTGCCCAGCTAGGGCAGCCTGATGCCCCTGTCTCTCCTCGCTGTGCTCATGAGCACAGGCCTGGCACAGAGCAGGTGCTGCAAAGATGTTTGTCGAATGAACAACCAACCCTGGGGTCTTCCTCCCCTGCGAAGCCTCATCATACTCTCCTAACTACCTCCCATCTGCCACAGCTTAGACAGAGAGAAACCTGAGCCAGGGAAGGGGCTGCGTTTTGGGTGGAGCGAGATCTACTGCCATCTCTGTAATGTCGGTCATCAGCTGGCGTTTCACTGGGAGACATGAGTCCTGACACTGATACCTCTTAAGAGCACTGGCCCCAGCCTGCCTCAGGAGCCCTGGACACAAACTCCCACCCTGAATATGTGCCGTCAGGCAAGTGCCTTCTCTCGTGCGGGACTCAGGGTCCTGGTGGGAAGGTGACACGCAGGTCACCCTGGGGACCCATCACAGTGGCTCTGCTCTAGCACTTCCTGTGCTCCCACATGGGCTCCTGGGGGAGGCTCTGGGGGACCCATAAGAAATGGGCTTCCCTGTGGCCTGGCCCTCTGCTCAGGCATACTAAAGAGGCTGGATCAGAGGGTCCTGTCCGAAGGGTCCCCCCTCCCACTCTGAGACCTCATGCCTCACTGGGGTCAGCGGGGGGCGCCCTCTCACCTGAGGAGTTAGGTGGCTGGCTGGCTGCTCGGGTCCCCGGAGAGGGGGAGGTACTAGGATCTTCCTAAAATGGAGAAGAAGGGAGTCTGTTTAGGAAGGCCACCTGGGGCCAGGGCAGGACATCATTGGACACTTCATAAAACCTCAGTTTTCCAAATGTTCCCAATGAACACATATGACTTTTATAATTAGCAAAACATTAAATATTTAAAAGTGAAAACGCAAAATCTCAGTGGGGAGAGAATCGAGCCAGTGGACAAAGCTGGGGAAGGGGAAGGCTACAGGGAGCTACAGGCTCTCAGCAGGGTGATATAGAACTTCCTTCTGGCCCTCAACACCCGCAAGCCCTGAGCCCCCCTTGGGCCGGATGCCTCCCGTATGTCATCTCACTGACTTCTCATGAGCACCCCGTGGACTGGCCTGCTCCCCCTGTGCAGCACACACACCTGCCCGTGTAATAGGTCTGTGGCAGTGCTCGAACAGTGGACGTGTTCATCCAGCAGTGGGGACACCTAACACTCATCATGCATGGCATGTGCGTCAGGATGGTTTTTCAGCATCAGGAACATGCCACTGATTAAGTAATAAGAGTAATCCTTCCACTTGATGAAGCAGAATGCACAGCATTTGAGCTGTTGACAGGCGGCCACCCAACCTGATGTGTCATTCTGATCTGAAGCAAAGAACCTCTCCCTTGTCACCGTGGGCAGAGGTCTTTGCTTTGTCTCCTCTGCTCACTACATCCCCACACGAGAATCAGGAACGCCCTGCGTATCTGTGTGGTGAACGAGTAAGTCCCGGGAGGCTCTGGTCGAGAGGCAAAAGCAGGTGCCAGCCTGCAGGTGCTGGGATGAGGTTCTCAGGCCTCCTCATTTTAAAGACAGCTGAATAACAGATTATGTCAATCAACACACACATGTGGGGGCCACGATGAAAGCGATACAGGGTGACATCAGAGTCACTAAAAAATTATCATCTTTTCTTGTATGTTATTTTTTTAAAACCCTCCCTGCTTAAAAGGGAAGTTATGCTTTGACTCTAGGCTGGGAAAGAGGTGGCCGCAGCACTCCCAGGCCCTGGGCACAGAGACTTGCACCCCACCTCTGGCAGTCGCACAGTCTGTGAGGCGGCCATGCCTGGGTGCAGGTTTTCAGGTGGTGGAACTGGTCCTCGGAGCAGTAACTCCATTGGCCCAGGGCCAGCTCTGCCATGGCAGAGGGCCTGCCCAAGTCACCGGACTCCACATTTGGGGCTCTTTTCGTCTTTCAAATAAGCCTTCTTTCTTCTCTGTTAATGATAAACTTAGTGCATGTTCACTGCAGAGAATTGGGGAAATACCAGGAAGCATGAACAAGAAAACGAGTGCCGGCCATCAGCCTCTCTCCCTCCCACTGCACTTGTGTGGTGTGTGGATCTTCTGAAGGCCCTGCTCTCTTTAGACGCTAGTCCTGGGTATGAGAAGGGACCATGGCAAACAAGAACCAGCTGTAGCCAGGGGCCTGTGAAAAACAAGACAGAAAAGATGGGGGTCTGAGGAGGAGAGTGCTATCCTTGGGGTTGAAGGTTTCAAGAATGTTCCTCTTCCAGAAGCCCCTGGGCTTTGAAATCCATTCTTCTTAGAGCTCCAGGAGCGAGAGTTTTAGTTTTCAGGGGCTGGGACTGCAACATACTGGCACCTGACTAAGAAAGGCCAGCGATGTCTTCAGATCCCCAGGGCTGTGGCTGGAGCGAGGCCACAGTATTTTGATGTCTGTGATTATCCCGTGGCCTGCAATTTCAGAAATTCATGGCAAGTCAGTTGGCTAAACTCCACAGCATGTGCAAGGTATGGGAATGGTGGACGTGTGAGAAGCCCAGGCCTCGCCCTCCAAGGGCCTAAGATCTGGCAGGAGACAACGAGTCTCCACAAGCAGTCGTGCCTGTGCAGAGGGCCTCGGGAGAAGACCGGGGCTGGGATCAAGTAGTGAGGAGCTTTGTGAGGCCTGGGGGTCGGGAGGCTGTTTTTTTGTTGTTGTTGTTTGTTTTGTTTTTGAGACGGAGTCTCGTTCTTGTTGCCCAGGCTGGAGTGCAATGGTGCGATCTCTGCTCACTACAACCTCCGCCTCCCAGGTTCAAGCAATTCTCCTGCCTCAGCCTCCCGAGTAGCTGGGATTACAGGCATGCGCCACCATGCCCCGCTAATTTTGTATTTTTAGTAGAGATGACGTTTCACTATGTTGGCCAGGCTGGTCTCAAACTCCTGACCTCAGGTGATCCGTCTGCCTCGGCCTCCCAAAGTGCTGGGACTACAAGTGTGAAGTGTTGAGCCGGCCGGGAGGCTGTTTTTTAAGGTGTAAGGGTGATGCAGGGAAGTGCAGGCTGAATGGGAGTTGGCTGGTGGGGCAAAGGGACCCATATGTGCCCAGGACGGGGCTGAGAGGCGTGGATCAGCTGGGAGGGCTATAGCCTCAGGGTAACACCAGCATGACCCTGACTGATGGGAGGACAGGGCAGGAAGCCTGCTCTGGTCCCTGGCAGTTTTATTTCCTCTCTGATTCTGCACTGAGGTGGAACCTTCAAGGCATTTGTAGTTAAGGCTAAACTTAGCCCTGTCAGTAGGAGTCTTTTTATAGGAAAAGCTTAACATGGAGGAAAAGAGAATTAGCCGCCCTAACTGGAAGCAGATGTTGGGAGCTCTGGCAGCCAGGCTGGCTCTGGGCTGCCTGGTAAGGACAAGAGCCAGGGGTCCAGGGCTCCTTTGCCACAGCTCACCTGAAGCTCCTGCTGGAAGAGGAGTCTTTAGAAACAGAAATAATTTGAAAATAAAAACCTCTCTGGGCTTCTGGCAGACGTGCCCCTCTGCAGTGTACTCCTGGAGTCCCAGTCCCGCCGAGACCCTGGCTGGTCTGTGCTCCCCGGGGCTCCTGGGAAGGCGAGGTAGCCCTGCGGTGCAGCGGCCAGCGCCTCAGGCTGCAGCTCCAAGGGTGGAGCAGTGTCTGGTAGGGGGTGCTCAGTGAGGGCAGGCCTGCTGCTGGGGCCAGGGTGGCGCAGGGACAAGCACCGCAGAGACCCTCCGCCCCTCCTGTGAATCACCTGATGAAGCGCCCATCCCACGCATGTCCCAAAGGCCTCGCCTGAGACCAGAGAGCCTCCCTGGCGATGCGCTCATCTCAGTGGGGAGCCTGAGGGTGGGGCGGGCTGCTTGCTCACCATTTGGCTTTCATCTTCCTTCTTCTCGGCTGGCTTGTCTGACTGGGAGGCTGCTTTTCTCCTAGGCACAGAGAAGGGGAAGATACAGATCAGCTCCTCACGTTCTCTCACTGTCCCAGAACTCTTCTGCCTCCACCCTGCCAGACTCACCCCGGTCCTCAGATAAACCTGTGTGGGAAAACGATGGCGTGAAGGAGGCGGCTTGTCTAGGCCCCGTCTGGTGAGGAGCCAGGCCCAGGCAAATGTCCAGGCCCTCCGTGTGGTCATGGCCTGGGACACAAAACTGGTCTAGGCAGAGAGGGCGAGATGCCTCTATGTCTGTTTAGCTCTACTGGCAGCAGCTGTAGCATCTGAGGCGTGGAGGGGAGGCGGGCACGCTCTGTCCCCAGGACACTGAAGGCCTGGCCACACGGGACAGAGAGGCATCTCTCTGGGCTGCAGTCTGTCCCACAGGTCGGGACACTGGACACTTTCTTGTGTCACTCTAAGGCCCTTGTGTCTTGGAACTCAGTTAACCCAGCCACGCCCTCCCCAATCTAGAATGCCACTCAGAGCCTGGAAATGCTCAGAAGAGGAGCCCTGGAATAGGTCCACGTGACGCCCTTGAGTCGGTTCGTGCACCTCCCCAGTATGAATCCCCGTTTCATGTACTCTAAAACCTCACCCATATTTTTTGGCCTCAGTGGTATCTGCTGACCTCCCAGGTCTACAGAGGCAGGCAGACCCTCAGTGTTTCCCAGAGATACGCTTCTGTGGCTTTTCAACTTGAGATGAGCTGCCCATCAAGCATGGAGCTGGTCTGAGGTGTGATAATGGGCCGTGGCCAGGCTGTCACCTGTCTGTGATGGGCCTACCTGGCAGCCTCCTCAGCTACAGCAGGGGCCCCCTTCTTTAGCTCCCATCTCAGGACAGGTCTGCCCACCTCGTCCCTCAGCCCAGAAACCAGGGAATCATCCCTGACACCAGCTTCTTATAACTGTCAGCCTGGTCAGTTCTCTAAATCTGGGTACCTGCCTGTCTTTTTTGTCTTCACCTTCAACACCTTCCTGCATGCCCCTATCATCTCTTCCTGGACTGTCAGAGTCTCCTAACTGGCCTAGCCACGATCACTTACACCTCACCAGCTACCCCCCAGCAGCCAGTGTCCCATCTCCTAGAAACAGAACGCTGACCAAGCCACCTGCTCACGGGGAGTGTAGGCGGGATGAGTGTCTGTGAAAGTGCTGCTGAACAGGAGCTTTCTGTCCACGTTCATTTCCCTCCTGCCCTCCACTGTTGGGAGACTCAACTGCATGCCCTCAGAGGCGGGAGACAACCTACATGAAAAGAAACCTGGCAAGGGCACTTTCATCGTCGGCTCCACCCAGTAGCCATCACTGAGGTGGATTTCAGAGAGCACCTGATTGATCCCTGCTGAGCTATGCAAAGCATGTTTGTTCTTGGGAGGGCCTTGACTCTCCCACCGGCATCTGGCATCTCACTGGCTCCTGGCAATACTGGCCTTTTCCTGTTCTCAGACAGAAAGGTGCTTCCCCTCAGCTTGGTCTAGGACTTAGGGAAAGCATTCATATTTTCTTTTCCAAAACTATTTCTATTTCTCTGTGGCCCATCCTCGCCTCTGAGTGCTCTGAGGTGGAACCCGATGCCCTGCACCAGGAGGCTCCCTCTTCCAGCCTGACTTTTGGTCCATTTCCTCCACACCTAGCTCTCCAGGCACAGGGGGCGTCAGCCTTCCCAGCCTTACCTTAACTCTGCCCACTGTCCCTCTTACAGCACGGGACGTCCTCATCGTTCTGCGAGCCCTCCCGGCTCTCTCACCCACGGAGCCATTCGCCTTTGTGTGGCCACTGTAAGCCCCACACACCTGGACTTACTCTCACAGGAAACTGCTCAGAAGCCTGCCTCCTGTCTTGGCGATGTACAAACGCCCAGGCCCAGTAGAGGCTCCGGAGACGCCCGTGCTGCGGATCCACCTTGCTGCTCCCTGACACACGGGGAGCCTCCCCTCCCTGCCATCTGTGATGCAAGCAAAGAGCCCCTTGGCAGGAAACCCAGGCTGTGGCCCTGCCATGAAGCGCCACACCAGCTGCCTGCAGCTGTGGGCCTCTGTCATCTCGCATCATCCTCATGGAGCCACGGGAAGGTAATGAGAGGAACTAGGACTGCAGTGTGAAGACCCTGGGCACACAGAGTTCTCACTTGGGTCAGCCAATTGGAAGGCAGCTGGGAGGGCCAGGAGAAGGCGACAAAGTGGCAGGGGGTGGAGGTGGGGTTACCAAGGGAGCAGGGCCCCCGCTGCAGCTTCCTCTGTTCTGGCAGGTGAGGCCTACTCCCGTGCCCTCTGGTGCCTAAGTGAGCCACGATATTGGTAGTCCAAGGTGAGCACATTCCTGATGCCAAGTCATATTTAAAAATAAAATCCAAGCTTTGCATCCCTTTTGAGAAAGACCTGGACGATCTCCCCATCTGCTCGGGTTTCATTTGGGGAACAGCGGAGAGCCACAATGGCAGGCTGCAGCCACACCCGCTGCAGCGAGCAGACACACATGGCCAGGTCTCAGGCCCAAGAGCCCGGCCGGGATGTAGATGGAACTACTCTCTCTCCGTCGCTCAGGGCAATGCCCTCTGGGCTCCTACCCTTCATAACTCCTTCTCCTGAGTCCTCCATAAAGAACCCTGGAGAATGGGGTGCCTTCACCACACATTCACCAGAGTGTCCTCTGCAAACTCGACCACTGCGGCCACATCTTATTTCTGTTAGGATCTTAAGAGCAAGGACTGTTCTTTTTCCCGCATTTATCTCTGAAATTGTCTCCACATTTATCTCTGCTCAGGACAGGGCTGGTACATGGTAGATGCTTCAGGAAATATTTGCTGAGCTAAAATGAAGGATCTGGAGTTTAGAGGACTCCTGTGGGCTTGCGCTTCAGACTAACCCCTTGGGAAGGGAAAACTTAAGTAACAGTTTCCCCTGCTTGGCTAAACCCAGGGAACAAAGATTCTGGGGTCAAGAGAGGATTCTCTGTGCAGCGCTGGGGGCGGGGGCAGGAGCTTCCTGCTAGGCACACCAAGTCTCGGGAGGTGTAGAGACCCACCTCTTGGCCAGCAGTTTGTTCATTTCCTCCATGAGGCCTCCTCCGCCACCCCCGCTGCTTGCCCGGTTGGCATCGGACTTTGAGGTCCCACTGGGACTGGAGCCTCCAGATGCGTCTTCTGGCTGAGGAAAAAGGAGGCCGCGTTTTAGATTCTGCTGCTGATGGCAGAACAGGAGCAGCAACGATGTGAGGGGATGCAGGGGACTGTGTGCGTGTGAATCCTATGGCAGCAGCACTGCAAGGGGCCTCAGGGGCCATCTGGTCCATTATTCTCCAACCCCACAGGGGAGAAAACCAGAATCGAGAGAGGGACAAGGACCAGCCCAGGTCACACAAGTCGCAGACACTCCCCAGGCCTGCAGACTCATGGTTAGTGTCTTTGCCAAGACCAGCCATGACACATGGAGGGAGGGAGGGAGGGGAGAAGAGACTATCCTGTGGGAAGGAAA
The DNA here is from genome assembly GCF_000001405.40 of Homo sapiens. Classification (NCBI taxonomy): domain Eukaryota; kingdom Metazoa; phylum Chordata; class Mammalia; order Primates; family Hominidae; genus Homo; species Homo sapiens. The sequence goes on along the minus strand of NC_000014.9, from coordinate 100,129,235 downwards.
CACAATGTAAGCCAAAGGTCTGTATTAGAGCTATTCTTACAAGCACAGTTCTAGAACATATGAGCAAGGGTTAGGGAAGAAACAGCCGGGTGGACCTAGTTGCCAGCATACAGCTTCCTACAGTGGAAAGGGCAATGGACATAGATTCAGGAGACCCAGGCTTGAGTCCAAAATCTGCAATTTGTAAACGGTGTGACTTGAGCAAATTACTCGTGCTCTTTGTGCTTCAATTTCCTCATCTCTAAAGGGGGACATAGTTCTTGCCCCACGTGTGAAGGTCAACGTGAGGCTCAAAGGCTAACTTCATAATTTCAAAGTGCTGTCCCATGTGATTTCTCGTTTGAGAACAAGTGGCCAAGGGCCAGCTAGCTTTGGGCAGGGAAGCAGTTTGCTGTGTCTCGCAGATGCGGGAAGGAACACAAGCGCTCTGCAGATGGCACAAGGGTCCCCTCGGTCCCATTCCCACCCCGCACACAGGAGCTCTTACCCGTTGGACTCTTCTCAGCTTGGCCCCAGCTATGGCAGCGGCCAGTCCTGACATGGAGCTCTCGTCGTGGCTGGACCCCTGGGCTCCTCCGGCTGGCAGTGGGGGTGGGGGAGGTGGGGTAGCCCCAGTGGGTGGAGGTGGGACTGGGGGTGGGGGGGGCGGTGGAGGCCCACTACATGAGACGGGGGCGCTGGCTGCAGATGAAGGATGTCCTGGTGGGAGGATGGGCCCTGAAACACAACAGTGAGGCTCAGCCAGCTCCAGCACCCAGCTGGGGGCCAAGCCTGCTGCTCTCAGCTCAGGTTCCCCGGAGGAAGGACAGGGGCAGGCTGCTCCCCAAAGGGATGAGAAACAGCTCCAGGCCTGCTTCATCCAGGAAGCCTCCGCGGGATGAACTTGGCTCTGGCACAATTATTCCCTATTCTGGTGTCCTCAGTACTCCGGGGCCTGGCTGGACCCACAGGTGTCCTCTATTTGCTTAACATTCCTTGAGCCCAGGCAATTTCCTCTTGCTCCAATCATGTTTTTCCAGGGGGAGAGGAAGCTGTCTGGTTACAGTCTGTGCCTCTTCTCTTCTCTGCTCCTTCTAAGCACCTAGCACCCCCTAGGCAGAAGTTGGTCACCAAGATCCAACTGTGACTGACACTTGGGTCGTTGGGGGCCGTGGCAGGTCCTGTGGGTCCCAGGGCCGACTGGGGGCATGGGTCAGGGCGCAATGCCGAGTGCTGGGCTCCAGCATCATCCATCCAGCCCCTTCCGCCAGTGCTGCCTAAGCCTGTTTTGTGCCAGGCACTGTGCTAGGTGCTGGGTATGGTGCTGAGGAAAACCAGCCACAAGCTCTCTGCTCAGGGTGCTCACAGCCTATGAGGAACAGTCAACGAATCGCAGAGGTAAACGCAGATGGAGGACTGTGGCAAGCTGACAAGTGTTACCAAGGGCAGGCACACGGCGCCATGTTGGCATACAAAGAGGGGCTCCAGCCTGGCCAGAAGTTCATGGAAGACGGACGTCCTCCATGACGTCCTCACGGAAGTGACTGTGGAGCTGGGACACGACCGGAGAGCAGGGGTTCAGTTAGGTGAAGGGGGGAGGCAAGTGTGAGGAAGGAGGAAAAGGATGGGAAGTGCTTGCGAGGCACTAGAGGGAGAGAGGGCAGGCACAGGCTGTTCCAAGAGTGATGGGGAAGGGACGACATGATGACAGTGTCAGACCTGCATCAGAAATGCAGACTGGCCGGGGAGCAGGAGGCCAGCAGCAGCTAGGTGGGGGTGATGGGGTCAGCCAGCATCTCACGAGCAGAGCGTTCCTGTAACCAGTGGGGGCTCGGGTTTCTCATCAGTCAACAGGATAATAGTCACCTGCTCACTTCATAGGGTGTTTGAGAAAATTAAACAAGACAAAGGACATGAAAGCACTTGGTAAATTATCCAGTCCTTTGCCTATCAGTGAACATGACAATTTCTGGAAAACCCTCGTCCTTCTCCTTTAACGTGCTAAGCTCCACCGAACGTCCAAGACAGACGCGTGGCAGCGCCTCCTGTGGGAAGTCTTCCTGACCCAAGGTAGGCCTTCAGCACCTGCACGTCACTTGCCACAGTGTTCACTACGTGACATGACAAGGGTGGGTTCACTGTCTCCTTGAGTGGACAGCGGGCTTCCTGAGGGCAGGAACTGCATCTGCAGTCATAGTTGTGTCCCCAGCCCTTAGCACGGTGCCTGAGACACAGGAGGTGCTTGCTGAATGTCCACTCCGGAGAAGGTTGGCAGGTAGTGGCCAGACCCAGCTGAGCAGACTCCCCAAGCCTCTGCTCTGCTCTCTTGCTACCCTCACCATCTGAAGTGGTGGTTGCACTTTGAGACCTAGGCTCCCCATAGCTGCTCACAGAGCGCCCCGTGTGTCCCTGGGCCTCATCTACGTGGAGGGGCTGCCACCTGGCAGCAGCATGGGAGTCGGCCCTAGGGGAGGAGGGCTCTCACCTGTGGCCGAGGTTCTTCTTTCTAGAGATTCCTGACGCTGCTGCTGGTGCTGCTCCATCACTTGTCTGGAAAGTAATCACAGCAGGGCAGTCTGACTCCTCCACTCTGGAGACCACCACACTCTGTGCCTGTGCTGTACCCGCCGGCCCCGGCTTCAGAGTCAGGTTTCGCCAGCGCTCCACAAGCGCCACTGTGTGCCACGGCTGCCTCCACTTAACAGAGGAGGGGGATGTGACTGGGTCCAGCTCCCGCAAGTGGGAGCACCGGCTGTCTCCTGAGTCTCAGGCACACTGAACACAGAGCTCCTTATGGAAGGCCAGTGTGATTCCACTCCCCAGAGTGACCAAGCTCTTCCCTGGGCTAGATGGGCGCACCTGGCTTTTGGGAGCCTGTGGCCTCAACAGACCCAGCCTCAGGAACGCCTGTTCTTAGTGGACCTGGCCAAGCTTCCTGGGACAGTTCTCAGGTGTGTTTTGGTTGCCAGCAGAAATGGACACAAAGGCCACACTCCTCATTTTCTTTACCACTGAGCGGTCATAGGCCCGCCTTCGTCTAGAGGGCCATTTGGTGCACCGTGGCACACTGCTACGTGCACAGCAGTGGGAACTCACATCCCAGTGCCTTATGGCAGGGTGGCCTCAGGGTGCTCTTAAAGGCAAGCTGAGTGAGGACACTGAGGCCCAGATACATCTCCAGAATCCAGGGATCGAGTTCTGGAGTGGGAGGCACTTTAAGAAATCATCCAGGCCACAGACAGCATCAAGAGCTCAGCTCGTGTGGTGCAAACTGAACATGTGCTGTGGAAACACAGGGCTAAGGATTGTTCTGAAGGCAGCTCTGGGCTTGGTGGGAGTGCCAGAAACATCTATTTCATGGGGTTCTTGTAGGGTGTATGCCTTAACTAAAACATTATGGAATGGCTGGGCGTGGTGGCTCACGCCTGTAATCACAGCACTTTGGGAGGGTGAGGCGGGCGGATGACGAGGCCAGGAGTTTGAGACCAGCCTGACCAACATGGTGAAACCCCATCTCTACTAAAAATACAAAAATGAGCTGGGTGTGGTGGCGCGCGCCTGTAATCCCAGCTACTCAAGGGGCTGAGGCAGAAGAATCTCTTGAACCCAGGAAGTGGAGGTTGCAGTTAGCCAAGATTGCGTCACTACACTCCAGCCCGGGTGACAGAGCAAGACTCCATCTCAAAAAAAAAAAAAAATTACGGAAAAGCCCCTTTTAGCATTAAGGTCTGAAAAGCTCCCAGCAGCATCTACATTAGTGTCTCTGCTCAAACTGCTGAAACCTCCCCAGCAGGAGCCACACACCTAGAACACCATGGTAAAATGAGGATGTGTGAAAAATACTCAAGTCAGGTCTGAACCTATGGTACTGTTTGGATGCTTGGAGTCTCTGCGTCACTGAGTAAGTCTTGCCCCTGCCCACCTCCAGTAAAGTTGCGTGGGACAAGCGAGAGTCTCCCTGCCGTGTGTGTGTGTGTGTGTGTGTGTGTGTGTGTGTGTGTGTATTCCTGCCTTGGGGCAGGTGTGTGTGTGTCTGTGTGTGTGATCCCGTCTTGGGGCAGGTGTGTGTGTGTGTGTGTGTGTGTGTATTCCTGCCTTGGGGCAGGTGTGTGTGTGTGTGTGTGTGTGTGTGTGGTCCCGCCTTGGGGCAGGTGTGTGTGTCTGTGTCTGTGTGTGGTCCCACCGTGGAGCAGGTGTGTGTGTGTGTGTCTATCCACATGTGGTCTCATCTTGGGGCAGGTGTGTGTGTGTGCGCATGTGTGTGGTCTCGTCTTGCAGCAGGTGTGTGTGTCCGTCCGTACGTGGTCTCGTCTGGGGGCAGCTATGTGTGTGGTCCTGCCTTGGGACAAGTGTATGTGCTTGTGTGTGTGTCCCCTGCTGTTCACACCCCGACCGCCAGGCGGTATGCCCATTCCCGGACGGCCAGTGACCCCACACAGCTTGGATTGGGCCCTGGGGTACAGAATTCAGCACTGCGGGTGATGAAGCAGTTTCGAGAGAAATGAAGTACCCATTTAGCCATCCACGCCTGTACGCTTACACCTGGCGTCTGGTGGCTCACTCCTTCACGCCCTTTTGTGGGTGGGACCAGCCTTGGGTCCCGGCAGGGAGCTGCAGCTGGAGTGAGACTTGACTGCCAGTCTAGGTTCTGCCTGACTCTCTGGTTACTCTGGGCAAGTCACTTCCATTCTCGGCTTCAGCTGGCTCATGGGGACAACAGTAAGAAAAGCCCTGAGGGTGAGTGGGTGAGACAGGTGGGGAGCAAAGCCAACACCATCTTCAAACCGGGAAACGGAGGCTTGGAGCAGGAACTTGCCCAAGGTTGCAAGGCATTCATTTCTCAGTCTTAGGAAAAGGCCAGAGGAGAGGAGGTCTTGGGAGAAGTCCGTATGCCATTTGGTGAGAGGGGTAGGTGGGGGCAGAAGCCGGCTTTCCTGACTCCTAGTCCAGGGCTGGACATAAGTGTAGCCACAGAGAGCTGCAGCTTGACTCCCTATCTGACAAAGCTGAGTGAGGAAGGCCCGGGCCAGGCCCTACCTCCCTCGACACAGAAGAGGCAGAGGACCCATCGCTGAGAGGGCAGACCTGGGTTCAAGTCCTGACTCTGCCATTTCAGAGCAATGTGACCTTGGGAGGCTGCTCCATGGGGACTCACCACGACTCTGTAATTTCGGGACAACAGCCTTGGCCCTTCCTCTTCCCCACTGTGGTAACACTTTAGAAGCTCCATGGGGTGAGGGGGTTCATTCCTATGGTCCCTAGCCCCATCCCATGGGCGTGACTGCCCCAACAGGCTGAATCCCTCATGCCTGGACTGCCTCCTGCTACGTTGGGGAAGGGCAAGTGAGGCAACAAGGGAGCAGCACTTGGGCCCTGCTGGGTCACCCTGAGAGCCGTCCCGCTGGAGGTCAGCAGCACTCTCTGTAGAATGCCAGACTCCCACAGTCATTCCTGGTCTTGGTGTCCGGGACCAGCGGCTGCGCATCGGCCCCCTCTTTCTTCCTGGTCTGGCTTGCACCTTGCACCCTCCCGCAGTGTATGCCTCTAGGAGTCCTGGCCTTGGCTGCTGGTGCATCCTCACCCGCTGAAGGCACCCCTGGCCACCCAGCCTGATTGGGAGATGACCAGCCTGGCCCCTGCGGGTGCTGGGTTACCTTCTCTGGATGTCCATCTCATCAGGAGAGGGGCCATTCTGCACCTGACGCTGGCTGGAGGGGCCTGTGGGCAGAGAAGCACAGAAACAGTGTGGTTAGAGGAAGAAAGGCCCCAGCAAACCCAACTGGAGTGCTCTCTATCTCTGCCCACCTTCTGGCTGCAGAAGAGACATCCTTAAGAATCTTTTTAAATGTTGGCCTCACTCACACCTGTGCATCACTCACTCCATCTCCTCTCTCAATCACCCTCTCTCTCTCACGGCTCTTCATTCTGAACCAATAAATGAGACCCAAACTTTCACATGGTTAAAAATTAACCCTTTCAGTTACTGACCCTGCTCGCCTTCTCTCTCAAACTATCTTCTCACTGCTTCGACCTTCTTGCTGGCCACCACCCCCTCAACCCTTTAACATTGAATCTGGCCTCTTTACATCCCACCAGGATGTTCTAATTAAAATCAGCGGGGAACTGGGAATTGCCAAACCTAACAAGTCCACTTGATTCCACTTTCTGAGCAAAGGACTGACACTGACAGCTGGCGGATGTCTTGGTCAGAGTTAAAACCTGGGTGTGTCTGAGCTGAGGCCTATGCTTCTAGACCTGGGGTGACCCCTGCTGTCTACAAAGGGTGTCTGGAGCTGCGGGTGGGAAGGAGCCAGACCCTGCCCTTGCTCCCCTTGTTCTAGACTGGTGTGGAACTTTCTGGCCACACCCTGCCCTGGACCCTGAAGGAGGGACCCCGGCATAGGCGAAGTCTGCTGTGCAGACCTCCTGTTCAGAGGAGGCTGGAGCTGGGGCCTGTGCAGGGCTTCCCATGCTGTGCCACAGTTAAGCTTCTGCCGCCACCTAAGAAAGAGCTGACTGTTCCTTCTCTGCCAGCTCAGGTGTCACTAGGGAACTGCAGAGAGTCGCAGTGACTGGGAGAGGGACTCTGGGCAGGCTGCTCTCATACCTCCCTGACAAGATGGGGAAGTGGCTTTGTTTCTGCCGCAGGATGGGGTCACAGCAATATTCAAGTTACAACTGCACTGATGATGTGGGGACAGCCCTGTTCCCTCCTACTTCATAGAGGACCAAGGTCTTAGTGGTTCTTCCCTCCTTGTTCTCAAGAAACAGAAGGAATGAATATGTGAACATTATTACCAGAGCAACGTCCAGGCACTTTTTAAAATTTAATGTTAAATTTAACTCTAATTCTCACAGCCCTATAAGAAGGCTCCCATAAGGACTTGTAACAGCTGGGAAGCCAGGCCCAGAAAGGCTAAATGGCTTGCCCAAGGTCTTACATACAGCAAGTGGCAGATGCAAACCAACTGCAAATGCCACGTTCTTTCTTAAACTCAATCAGACAGTGGTGTCAGATTGAGACCAGCTTGAAGAAAGAAGGATGAATGTGGCAGACTCATAAGCTGCCCTTGGATGGTGTGCAAGGTGCTGTGGGCATGTGTCCCCCCGCCCCCTGACTGCCACTCATCCTGGCTGAGGCGGGAGGGATTCCTGGCGTTTCAGCTCCACGTCCGGGACTTGCACCTGAGCTGCTCTGCTGTGAGCTTGGCACAGGCTTTGGGCTCTGGCTTGGACAACTGGACATCTGCCTTGTTCTAAGACCGGGTCTCAACGGCTGAGTTCACTCCTGGATCTGGATTTTGTCCTTCTGGGAGCTGAGTCCCTGTCCCAGCGACCCTGTCTAGCATTTGGTCTGAGGGTTGGCCCTGCCCTAGGATGGAGGCCTTTCCACGCTTGGGCTCCACCAGCTGTCGCAAGATCCTTCTGTGTCTGTGGTCTGGCCTTGCCCAGGTCACTGTAACTGTTTTCCACCCTTGTCAGGACCCCGATGGCAGCCAGCTGCCCACACACAGGCCTGTGTGGTTGTGTGCTTTGGATTCCCCATTTTGCCTGCTGGGCTGACGTCCTCCCAACACCCTCCCAACCTGTTTCTCCAGAGGCTGGGAAAGTCTAATAGGAGCCCTGGCCCTTCCAGAGGGCTCTGGCCCCTGCACCTAAGACCTGATTAAAAATTGGCTGGAGTTTTAGACCCGACAGAGCAGGAAAGGATAACACTTGATTGCACTGATTACGTAAGGCTTGCCATTCTTCTTAAACGAAGAAAATGTTCAATTGTTTTGAGCCACCATGGCCCTGAACATTATAAAAGTACAGTCCTTTTGTTTTAGGGGTGGGAGCTAAGGCCCAGCAAGGCGCAGGGGTCTGTCCAATGTCACCCAGGGTAACTGTGACAGACCTGAGGTTCCCATCGCCCCCTTACTCCTGGCCTCCTCCGTCCCCCGGCACAGCTTCCCCGTGGCAGTCGGGGGGAGGGACAGGGAAGGTCATTGCTGCAGACTGCTGGTGGCCCTTGGGAAGCTCCAAGCAGCAGCCCCTTGGCAGGTGCTTGTTCAGTGGGAGGAGTAGCTAAGGAAGGCTCCTGGCTGCTAGTAATCAGACTCCCTCGTGTCTAGTGGTGAGGCACTACACATGACTTCCCTGCGTGATGCAGGCAGAAGCCAAGGCGGAGGATGTGGCACCTGTCCCGTGCTGCAGATGAGCACCTTGGAGCCACCTCTCGTCGCCCGAGCTGAGCTTGGATTCCACAGGAGTCAGGGCGATGGGGATGGTGGGAGTCCCAGCTCTTCCCTCTCTGCCTCCCACGGCTCGTTAGGTAACGGAGTCTTGTTGGTGCTGTGTCGGCTGCCCCACAAAACACCCTGCTTCTCTGCTGCCACCTGGCAGCCTTGGCGTCTCTCTCTTGGACCCTCACCTCCACTCTCTCTCATTCTGACAGTGTGGCCTAAGTGATGTCTGGGAAACACAGACATGACCTGCACAGGGTTGGGTCCAGGCTCCATTGAATAAGATTCAAGGTTTCAGCCTAGGCCCCAGGCCACCTTGTGGCTGCGCCTCCCCGACAGTCCTCCATAGCTGACCTCCTGCACCTGGACACTGGGCCCGGCCCCACCATGCTTCCTGTCTCTCTGTGTTTTGTGCGCTACTCAACCCATGTGGGTCACCTTTTCCTGCCGTCTCCACCAAGCAAGGCTTCCAGGCCCAGCTCAGTGGTCACCTCTTCCATGAAGCCCTCCCCAGGTCCTCATGCTCCTTCTCACCAACCGGTGCCCATGCGCCTCTCTTAAAAACTGACAGCTTTCTCACCCATATTCCAGTAATTTGGGAGCTGCCTTCTTTTCTGTACTAGACCCTGGGCTTCTTGCAGGCAGAGAGCACGTCTCACTCCGCACTCCACGCTCATAGCCTGGCTCGCATCAGACACTTAGTTCATATTCCACTGAACTAAGTCAGGAAGGGGAGAGGGGGCTCAAGCTCACTCACCCTTGGGGAAAAGTTCAGGTGAAGGAGTCATGCTGAACTGACTTGAGTGAAAAGAAAAACCTAGGAGGTGAGCCACGGAGATATAGGGATTAGAAGGGGTCCCCCAAGTTCATGCTTGTCCAGAGAGGATGCAGCAGTGTAACGATGCCCTGCCAGCACCAGGTACCCTCTGCTGACCAGAGGCCTTAGGGACAAACTAAAGTCACAGAGCTGCTGACCCAGCCTTTTTCTCAGGGCTGTGAGTTTCAGATGCCTTTCTGCTAGAGGACCCTGTGGCTCTGCACACAGTGGCAGAGCGCAGAGTCACCTTCTGTGGCCATGAGGTGCCCTCCTTTGTACAGTGAATGTATGGCAACGATGGTCTGCGGATCACATCTTAATTGTCTTGTTCCCATGAGGTACTAACCTGGGCAGGCAGTGGGCACGAGAGGACCTGGCCTAAGTTCTGCCTCACATCTGCCTAGTCATGCACCCCTAGGCAAGCTGCTGTGCCCTCATCTGTAAAATGGGAGTCCTAATACACTAACGCTAACAGTGGTACCTCACCAAGCTGCGGTGAGGAATAAACAAACTCTAGGAGTAAAAACCACATGGTAATCCATAAAGTGCTGGAAATATTTGTTCGCATTACTGTTGAAAGCACACTGTTGATCTTTCTGCTGAGTTGGACGGGAACCTGCCTATGTGCTGGCTTAAGTGGCCCTCTGCCCCCCAAGCCTTGCTGGTGTGGTCCCCTCGGTGGAGCGCTTTCTTCTCCACAGGCTGCGTGCACTCACTGCCCAGCTGGTTCCACCACGGCCCCCTGAAGTATACGGGATGAGTGGTGGTGGTTCTCAGGGGTGAGGGGACTTGCCCAGAGCCACAGGGTTTGTGACGCTGGCCCCAGTGTCCCAAGCTTGTTGAGTCTGGGAGCTGATTTTGCCGAGGCAGGGGCCTGGCCCATTCACCTGGGACTCCAACTAAGAAAACTCTCACCCTCTTCTCATTCATCTCAGACAAATTTTGTCAAGTCAAAATAAAGAGGATGAGATAGGAAACAAGCATGAGAAGAAATTCAAAAATTAAAAAAGGAAAAATAAAAGAACCCATCATGCCACAGACAAATGAAAAAGAGAAAGGGAAATTTCAGGTCCAACATCAAACAAGAGCAGGGTGGCTGGGCATTCATGGTGTCATGTGGGTCCAGCCCTTGGTGGCAGGGCTCACCACTGGTAGCAGGACGGGCCATAGGTTCCCTGGCTGACCTCTTCTCTGAACACAAAGAGCTGCAGGAGGACAGAGGCTGAGACCCAGCCAAGGCTCAAGTCCAGGCTGGCCTGCTCCAGGGCCCGCTGGACTGTGATGATTCTTGGGAAGGAGCTGACTTCTTGCTGTCTTGGAGGCCCACTTTCCAGCTTCGAGTCTAAGTTCCATCAAACACCCACTCCTCCCAAACACAGTGGTGAGTCAGAGGAGCCCTTTTACTCTTAGGAGCCATGAGCTGGGGAGAAACACACAAGAGGGGAGGGAAGGCTGGGCCAGACTCAGCCATGAGCCCTCCTGAAAGGGAGGGGTGGTGAGGTGGGGTGAGGGGGCCAGCCACAGGGGACAGGAGCTGACAGACTCAGGGCAGAGTCTATATGACTGATGGGGAGTGGGGCCAGGAGGTCCGAGTCCCTTCTCACTGGGGAGAGTGAGCACTGCAAGAGGCGGGCTCCCGTCTGGCAGCATCTCTACCTGGGACACACTACAGGCGTTTGGCGGTCACTCCCCTTTGCTGCTATTCTGCAAGCAGGGACATGAAGAATTGCCATGTGCCCTTCACAGGCTGCTCCAAGGAGGAGATGAGCTTATACATGGTCCTTGTATTGTACCTTTTCAAAAGGCTTTTATAGCATCTCTCTCTGACATAAGGATTTGACAAAGGATTCCAAAGCAAGGTACTGCCATCTTCAAGAAAGCTGTCCTAGTGTAGTGGAAAGGGGTAGGGAGAGCACAGAAGAGGGAAAATCTGGGCACGCATTATGGGCTTCACGGAGAATGAGCCAGATGCAGGTGACACTCCTCCCCTCCCACTTCCTCATAGCCTGCTGAGACTCGGGCGGTCAGGCGTGGCCCAGGTGTAGGAGAGCACCTGCTCATGGGACTCTGAATGTGAGTCCGAGTTCACCAGGATCCATGACATATGCTTGCACATACCAGGAAGGGCAGGAGGAAGAGCGTGGCCAACAGAACAGCCTGACTTTAACTCCATGGACATAACTGTTTTGCTCACCTCTGTATTCCCAGTACTTACCATAGTTTTTGACCTATAGTCAATGCAATACATATTTGTTAAGTACGTGGATGACTGGCCCCAGGCAAACTGAGCATCTCCAGCCACTGGGCGAGCCTAGAGCGAGTGACACAGTCTTAGAGAAAATAGCAGAAGTCTAATGGCTTATAAGCTCCCAGAGCAGGAAACAGTGGCTGAGCTGAGGACTGGGCCTCACGAGCTATCAGTGAGTGACACACCATAGGCCACCAGTGGCAGTGGCACTTAGAAAATACAATGAGTTGGGGTAAGGAGAGAACTCAAGTTTATTGAGTGTGTATTACACTACGTACTAGATCCTGTGCCAGAGACTCAGACACCACCTCGTTTAGCCTCCCTCGTCCTAGGAATCCTGCTGTGAGCTCCACTCTACCCGTAAGAAAGCTGGAGAGTTGGAAAACTGAAGTAGCATCTTTGTGGCCTCTGAACAGTCAACAGTTAAGCCAGGCTTCAACCCCAAAAGAGAGGACTCTAAAGCCCTCCACAGAGTCACCAAGACTGCAGGGGGATAGGACACATGGAGGAAGAAGGGTCAAGCGGGGCACAGAGACAGGGAGAGCAAGAAGGGGAGCCCAGCCCTGGTGCGAGTGTGAGAAGCTGCGGCTCGGAGCCCCCTGGCGGAGCCCCTTCTTGGGCAGGAGTGTGGCACATTGCCAGCACCCAATGGCCTTGCTGCCTCAATGCCCATCCACGTGGCACCGGGAGAGGTATCCCAGGAGCTGGACAGGTTCTCAGGGCTGTACAGAGAGCCTTAGGAGCCACCCGGTCTGACCTCAAGTGCGAGGCCCTAGCTGGGGTGGGTGGTTCTCACTGGCAAAGTCTTCTTCCCAAAGGGTGAAATCTGTCTTGCCAGGACTGCCCCCAGTGGTCTGTCAGGACCACAAAGACCGTCTCTCTGTGCTGGCCTGGCAGCCCTGGTGCACTCCCCTCCAGGCCTCCCTTGGTCCCCGTCCTGTCTTCCAGTCCCTTTCCGCCTTGGCTGTGCTCTCCTGGACGGTTCTGGATTGTACGAATCCCCTTCAGAGTGAACTGTGCTGGAGCTCTGCCAGTAAGTTAGGTGTGTGGGAGTCTCTCTCCTCTCTGGACTTCCATTTTCTATAAAGTGAGAAGCGTGGAACCAAGGATCATCAGCTCCAAATTTCTACAACTCTAAAGGACAAAGGAGGAAATATACTAAAATGTTCACAGTGGCTATCTCGGGATTGTGGGCTTATATTCCTCTCTCTGAATTTCCAAATCATGCACTACCTCTAAACAAATAAATGTCTAAGAGACCCTACGGAGGAGAATCCCTGCTCTGCGATCCATCCTCCGCGAGGTATGGTGGGCGCGGGGTAGGCAGGGAGCGGTGTGGCTCCTGTCTGAGGTAATGCATTAATTTATACAGCCAAAGGCAGGCAGACAAGGCGAGGAACTACTGACCCCTCCTCCTGAAGAAGGCCTTCCTCTTGGCCACCCCTGAACATTTATGAGGCTCTGGGAGACCAGCCCCCAGCTCCTCTGGGATGGAAGGGATGGGCTCAGTTTCCAGTTAGTCTCTATGGGAAGTCTCCCTGGGGCTCCTGAAAAGATAGAACCGGAGATGTCAGGGGTGCCAGAGACAAAGGATCCAGCACTTGCTCAGTGATGCTTGATGGAATTTCTGGCCAACAAACGACAGCCACCTGGTCTGAGCTGGGCAGAGTCCCAAGTTCTTCTAAGGCCTCCTCCCTGCTCTGCCATCTTTCTGGCTGGCTCCTTTCCCTCTTTCCAGAGGGTCCCCTCATTTTACAGTGAGACTGGGCCATCCCCGGCACACCTTTCCCTCTTGTTACAAGGCCCTGCTTTCCTCACAGGTGCCATTCCTATCACCAAGCGAGCAAGTGTCTAAGCGAGAATGGAGTCTGTGAACTGGGCTAAGCTTGGTCTGGCCACTATCTTTACCGTCACCTGGCCAAGGCCATACAAGAATTGGTGGCAGAGCTGGGACCAGAGCCCACGACAAATGTCTCCCGGCCCAGGGCTCTGTCCACCCCAGTGCACTGATGCTCAGCACTGATTAATAAACAAACAGCTCTGCATTTGTCTTTGGGAAACAAAGGCAGCTAGTGTTGAACCCTATCCTCCGAGCTCAGCTCAGGAGGAGACAAATACCTGATTGTCACCCTCCCCATTCTAACACGAGCTTAGACAGCTTAGTTGCTTGCTTAAAGGAACCCGGCGTGAATTTTCTAGTCTTTTCTGCTGAGTTCTTACCACATGAATTTAGGCTCAAGCAGGCTGACATGTCTTACTCAGATTACCAGAGCCAACTGACCCACTGAAATCCTGCAACAGACCCTCCTACCTAAGCCCTGGCCCTGGGCTTAGCAGAGACAGCTCAGCTCCATGGTGACCAATAGGTAAAGCTGTGTCTAGGCGCTCAGGGTCTGAAAGACCTGTCAAGTTAGAAGGTCATCACTTACAGATGTGGGGATGGCACTTCAGAGAGTGGGGGACTGACCAGGGCCACAGTGGGAAGCACCCAGCCCTTGCAGTCATGCACTAACAAGGAGACACTGGAGAGGAAAAGCGCTTGAGTTCTGACAAAGGACAGCAGGGGGCCTGGTGCTGCGCATGTACCGGCGAGAAGCACCCCTTGTGTAGAGGGGTCCCGAGGCCCAGGGAAAGGGCAGGGGCTTGCCCAAGCTCACATTCACAATGAGGAAAGGAGGGCTAGACCCAGTCTCCAGCTTCCAGGCCAGGACACCCCACCCCCACTGTTTGGGCCCACTAGGCTGTGTTCCTTAGGGGAGTTGTTTTCCCTGCAGAATATTCTTTCTGTCTTCCTAATATGCTTATTTCAGGACACAAAACTAACCTTAAAATGAACCTCAAACAGAACAAATAGCAATAAAAATCTGCCACATCTTAATGCTTAATGGTTTACTGAGCATAACTGCATTGTTTTTTTTTTTGTGACTAATCTCTCCAATCATCCATGGCTGGGCTTATTAACCCTATTTTATAGGTGGGGAAACTGAGGCTCGGAAAAGCTACCCGAGGTCATGTGCCTCCAGTGAACGGTGCTGCTGGAACAGAAGCTCAGGCCTCCCAGTACCCAGCTGCTGCTTCCACCCTGCCGCTTCCGCAAGGATGTCATTGCAAACCCTGTAATTGGTCAGTGGCAGATACTCGCCCCAAGATCCAGCACTCCCACCCCCACCCCCGGAGCAGGTGGGAGTGAAAGGAGAGGCCCATGAGGAGCAGGGAGGAGAGAGAGGGGCTCCCATCACCTACAGCTCACTCTGCAAAGCACGGTGCAGTCCCAGTGGCAGAAGCAAAAGCAGTGGAAGGCCCACTCCCTGCTGACCATCACGGGCAGGGCTCCGCGGCACAGGCCGGGGGCACCTCTCGTACTGGGCCACTTACCTCTTCTCCTCTGTCGCCTGGCTGGTGCAGTGGGTAACTGATACGCCTTCCAGCCATCAAGTGGGCTTCCCCACCTCAATCTTTAATGAGGCTGCTCAGCTAACCTATCAGAACCTTCCTGCCCACCTGACTCCAGCAAGCTCCCAGGGCCCTGGCCCTGGAGGACTGTCCAGACCCCTTGTGGGGCTCAGCTCACAGGCCTTGGTGACACCAGGTGTCTGCCAAGAGATACCCTGTAGGTGGCACTCCTCTTAACCCTGTGGGCAATGGGATGGAACAGGGTAGGTGTGGCGTCAGAAGGGAGCAAGTGTGCAGAGAATGCCTGTGAGGCATGCCTAAATTTGGCACCACCCCAAACTTTGGTATGGGAAAACCAAGTTGGCACCCGCTCACAGAAGTAAGGCTCATTTGATTCCCCCCCGGCCCTCCTTCGCTTCGCTCCTTGCTGGACTCCATGAAATGCTGCCTCTCCTGCAAACTGTCTCTTAGGTGCATCCTCTCTGGCCTGTCTAGATCCAAGCCTCATGCTCTCACTTGAAGGGCTTTCCAAGGGTCTCCAACTGGCCTCTCTGCCTCCGCTTATCCCACTGAGTCTGCTTACAGAGTCAATTCTGGAAAGCACTGGTCTTCCAGGCCATTCCTTGGCCAGGAAACTACTGTGGTTCTCCACTGGTCCATGTGGGAAGCTTGGGATTGGGTTCATCCTTACTTTGGGATTGGAGGCCTCTCAGGCTCCAACTTGCCTGTCCCGGTGCCCTGACTGCTGCTCCCAGCCAATCCCACCAAACCTCTCTCCTCCCTGAATGTCCCAACTCCCTTAGCACCCTCCCTCAGGAATACACCATCATTCCCTCTTTCCTTCCCTGGAATCCAGTTCAAATAGGCAAAATACGCATGGATTTTAAGAGCACAACACTGGACTTCAAAGGAATCCCCCCTCCACCCCTCACACTTGCTGCCTTGTGGGGGCATCTGAAGCTTGGCACCTCATTCCTTCCTTGATTTCCCTCCTCCTAGCCCAAATCCTTCCCCCACACGATGAGCAGACTGATTCTAGTGGGCCTTTGACCCTGGGCCAGCTACTCACTTCCTTTCACTGGGACTTAATTTCCGCACCTGAGGGGCTAGAGAGGAAGCATGAGGAAGATGATGAGAGCAACACCCACCGCTGAGTGCTCACTACCTGCCGGGCACCGTTCTGAGCATATAGACTTGAAGCCACTTAAGAGTTAAATCTGAGTCCTGGCTCTCACTTGCTCTTTGACCTTCCTCGCAGCTCCAGGCATGAGGCTAAGCCTGGGATGTTACGCTCAAAGCCTGCCCTTCTAGGCCTGGTTCTGCTTGTTCCTCAGCCTCCCCTTTCTCTTCTCCCGCATGCATCCAAGATGGCAGCACTAGGTTCACATGCCTCTGTGCCGTTGCCTATTTTGCTTCTTTTTGGGCTACTCTTCTAACTGGTGAACGTCTGTCCATCCCCTTTAAGACTCAGATCAGGCATGCCCGCCCCCAGGGCTCTCCCAGTAGCTCTCCCCTTCACCACAGCCTCCCCTGCAAGAAGCCCTGTGTTCTCTGCATCATAGCATAACATACACTGTATTGACAAGGCTCTCTCTCCACCTGGCTGTGAGCTCTGTGAACACAGGGACCAAGTCTTATTCATCTTTGTGTTCTGGTGCATGGCCCAGAATAGGTGCTCAGTAATTCACAGATGGGGTCATAGCTGTGGATACAAACTGCTCCCCTGGAACTTACAATCTAGAGAGGAGAGACAGGCAACAAATAAAGACACAACATGTAGGAAGAAAAACACAGCAGAGAATGAGAATTAAAGGAATGTGTGTGGGTCGTTCTTAAGACAAACTCTGCGATTACGTGGTATAAGCAGACACCCGGAAGAAGTGAGGGAAGGAGCCCTGAGGTTTTGGGGAGAAAACATTCTGGGCACAAGGGGCCTTGGGTGTAGAGGCCCTGACTTTAGGAGCATGCTTGGCACATCTGGGGCATGGCGTAACTGGGATGAAGGAGGAGAGGTAGAGAGTAGGGAGGAAGTGAGTTCAGAAAGACAGCCAGGGCCACAGCATGCCGGGCTAAGCAGGCCTTGGTAAGGATGTGGACTATATTCTGAGTTAAGCCTAAAATCCTAGAGAGTTCTGGGCAAGGACTGAGACCTGACTGAGAGGTGAAATGCAGTCTGCTTGCTTTGCGGGGAATGGATCAGAGTGGGCTAAATGCAGGAGCAAGCCAGTCAGACAGTGGCTGCTGTGAAACCCCCTGCTGCATGGACACCTGGATGAGAGAGGGCAGGCAGCAGATAGGCAGGGGGCAGGGCCTCAAACACTCGCAGCCTGTCCACTCTCAAACTGGAAACTGTATCTCAAGTTCAGCAGTTGGCTTTCTGAGTCTCCGGAGTTATCTACCAAAATATTTGAGCTGGCTTTTATCCTATATGAGCTGAAGCTGGCAGGAGGCTACTTGTAAAACTCCTTCCTTAGGAAAGAAATGATACACGCTACGCGAGGAAAAAAGAAAACAGCTGTGAATGAATTCTTCCCTCACTTTCGAAGATGTGGGTATGTGGCTAGAAAGATGGGGCAGGTTAAGTGTTTATAATAATCAACCTCTGACCAAGCCGGGTTATAGTTTAGAAAGCTGGGGGGCTGCCAGCTGAGCAGGGTCTTTTGAGAGGCAGTCTGGTCCACTGGGCAGAGACCTGGACTGGAAATCAGAACATCTGGGCTCTGGGCCTTAAGCTCTGCATTCACCAGAGTGGCCTGGGGCAAGTTTCTTAGCACTGTGAGCCTTTGTTTCTTCCTTCTTAAAATGGAGAAAGTAATTCCTGCTATCTCCCTGCAATCTCAGGGAGCCAAGATCCAGGCACAAGAGCATCCAGGAAGGGGTTTGTTCCTTTCTGTAAGGAGTATACGGCTTAGCTCTGGGTGGTGGCACACCAGAATGAAATGACTCTGGCTACGACTGAGGGGTGAGATCCCAGTATCTAGGGATTGGGCACTCCAGGAACAACTTGCATTCACTGTGCCATATGCTTACAAATCACAGTCCCATCTATTTTATCATTTGAGCCTCATGACAACTCTGTGAGGTGGTTGTCACACCCATTTTAAAGACAAGGAAACTGGCCGGGCACGGTGGCTCACACCTGTAATCCCAGCACTTTGGGAGGCCGAGGTGGGTGGATCACCAGAGGTCAGGAGTTCAAGACCAGCCTGGCCAACATGGTGAAACCCTGTCTCTACTAAAAATACAAAAATTAGCCGGGCGTGGTGGCGCATGCCTGTAGTCCCAGCTACTTGGGAGGCTGAGGCAGGAGAATCGCTTGAACCTGGGAGGCAGAGGTTGCAGTGAGCTGAGTTTGCACCACTGCACTCCGGCCTGGGCAACAAGAGCTAGACTCTATCACAAAAAAAAAAAAAAAAAAAAAAAAATGAGGACACTAAGGCTTAGAATGGTGAAATGGCTTGCTCAAGGTTTCACAGCTGCTCCATGTGACAGGGTGGAGCGGGTGCCTGGAGCTAGGGCATGGTACCCTGTCACCTGCCCCCACAATCTGTGCCACTTCTGTCAACCACTGTGCTGACCATGGCAGGCACACCTCAGCTGGCTGCTTCCTGAGCCCTACCAGGAGGCGTCAGGAAGGTGCTGGTGAGGCAAGGCTGGGGAATGAACCACCACCTATCTCAAACCCTGACTGGGCACATGGCGCCTGGGCTGTATCTACAGAAGACTAAAACTCCAAAGGAATCTCGCCATTAGCGTTAGGGAGATAATCCTGGGACTGGTGGAAGGAGGAGACCTCTCTTCTCTAGGATGTAAACTGCAATAAGCCAGCAGCTCTTTTGAGGAGGACAATGGCAGCAGCAGGATGCAGGTGGGATGCTCTGAAATTAGGGGCACCCGTGAGGCATGCACAGTACTACCAATGTGCCGAGGGAGACCCCCAGGGTCAGACAGAGCCTCTTCTCAGATCTTGATTTGAACTTCCAAACCACCAAGATCTGCTGGTGCCGCCGTCCTCCTCCTCATCAGATCCCCCCATTCACCCCCAGCCCTGCAGGGCCCAGGTTCAAGCCCCGCTTCCCTCAGAAAGTGTTCTCTGACCATCAGGATCCAAGAAGCCTGGCTTCCCTCTGTGTCCCAACGTGATGGCTGCTGGCACCACACAGGAGTTGATATTGTTAGTTACCTTTTTTTTTTTTTCCTGAGACAGCGTCTTGCTCTGTTGCCCAGGCTGAAGTGCAGTGGTGTAACCATGGCTCACTGCAGCCTCAGACTCCAGGGCTCAAGCAATTCTGCTACCCCAGCCTCCTGAGTAGCTGGGACCACAGGCACACGCCATCACACTTAGCTAATTTTTAATGCTTTTGTAGAGACAAGGGTCTTGCTATGTTGACCAGGCAGGTCTCGAACTCTCACACTGAAGTGATCCCCTGACCTCCTAAAGTGCTGGGATTACAGGCATGAGCCACTGTGCACGGCTGATATTGTTAGTTACCTTTGCAAATAATTTTTTTAAAAAGAGTAACTTCAAACTGTTATAGTAATTTAGAGGTGACAAAGAATGTTTACAAACATCATCTCATGGTACCCTCACAACAACCCTGTGAGGTGAGTCTGATTCAGCCATTTCACAGATGGCGAAACTGAGTCTTAGGTCAGTGACATGCCCAAGGGCACACTCCTGGCACAGCTGGTACTGGAACCAGATCCGAGTTCACGTCCGAAGTTCCTTCCACAGTATGCACACCTCGGGGCCACAGCAGCTGAAGGCCCTTCCATAGGCTGTGGCTGGAGAAGGCGTGTTCCTCTGTTTGGGGTGGTGATAAGTAGGCCAAGGTGACGGGTGCGATTTCTGTGTGAGACAATTCCATTAACCATGTCCCTCAATCACAGATAGCACCCCTCACCTTGAGCCCAGTTTCACAGGTTGGCCAGCAAGCGGTCTTGGTTCAGGAACTCCATCTTAGTCTGCAGAGAAGGATGCAATGGCAGGAAGTGCCAGGCTATGAGAGGCACACAATATGACATGGGCGCAAGCTGGGAGCTTGTTCAGTCACCAGACACCTCTGATGTGTCAGTCTCTCTTCAGGGCTCCCGAGACACAGAAACAGACACCTGCCCTCGAGGAGCTCACAGTCTAGACAAACAAACCCAGGGTCCAAACAAATGGGACACCAACAGTGTGCGAGGACTGGGAAGGGGTGCCTGAGGTCTTCTGGGGCACTGGGAAGGCTTCACAACAGCAGGGCAAAGGATGAGCAGAAGGTGACCAGGAGTATGGAGAGAACATGCATGAGGGCAGGGGCGGGGCCCCTTTAGACGCAGCCCAGGGAGGACAGACTGAAGAAGGACAAGAGAAGGTGGATGGGTTACAACCCCATTACAACACTTCAGGGGAGAGAGTGTCAGGGGAGAGACGGTGAGAATATGCAGTGCAGGTGGTGAAAATGGGAGCCAGTGAGTCAGAGGGACCAGGGGCTCAGGCCAATGCACAGCCTTCACTGCTGGACATGGTCCCACAGGACCTCGATGCTGAGCTGGGGCCTGGGCTGAGTCAGGAGACAGGGCTCCAGGCACGGCAGCCTCTGGGTCCTGGTGTGTTCCTGCAGCCAGGGATGGATATACTGAGAGCTTATAAGGCAGACGATGTGTGGGTTTTTGGGGTCCAGAGACAAAGAGGCCACTTTCTGAATTTCCAACCTGACTAGATTCATGCAGTGGGAATAGCAGGACAGGCCAAGTGGCAGCTGACTGTTAGGACAGAGGCAAAAATAAAGCCCCGTGGGAGTGCAGGAGGGAGTGCAAAGTCACAGGGAGCGGGGCGGCTGGGAAAGGCTCCATCTGTGGAGCCACATTCTGACAGGACGAGTGAGATTTTAGAAGTGTGGGGAAAAGTGAGAGGGGAAGAAGGGCCAGGGGCACAGGAGAGCCTGAGTAAGAGTGTGACTGACGGTGCGACTTGGGTAGCTGTTGGCATGGAGGCGTACAAAGGCCCTGCCTGATACAACATCTGGAGCCCTGGGGTGAGAACAGGGGTGGGTCAGCAAAGAGACATATCCGGCTTTCAGAAAGTGGCCGCCAGAGGGCAGCTGGGAGCAGGCAGGAGGCCAGGGGCTTGCCGTCCTGTTCCCCTCAGGCAGGGCCATGCTGGGCCTGCTTTCTCTCAGGTGGCACAAGGTGTCAAATGGCCTCGGCAGCCAGGGAGATGAAGACAGTCCAGTACTTCCTTCTCTTTAGGGGAGAAAGAGGTAATTTCCAATGGAAAGAGGTTTACAAGAAGCAAAATTCAGCCCCACCTCCAAGAGCTATGAGGTTTAACAACCTTCCACTCCCCTCCAAAGAGCACATGGAGCTGGGCCTGACTCTTCCCGGGAAGGTCTGCCTGTAAGTCCCTTTCCGGGGCTCTTTCTCAACACTGTGCTGAAGGTGCAGCCCCTGGGCCACTGGGCATCAATGAAGGACATAAGAGGTTGAAAAACTGGGAAAACATTTATTATCCAGCACCAGGAGCTTCATATTTTGAAATATACCAATGATGTTATTACACGCAAACCAAGTAGGAAAAGGACATACATTATGCTCCAAGAGCCAAAGAGAACAAGCACTTCATCCTGTGTTTTAATTCGCCCGGATTCCCACTAAGCTATGGGGTTTTCCTTTTTCTTTTCTTCAGAGTCCCACTGTATAAAGTCGATGAAGAACTACTCTGGTTGCATCAGGGCGAGGACCCTGGTATACCTTGGTGGACCCCTGGAACTCCTCAAAATATCCAGTTTGAAATCCACTGCATTCAACCCCCAAACTGCAAATAAACTTGCCTTTGACCACACATGCTTCTGTCCCACCCCCACCCAATCCAGCAGCAGGGGCACGTCTGACAAGATTTCATTAGTGAGAACCAAATGCGAAGAAACAGTCAAAATCCAGTTACTCAACCCTCTCCTCACCAGCACTGCTTTCCATGCACCTCGGCCCTCTTCCTAAAGCCTGGTCCTTTTCTGGTCCTTGGCCTGGAAAAAGTGATCTTTCATGAGGGAATGCTAGTGGAGGAACGTTGGGCGTGGCCATGGTTCTGCTCAGACTTGTCCTGTGGCCTGCACACATCCTCCCCCTCACTGGGTCTTGGTTTTGTCATCTGTAAATGTAAACCCAGTCTCATGACACCCAAGCCTCCTTCCCTGGCTCCCACTCACTGGCCCTACCCCGGCCTAGACTATCTGCCTTCTACACCAGCAGAGGCTTTGAGGGGGATTTTCTTTAAAATTCACTCCCACTATGTGGTCGAGTGCCATCAGCTTGGGGTCTTGCCTCAAGTGCCACCAGGGCCCTGCTCTCCTGGAGTAATGGGAGACGATGACACGATGACTCTAGTAAGTTCTGAGAGGACCTACAGTGGTTTAATGGAAAACTGCTGGATGTGGGGACAAAAAGAGGAGCAGCATGGGGCACGGCCCTGAAGGCCACATACCAGGCACCGGGCATCTTCGTGTCATGTGAACTGCCACGGGCCTGTGGTGTCATTCCACCTGCTGATGGAGGAGGTGACTTGCTCAGGGTCACACAGACCCAACGTAGCCCGGCTCCAGGACATGCACTCTTCCTGCTAGACCAAGCTGCTCCCACCACACTTCCAGGCACTGGAGGAGAAGAGGAGCATGTTCTCATCCTGGCTTCTCTTCCTGACTGGGTCATATCAGGAAGTGGTTTGGGCCAAGTACAAACTTCCTCCCTCTGGGGCTCAGTTTTCCTGGCTGTGAAATGAGACAGACACTGTGCTATCTCCATGGCACTGTTAAGCGACAACCAGGCAAGACACAGATGCAATGCAGGAAGGAACCAGCCCGAGTTTCACAAAACTTCAACCCTCTCAGGCCCGATGGTCCTCTTTTTATTATAATGTTTTGTAATGATCCTTGCATTATCCTGAAGTGAAATTCATAGATTACATAACCTACCTACCTAAATTCGGATATAATGCCTTACATGTACTGCAAAGGAGAGAGAAAAGAGAAGCAGTCTATAATAAAATGTGCATTACAACACATAAAGGGCCAGACCCAGCTACACTAGGAGACGGAGGCGGTCCACGCTTGCACCTACCCACAGACCCACTGGGAGTGCTGCTGCTGCAAATGGGATGTGACGAAGGGGAGGTCTATGGATGACTGAAACGTCACAGTGACGATGCTGGAGATAGGACTTTACGAAACAGAAAACAACTCTTGGTAAAGTTACAAACAAAATTAAGTATGATTTTCTTTTGACGGATGCAGTAGTCAAATTCCTAGAAAATTCAGCACATACTAAACCTGGTTAAAAAAATAAGTGCTTTTTCTTAAAACAGAGCAAGCTCTGGCTTGAGTTTTTCAACTGCATGTTTTGGTGGGACACGCAAGACAAGACTTCACTGCGCAGGATGATCCTGCACATTGCAATGTGCACCTGTCCCCGCTGTCCCCTAAATCGCCAACAGCTCTCCGTTTCCACTTTGTCTCTGGTGAGAGCTTCTTGTCTGGTCTGACACTGCCATTTCAGAGTCTAGAACATCAACACCTACAAAGAAGACAAAACGTAACTAAAGCCACATGCGAGGCAAAGGCTGAGTGGGGGCAAGAGCCTCCTCCCGGCTTGCAGGGCAGGTTCTCCCCCGACTCAAGGAAGCTCATGGACAGTCAAACTTTCTGCAGAGTTTCAGACACTGTGGCAGGGGAGGCATGTTCCCTATTCAGTTGGGATGTGGCCAAGCGGCTGCTGCTGCTACAACCACTACTACTTACTGCTAGTCACCATCACAGCCCTTCCTGCTTGTGCTAGGCTGTCTGTCTCAAATACTTCTACAGCCATCGTCCCCTTGGACTCTCATGCTGCGAGACAGACATGCCACGGATAACCACCTACATTTCACAGACGAAGAAACCAAGGTCCAAGAAAGGGAAATGAGTTGCCCAAGGCACATGCAAAGAAAGAGCACAGCCAGGTCTAGCACCCAGGTCTCTTGGTTACCTCAACACCATGACCTCTTACCAAGCAGATGACAGCTTACCCGGCACCCTGAAGGGCGCCTTGCCTGGCAAAAGACTGTGGAGGACAATCAGTACTCTGTCTTCCAAATGAGGATACTGAGGCTCGAAAATGTCACTAGACCTGATGAAGTCACACAGTCAGCAGATGGTGGGACTAGGGCAAGAGCCAGGCCTCCTGAGTCTCAGTCTGGAAGGCTAGAATTGGGGTCCCTGTTCTTAGAGGGTTGCTGAGATTCAAAAGGTGAAAAGGCTCATGCAGTTATCACACATATCCTGAGTCCCCGTGGTGTGTCGCCTCTGTACTTGTTCTAGAGAGGCAGGGATGACTGAGACAACACAGGTCCTGCTCCCAACAGGACTAGCGTGCTAGTAGGGATGCTGGTACCAAAGAGGTGTCCTGAATAAAACATGCTAAGTAGCATGATTGAGTAAACATGCAGGGCCAAGGGCACTGGCTGCAGCTGCCCAACAGGAGGCAGTAGATGGAGCAGCAAGGAGGTGGCCCTGGATGTTGGCATGACCGGCACAAGGTCTGACCCTGGGGCCCCGTGGCTCTACAAAGCCCTCTGTGAGGCCAGCTCCCATCCCTTCTTCTCCTTCAGCTACAGGAGTAGCTCCAAAAGTTAAAAAAAAAAAAAAAAAAAAAAAAAAGTAAAGAGAGGAGAAACTGGATTATATACCCCTAAAACCCTTCCTATCTTTAAATTCACTTGTGACTGCAGCTCAGCGGGGGATTATTTATCTACACATTTGATCTCACAGTGCCATGTTTCTTTCTCATGTTCCTGCAGTGATTCATCCAAGGAAACTCTTTCTCAAATAGGCACTCAGACTTCTGATAGTTCCAATAAAAATTATTATGAGGACTGGTAACTGTTATGACTATTTTTAATGCAGAACTACCTCATCCCCATCATAACGGGAGCTTTGCAGGGTTTATAAAAACCTTGCCAAGTTCTCTGAGAACTTTCTGAGGAGCAGAAAAACATCTTTTGCCCTGGGGCCCTCACACTAGTGTGGAGAGCTCCTTATTCCTTAGAATTGTCTCAAATAAACCAAGTGGCCACCTTCACCAATTAGGAGGCACAACCCAGAGAATAACTCATGCTTTGAGACAGTATTATCCACATAAATAACCAATTAATCCAATATGAGAAAAGGAGAAGCTAAAGCCAGAGATCTGATCAACAATGAAAGTAATGACTTTCAGCTTTCAGGACCAGATATTACAATAAAGAAAAAGAAAAGTAACGGCTGAAGGTCTGCCTGAGAGGAAGAAGATTTAAACCACCACCATCATAATAAATAGAAGAACTCAAAAGTCAAGTCCCCTGGGGCTGCTGAATGCAGAGGTAGACTATGTACTTGTCCCCGGCCCAGTGCCACCTGAAAAGGTCACAGTGGGTTTTAAAAAGACAGCAACTATTTACCAAACACTTACTTGGTGTTAGGAACTGTCCTGAGCACTCTAAAGGGATGATCACAGTTAGTCCTCAGAACAACCAACGGGCAGGTACAGGTCAGGCGACTGGGGCACAGGGAGATCAAGTAACTTGCTCAGAATAAGTACATATGCACACACACACGCTCACACGCACCCTCCTGCAGCACGTGCATGCATATACCCACAGCACACAGGGCCCTGGGTGCCGGGATGTGAAAAACGCAGAGAAAAGCACATACCTCCTTGCCCTCAGGAGCTTGTATCTATGCACTCAACACTCAACAGCTCTTTTGGGTCTGTGGATGCATCATGCACTGTGATGGGCGCTGGGATCCAATGGGGATCCAGGTCAGCTGCTGTGTCTCTGCCTCTCACAACAGCCTTGTGGGAGACCAAACAGCAGCCGGGCCTTAATGTTACAAAGTGGTGAATGGCAATGGGGAGCATGGGGAGCACATAGAAGGGGCGCCTCATCCTCACCTGGGGTGGGCATGGGGGGCCACAGAAGTCTTCCCAGAGAAAGGGAAACCCAGTAGGAGAGGAAAGATCAGTACATGAGCAGGCAAAATGAAGAGGAAATGGATAAAGAGAGGCAGAAACCAAGTGTCCCAGGAGGCCAAGCGGGGAGACAGAAGTTGAAGGAGGAGGAAAGCTTTGCTGAGAGAGCACTAGGCTGGATCCAGAGGGCTGGGGAGGATGTTGATAAGCAGAGATGGTAAGAAAACATTCCAGGGAGAGAACAATATTTGAAAAGCTTGGCATCCAATCCCTACAGGACGCTGACTTTTCTACATCTGTCCTTGGCTGTGTGCCTTTCTACTGTTTGCATATTTTTAGAAAACAAAAACACAAGCTCATCTGAAAGCTCCCTGTGTGCTCTTGTCACTTTTGGTATCCTTTTCCTTCAAAAAAAAAAAAAAACTCTCTGGGAAAATATAAAATGACAACCTCTTAAGCCCCAGAGCCACAGAATCTTGCCTCTGATTTGTGTCTTTTTTTTTTTTTTTTTGAGACGGAGTCTTGCTCTGTTGCCAGGCTGGAGTGCAGTGAGGCGATCTCGGCTCACTGCAACCTTTTTCTTCCGGGTTCAAGCGATTCTCCTGCCTCAGCCTCCCAAGTAGCTGGGACTAGAGGTGCACGCCACCAAGCCCAGCTAATTTTTGTATTTTTTCTTTTAGTAGAGACAGAGTTTCACCATGTTGGCCAGGATGGTCTTGATCTCTTGACCTTGTGATCCGCCCGCCTCAGCCTCACAAAGTGGTGGGATTACAGGCGTGAGCCACTGTGCCCACCCTTTATGTCCATTTTTAAAAGTAGGTGACAGTATGATGGTGGGTGCCAAGATCAGCAGGCAGCAGAGAAATACTCTGGTCAGAACTGCCCTTTAAGGAGAGAAGAGGAACGGGTGGGTAGGGGCCAGCATGGGAGAAAAACGCCAACCCTCCCTCTGGCACTTCTGGAGGAATCTAGGTCTCTTAGCTGCTAGCTCTCCCTTCCCCATCATTACACCAGATGGCGTCTCTTTCAGAAGCCAGACGAGGAAGAGCCAAGGAATCTGTGACCCACCAACATGGCTCTAGAAGCTAAACAAGAAGTTTCTCCAGCAGAAGGAAAGGTCCAAGGAATGACAAACACGAATAACAATAACAACTCCTAAAATGTAGACAATGTAGATGTCACCTGACAGCCAAGGAGGTGTACTTATCCTCTATCATGAGCCTGGAACATACCACATGACGTTAGGCTGCCTCCATTCATTTGTGGAAGGAAATACAAGGTTGCTTTGTCATTAGAGGATGCACGCACCTGGGGAGAGGGAAATTATGCAGATATAGCAAAAGGTGCAAGGAGGCTGTGTTCCTCTATGCTGCGCTGCACTTGTCAAAGGTACTGATAAAAATAACAGAAAAGATGAAATTGCCTACTAATGTATGCAAATGTTCACCCTTACCAGTAAGGAAAAATGCAAGTCAGACCGGGCATGGTGACTTACACCTTAATCCCAGCACTTTGGGAGGCTGAGGTGGGCGGATCACTTGAGGTCAGGAGTTTGAGACTGGCCTGGCCAACATGGTGAAACCTCGTCTCTACTAAAAATACAAAAATTAGCCAGGCATAGTGGTGGGCGCCTGTAATCACAGCTTCTCATGAGGCTGAGGCAAGGGAATCACTTGAACCAGGAGGCAGAGGTTGCAATAAGCCGAGATAGTGCCACTGCACTCCAGCCTGAGTGACAGAGCGAGACTCCATCCTCCCAAAAAAAGAAAAATGCAAATAAAAATGTTTCCCTTCTCTTGTGTTTACAAAGATTAATGAGAGTACTAATGCCTAGTGCTTATGAATTATGAAGTCTGAGGAGTGGGCAACTGTCTTGTGCTGGACAGCGTGTAAACCAGTATAGTCATGCTAGAAGGCATTTGGCAAGACTTCCCAAAACTTTATTTTCTAATTTTTACTTATTTTTTTGAGACGGAGTTTCACTCTTGTTGCCCAGGCTGGAGCATAATGGTACAATCTCGGCTTACTGCAACCTCTGCCTCCTGGGTTCAAGTGATTCTCCTGTCTCAGCCTCCCGAGTAGCTGGAATTATAGGCATGCGTCACCACACCCAGCTAATTTTCTTTTTTTTGAGACAGAGTTTCGCTCTTGTTGCCCAAAGTGGAGTGCAATGGCACAATCTCAGCTCACCGTAATCCCGCCCCCTGGGTTCAAGCGATTCTCCTGCCTCAGCCTCCCGAGTAACTGGGATTACAGGCACGCACCATCATGCCTAATTTTATATTTTTAGTAGAGATGGGGTTTCCCTATGTTTGTCAGGCTGGTCTTGGAACTCCCGACCTCAGGTGATCTGCCTGCCTTGGCCTCCCCAAGTATTGGGATTACAGGTGTGAGCCACCGCGCCCGGCCTAATTTTGTCTTTTTAGTAGAGACGAGGTTGGCCAGGCTGGTCTCGAACTCTTGACCTCAGGTGATCTGCCCACCTCGGCCTCCCAAAGTGCTGGGATTACAGGCATGAGCCACCATGCCCGGACCCAAAACTTGAAAAGCACATATATTGTTTGACACAGAAACATGCCCAAGGAAAATAACTGGACAAGCATGCGAATATGGACACATGAGATACAAAGTATACATACACATAAAAATAACAAGAATGCCCTCTACCACATGAGGATAATCGTGGAAAATGGGGACAACCAACATGTTTAAAAGTAGATGGTGCTTACATTATGGCACATCTTTGCATGGTCCTCGGCAGAGTACCTTAGCCACATAAATGTTGGAAGGTTCATACTTCCATTTTTTTTTTTTTTTTTTTTTTTTTGAGACAGACTCTTGCTCTGTCACACAGGCTGGAGTGCAGTGGTGCAATCTTGGCTCACTGCAACTGCAATCTCTGCCTCCTGGGCTCAAGCAATCCTCCCACCTCAGCCTCCCAAGTAGTTGAGACTACAGACACATGCCAACAAGCCAAGCTAATCATACACACTGTATGATTTCATTTACATGACGCTCAAAAACAAAAACAAAAGTGGACTTCGTATCTATTCTTAAGTGCAGGGACTGCGGGGAGGGCCTTTTGGTGCTGACTACATTTTCTTTCTCGGTCTGGCACTGGGAACTGCGCACACACGTGTTAACAGTTCATCAAGTTGCATCTGCTTATCTGCGCATGGTATTGTCAGTAGGCTTGGACCTCGGCTGAAGCAAAAGCTTATTCGTCAGTGGGCTGCAGGACCTGCAGTCCATGCAAAGGAGGTCACTACCAGCTGAACCAGAGTGGACAACTAACTGTTCCTCCTCATGAAAGCTTCAAATTGGGGTACTCTCACATTGTATGCATACATCCAAACTAGCTGATGTCTCCCGCCCCCGCCTCAACAAGACACTCATTCAACCCCAGGGAATGTAGGAGGTCGGGTTCTGGATCTTACTATCTGACAACGAGAAGTTGTTTCCTCATAATGCGGCATGGCTTTCTTATCTGAAAATGAGGGCAGGATTAACAGATTTACCTGTGATTCTCTGGTGAATTTAATAAAATAACTAGCAGTTTTTATTTAATTTAAGCACTTGCTCTGAAAGTGTTTTTTTTTTTTTTTTTTGCCCCCAAGGTATCTGCATGTACAAGTAAAATAAAGCTACCTTGGGGGCAAAAAAAAAAAGCACTTTCAGACCAACCACTTAAATTAAATAAAAACTACAAGTATCTGCATGTACAAGTAAAATAAAGCTGGGCCGGGCGCAGTGGCTCACGCCTGTAATCCCAGCACTTTGGAAGGCCAAGGTGGGCGGATCACAAGGTCAGGAGATCAAGACTATCCTGGCCAACATAGTGAAACTCTGTCTCTACTAAAATAAAATTAAAAAAAAAAAAAAAAGCTTAACTCCCACATCCTGGAGGCAGGCGAGGTAAGTTCAGACGGAAATGTTAAATTCACCTCATGGCTCTTGGGTGGAAACAGACAGTTTAGTAAACATTTGCTGGGCACTTACGATGCCTCAGGCCCTGTGCTCATCACTCAACACTGCCATGATTAAGATGCTTCCTTACCATGCTCTCCAAGTACTAAGCAGAAAATCTACAAACTTTGGAGCATTGTCAAGATAGGGAAAGCTGCCAGTACCTGCTCTACGCACGACCCATGGGAAGCATGTTCAAAACATGTTCTTTATTTACTTAAAAAAACCACAAAACTCTCCTACAGTGTGTGTGTGTGTGGGTGTGTGTTTGTATGTAAGACACAGGCTCTCACTATGTTGTCCAGGCTGGACTCGAACTCTTGGACTCAAGTGATTCTTCTACCTCAGCCTCATGAATTGCAGGCATGCACCACAATGCCCAGATCTCCTAACACTTAAACTGGGTCCTAAAGCTCCAATATATCAGGCCCAGTACACACTTTTTCTTTTTTTTTTTTTTTTTTTTGTAGAGACAGGGTCTTGCTATGTTGCCTAGGTTGGTCTTGAACTCCGGACCTCAAGTGATCCTTCTGCCTTGGTCTCTCAAAGTGTTAGGATTATAGGCCTGAGCCACCACGCCTGGCGCCAGTAGATATTTAAATGCCACAGCCCTCCAGGTTCTGAGTACTATGTCTCTTCATTTCCCACCTCAATTCTGATAGCAGTAACAGCAGCAGCAACAATAATGATCGTAATAATACTCACAAATGCTAATAGAGTTGTTACTAGGCCAGGCAACCTGAGAAACATTTTACATTCTAGTTCATTTAAATGTAAAAACAACTCTATATCCCCCGATTTTATAGGTAAGGAAATTGAGGCACAAAAACATTCAGTAACTTGCTCAAGAGTTCCTCTGCTAGCATATGTCAGAACCAGGACTCAAACTGACCAGTGTGACTCCATGCCTGGTTCTTAACTACCAAGTTCTCCCAAGGTAGGCTCTCCAGCCGATGGCAGGACCATAACCCAGTCAATCAAGACACCCATCCTGGGAAAGCCTTGTTTCTCCCTCCAAAGCTACCACTGCAAATGTCCAATAAAAGCCACATGTAATTCTGCTTCTTTGCTTTAACTGTCCTGCTGAGAAACTTTTTGCTAGCCCCTCTCCCAATGTCTACCCTAAGTATCAAGCAAGCCCAAAGTCTTCCAGGTATTTGGGGCCTTTCACTGTGCAAGCCCTGATGCCTTTCCAATTTCATTTCCAATCTCTTTCCTATCTGCACTCCAGGCCCCAGAAATGCTGCATCGCCCTCTTCCCAGCACTACGGGCTCACTCAGGCCCTTCTGCCTTTGCTGCTTTTCCCGCCTGCGATGCCCACTCCTGCCTCTGCCTGTGAACTGCTCACCCAGAACTCCGGCTCAGACGGCACCACCACTGTGGAGGTCTCCCTTGGCGGCTCTGAAGGGCAGTTACTTATGTCCTATTCTGTGGTCCCTAAGTACCTTGCACGTACCTTTATTTAAACACTTACTGCAATACATTCCAGTTAGCTGTTTATGAACCTGTCTACCATGAAAAACTAAATGCCTTGAGGGGAAGGCCGCTGTTCATTTCTTATCTATTTTGCCTACACGGTTTCTTGCCCTCAGTAAGCATTTAATAAACTTTTGTTAAACATATGAATGAATAATTAAATTCAAAAATAAATTCTTGACTGTTTTCTCCCATCTCTCTCAAATGTTTGCTCTGGAATATGGAAACAGGATGGCAAGTTTAAAACAGATCTGGATATGTGGCTTCAGGGACACATCTGTACAAATCTATATCTCACAAGTGGCAAAGAGATACAAACTCCATTCTTTCCTCCTCTGAATTGTTAATATCTCTAAATCTAAAGGCAGGCAGCAGGTTTCTCTGAGAACACATGCAACCTCAGCTCAATGCAGTGACAGTGCTAGGATACCCGGAGAGCCAGAGCTGTGGGAGGGCAGAGGTAGAACAAGAGAGGGTCTCAGCATCAGGCCAAGACAAAGCCCTACTTACCTCCTTCTTGGGAATTCATGATGTTCAGGGCAAACAGCATTGCATTGGAGAACGTGGTTGCCTCTTCTTTACTTGCAAAGTTTAAGCCGTAGACCTGGCGGGCATCTCGCCACTGGTGGAAGGTTGGCGTGGCCTGATTGTACTTCAGCCCTTTCACGATTGAATAATTGATCACAACCTGGAGGAGAAAGGAGAGAGAAATACGTGTAAATAAATAAAATGTAAGTGAGCTCGAGGGCGCTGCGATGGAGCAAGTATACTGTATCCTTGAGAGGACAGGAAGATGGGGATGGGGTTTGAAGAAGGGAAAAGCAATATCAGGTAGACTTTCAGACCATAATCTATAGAACAGTGAGGGTTTGCAAAACCTGTTCTTTCCTTTAACTAATAATGCTATGTAGTTACAACCTCCAGATGAACAGCTGAGCTGGGAGGCAGGTTCCCTGGCTCTGGTTTGGCCCTGCCTCTCAGCCACTCCACTCATGGCAGTCACTGCACTTTGCTGGGGCTCAGTTTCTCCACTTATAAGATGGGGATAATAATTCTGGCTTTACCAATCCAATGGGGTTACTGCGAAGATCACATTGTGATACGTATCTTATTTATAGCTTACCTTCTAGATATAAAGCTCCTAAGGGCAAGTCTTCTATAATTCATATTTATGCCTCCTATAGCCCTCTGCATAGTGTCTAGTACTTTGAATGCATTAATAAGTGGGCTATGTGTCGAAAGAATAACTTGGGAAAGTTTATGTACCACACATGTATACAGCATTATTCATATCTTATTACTCAATCAAAAAGCATCAACTGACTGCCAGGAGCAATGCCAGGCCCAGCAGGGAAGGATACAGAGACGACAGAATCCAGACATTCAGGTGCTTACAAGCTGCTAGGGGATTCAACACCAGGTCTGCCTGACCTCTAAACTTCTGCTCTTTCAGAGATTTAAAAGAAGATTATTTCAAAGTACTTTAAGACTATATTCCTAAGTCGTGCCCTGGAGGAAAAGATGCTGGGGCTGGAGCCCTCATTCTGCTTCCCATCCCTTCTAGCTTGGAGTCAGATGATCTAACATCATGACACTTATGAATGATCGGTTTTCTGGTCTGTCAAATGGAGAAGAATGTGATATGGCTATGGCATGGCACCCTCACAGTGTGTTGTGAGGATTAAATTATATATGAGAAAGTAACTGACACAGCTCCTGGCACAAGGTAGGCTGCCAGTGACTGAATGGAGAAATATGAAGATCTCTACGAATGGAAGTATGCAAGCAGAGTCTGGATGAGGCCGGAGAGCCAGCTCTTAGAGACGCCATGGAAAGGATTTTGCTTTAGAAGTACAAGATGATTTCTCAGATTTTGTCTGGCTTTAAGGTTGCAAGGACTGTGTGATCTGAGGTTGGGGATAACGCTCTCTATGCTGATTTATCACTTTCCTTTATTGCTCCACACTGCTGTGCTGCTGGATAAGGTAAAGCCAGAGGACAGCAAACATGAGTGACATCCAGAAAAGCTGTTTTCCAAGTCTTGGGTGGAAGGTGGGCTTGGGTCTTCCTATGACAGGCACAGGCAGGGAAAGAGGGGACACACACACAGTACACTAAATCAGCTAAAAAAACGTAATTGAAGCTGGGCATGGTGGCTCACACCTGTAATCCCAGGACTTTGGGAGGCCAAGGTGGGCGGATCACCTGAGGTCAGAAGTTCAAGATCAGCCTGGCCAATATGGCAAAACCCCGTCTCTACTAAAAATACAAAAATAAGCCGAGAATGGTGGTGGGTGCCTGTAGTCCCAGCTACTTGGGAGGCTGAGGCACGAGAATCGCTTGAACCCAGGAGGTGGAGATTGCAGTGAGCCGAGATTGCGCCATTGCACTCCAGCCTGGGCAACAGAGCCAGACTCTGTCTCAAACAACAACAACAACAACAACAAAACCTGTAATTGTTTCACAACTTAATTGTTACATATTGACAGGCACATATTTTGGCCAACAACTACACACAAGTTCCAGGGTAGTTCTCTGTTTTTTTGCTCTTTGTGCCAGGGGTATAGATTCACATGCACACACAGCTAAACCAAAAGAACTAGACTGGGGGTGACTAGGTTTAGTTATAGGTCATCAGAAAAAGGACTCATAAGAACTAGCAAATAATAACTAGTAACTAATAACTACCAAATAATAAGAACCAGCAAAGTTAACTGTTGTGAAAACAGCTCTTTAGATTATAGGACACATTAACAGTGGTACAGTGACCAGCATGAGGGAAGAGAAGAACCTGCTCCATTCTGCCCTGGTAAGTCCCTATCAGAAGTTCTGTGTTCAAGTTTTTTGTTTTCATTTTTGGTGTTGCATTTCTAGTGGACAGTAGCAAACTGAAGCAAGCCAGAGGAAAATGCTTTAAAAATTGAAGAAGGTCTTGAAACCACCTTATATCAGGAATGGTTAAGAGATACTGAAGCAAGATAAAAGATACTTTAGTGTCTCACGACTACTGTCTCCAGATACGTGAGGAGATATTCTGGGGAAATGAAATTTAGAACCCTATGATTTGACTTGATTTAAAACAAAAAAAATTTTTAGTACCGTTTTTGTTTTGTTTTGTTTTGTTTTTTTAGACGGAGTCTCGCTCTGTCACCCAGGCTGGAGTGCAGTGGTGCGATCTTGGCTCACTGCAACCTCCACCTCCCGGGTTCAAACGTTTCTCCTGCCTCAGCCTCCAGAGTAGCTGGAACTATAGACGCCTGCCACCACGCCCAGCTAATTTTTTGTATTTTTAGTAGAGACGGGGCTTCACTGTGTTAGCTGGGATGGTCTCAATCTCCTGACCTCGTGATCTGCCCGCCTCGGCCTCCCAAAGTGCTGAGATTACAGGCGTGAGCCACCGTGCCTGGCCCGTAGTATGGTTTTTTAAGATGGAGTCTTGCTCTGTCGCCCAGGCTGGAGTGCAGTGGCACGATCTTGGCTCACTGCAGCCTCCACCTCCTAGGTTCAAGTGATCCTCCTGTCTCAGCCTCCTGAGTAGCTGGGACTACAGGTACATGCCACCATGCCCCATCCAATTTTTTTTTTTTTAAAGTAGAGTCAGGGTTTCACCATGTTGACCAGGCTGTCTCGAACTCCTGACCTCAAGTAATGCTCCCGCCTTGGCCTCCCAAAGTGCTGGGATTACAGGCATGAGCCACTGGGCCTGGCCTAGAACCCTATGATTTGAACTCTCTGGTTGGCTACATTCTTAGAGAGGAACTTAAGATGAGTGAGAATTTTTCTTTTTTTCCAAACCTCAAAGTGGCTCTTGGGGGGGAAATGAGAATTGAGGGGCAGATGACGCCTAATCCAGAATATGGACAATATGGCCAGCAGACAACCACTGAAGGGGCTAAATAGCACCTTAGGGATTATCTAACTCAATCCGCTCTTTTTACAGTCAGGAAATGAGGTCCAGGGAGAATGAGTGACTTGTCCAAAGTTACACAGTAAGCTAATGGGGAAATTGGATTTAGAAGCCGAGGACTTCGTGATTTTTTTTTGTTGCCAGTATGGTAGTCCCCGCTTATCCATGCAGAATTGGTTCCAAGACCCCCAGTGGATACCTGAAATGTGGGTAGTACAGAACCCTATATAGACTATGTTTTTTCCTATACATACATACCTATGATAAAATTTAACTCATAAATTAGCCATAGTCAGAGATTAACAACAATAACTAATAATAAAATGGAACAATTATAATATTTGGAATGGCACATAATTTAAAATTTATGACTTATTTCTGGAATTTCCCATTTAATTAATATTTTCAGCCTGCAGTGGATCTTGGGTATGTGAAACCTCAGAAAGCAAAGCCACAGCTAAGTGGAGGACTGTTGTATAATGAGCTGAAATCCTTCTTCCTATAATTCCCTCTCTGGTCCTAGCACTAACCTTTGGAGCCTCATAAATCACTTCCAACTCAGGAAGTTTTAGGATATGGGACTGAGAGAGTGCAGTGAAGCCTTTCTAGAGGACGTATCCCAGTTCTGTAAGTTCTCTGGGCTCTGCCACACATGCTTGGTCGCTGATTGAAGGCCCCTGGCCCTGCCGTTTCTGTTCTATCTACAACTGCAGTACAAAGGCTGCTCACCAACTGCTGCTGTTTGGTGTCTACACACAGCCCCCAACGGTCTATGACTGCTTTGAAGACAAGCATACTAGGTACAAGGAATGAGCAGAGGGTTTTACGTCAGAGGGTTCTGCATTAAAACCCTGGCGTTATTACTTTTCAGCTGTATAACCTTAGACAAGTTGCTCATATCAGTTTCCTCACATGTAAGATGAAGATAATATTATAAATAATACTGCACTGAATATTCCTGTGAAGATGTATTTCTACAGGATATATCCCTGTAAGCCAAATGGCTAGAGAGACATGACCATTACAAAATTTATATTTATTATTTGAAAATTGACTTCTAAAACAGGAGAGTCCAGTGCAATGTGTTTTGGATGTATGTGCAGTGACACAAGGCCAATGTCACTTGACCATTTGTTGAGGTGGCCAGTGTTTATTAACTGCCAGACCTGACCAGCCAACAGCTAAAATCTCAGTACCTAATGGTTCCACCTCTTTGTTTACTCTGCTTAGAGTGAGTCAAAGGATCCACCTGAACACGTGCATTTTTGCAAGTCCACTTTTGGGTGAGGCTGCTTCATTTAGTACCCATCACCCAACACTCACTTGTAGAGATAACCATGTTTCTTATTTCTAACACCATTGGCAAAATGTGTCTGTTCTTAAGCTACATAGAAATGGACTCCTGTGGTATATGGTATGTACTCTTTTGTTTCTGGCTTATTTCCCTCAACACAATCTTTATGAGATTCACCATGTTACCGCATATATCCATATTTCATTCTTTTTGTTTGTTTGTTTGTTTTTTTGAGATGGAGTTTCGCTCCTGTCACCCAGGCTGGAGTGTAATGGCACAATCTCAGCTCACTGCAACCTCTGCCTCCTGGGTTCAAGCGATTCTCCTGCTTCAGCCTCCCAAGTAGCTGGGATTACAGGTGCATGCCATTACACCTGGCTAATGTTTGTATTTTTAGTATTGATGGGGTTTCACCATGTTGGCCAGGCTGATCTTGAAACCCTGACCTCAGGTGATCTGCCCACCTCGGTCTCCCAAAGTGTTGGGATTATGGGTGTGAACCACTGAGTCTGGCTGAATTCTTATTGACTGCTACATAGTATTCCATTTTTTTAACCACAACTTCTCCATTCTCCTGCTGATGGACATGGGTAGTTTTGCATTCTTGGCTGATATGAATACAACTGTTATGAACATTTTCATACATATATTTTAGTGGACATATGTACTTGTAAGGATATAAGAAAAACTAAAGTGTTTTTCCTATTCTTTTTGAGACCCTAGAATGAGATGGGGTCTCATTCTGTTACCCACACTGGAGTGCACTGGCATGATCATGGCTCACTGCAGCCTCAAACTCCTGGGCGCAAGGGATCCTCCTGCCTCAGCCTCCCGAGTAGCTGGGACATAAGTGTGTGCCACCATGCCTAGCTAATTTACAACTTTTTTATTTGTAGAGACGAGGTCTTGCTATGTTGCCCAGGCTGGTCTTGAACTCCTGGGCTCAAGTGATCCTCCTGCCTCGGCCTCCCAAAGTGCTGTACACTCATACAGTCAAGAGCCACTGCACCCAGCCTCTATTCTCTACTCTCATACAACAAGCAAGCAATTCTGCAGATTCTCAAGTAGACGTCAAGTGTCCTCTATAATTCTGACATTATACACCTGGAGACAGCATCAGGTTCCACGGGTTGAGGGCTGAGTCCCACAAGACTACCCCAACTTCAGATGCCAGTCGCAAGTGCAGGTTGTGACTTGTGCTTCCGACCCACGGGCTATAAATCATGGTTATCATGACCCCTGCCTTGGGTCTGATGAATTTGCTAGCATGCTCACAAAACTCAGGGAAACCGTTTACCTAGGTTTACGGGTTTCTTAATAAAGGGCATAAGAAAGGCTACAGATGAGTGGGCAGATAAGAGACGCACAGGGCAAAGGATGCAGGAAGAGGATGGAGCTCCTCCGCTCTCCCTAGGCCTGCCCCCCCTCCAGGAACCTCCACCAGGTCAGCTCTCTGGAAGCTCTCCCAACTCTGCCTTTTTGGTCCTTTTATGGAGACTTTACTGGATGGGTACGATTGACCACTGTGTAGAAATGTGATTGGATAAAAAGGGTATGATCTCACAATAACAGAGTGGGGAAACCCAGCAAGGCCTGTTGATTCAGATTCTCCTCGGCCTCTCTGTAGCATTCCTTCCTCTAGGATATGGGGCGGAACCCATTCTGAAATGAGGGTCTTAGCACCCACAATCAGACAAGGTAGGTCAGGGAATTTCGTTAAGACCAGCTTCCAGTCAGAAAAGCAGGGGACGATTCCTGCCTTGGGGAGAAAAGGGGCAGGTGAAAGGAGGGCAGGAGAAAGGCAGAGAGAGACTCTTGTTTTCTGAGGCGGGCAGCACGCCGACATTCTAATAAGGGCTCTGGGAGCTACCAGCTAGGAAGCGTCGATGAAAACTAATACATATATGATAATATCACAATCTTCTATCCAGTGACCATGCCAAATTCACTTAATATAATATTAGTATATATTATTATATTACTATAATAGTTTGTAGCTACTTTCACATTTTCCACATACACTATTAAGTCATCTGCAATGCGAGATGGTTTTGCTTCTTCCTTTCCAACTGCTAAATCAAAGAGGTGAGAGTGAACATTCTTGTCTTGTTCTTGAATTCAGGTGGAAAGTGGGATACTATGACGTCAGCTATGGTTTTTGTTTTGTTGTTGTTTGTAGATACCCTTTATCTGATTAAATAAATCACTTTTGTACTTTTAATTCCTAGTTTCCTCAGTTTTTATCATGAAGGGATACTGAATTTTACCAAATGCTTTTTCTCCATCTGTGAGATGACCTTACGGTTTTCCGGCTTTATTCCATTAAATCAATCTTGCATTCCTGGAATAAATCTTATTTTTCAAAATTTTCTTTTTAATACATTATTAGATTCAAGTCATTAATCGTTTGTTCAGGCTTACTTACTGCATTATTGTTCATTAGAAATAATAACTTGTAATTTTCTTTTCTTGTAAGGTTTTTGTGCAGTTTTTGTATCATGGTTATACAGCATGGTTGTAAGAAGACATTATAGGAAGCAGGCTTTGTTTCTCTCATCTCCGAAGGAGTAATGTAAGACTGGCATTGTTTCTTCTTTATGTTTTTCAAGGAATATGTCCATCTTATCTAAGCTGTCAAGTTTACCGGCACAAGGTTATTACTAACGATATTCTATGTTTTTAGTTTATAGGATCTGTAGTGATTTCCCCTTTCATTCATTATATTGGCAATTTGTGTTTTCTCTTTCTCACTCTCAATAAAGGTTTATTAATTTAATTTTTTTTCAAAGAACCAACTTTCTCATTCAAAAAAACCGCGACATTTTGTGTTTCTCTATCATACATCTGCTTTCTATTTCATTAGTTTTTATTTTTTCCTTCCTTCTACTTTTGTTGGGTTTAATTTGCTTTCATTTTTCTTCTACCATCTTGAGATAGTGGCATAGATCACTGATTTTCAAATACTCTTCTTTTTCTAATATATGCATTTATAGCTATAAATTTCCCCATATGTACTTTTTGGGGCTTTTTTTTTGAGACAAGGTTATCACTTTGTTGTCCAGGCTGGAGTGCAGTAGTACCACCATGGCTCACTGCAGCCTCAAACTCCTTGGCTCAAGTGATCCTCCAGCTTCAGCCTCCTGAGTAGCAAGGACTACAGGCACATGCCACCACACCCAGTTAATTAAAAAATTTTTTGTTGGTAGAGGTGGATTTTGGAGTCCCACTATATTGACCAGGATGGTCTCAAAACTCCTGGCCCCAGGTGGTCCTCCCTCATTGGCCTCCCAAAATGCCGGGATTACAGGCATGAGCCACTGCGCCTGGCTCATATGTACTGTTCTAGCTGCGTCCCACAAGTATTGCTATGTTATATTGTCATTACTGTTCAGTTCAAAATATTTTCTAGTTTACACTGTGATTTCTTTTCTGTCTCATGGTTCATCCAGTATTAGACCACTTAATTTCCAAACATTTGGAGATTTTAAAAGTTACCCTCTGTTACTAATTTCTGGTTTAATTCCTCTGTGGTCAAAGAACATACTCTGTGTGAGTTCCATCCTTTTTAACTTGACACTTGCTTTATGGCCCAGCATATGGTCTATTTTGGTAAATGTTTTGTTTACTTGAGAAGACTATGCATCGTACAGTTGTTGGCTATAGTTTCTACAAATGAAAATTAGCTCAAGTTGGTTAATAATGTTATTCAAGTTTTCTGTCTTTACTTATTTCTATGTCTTTATTCAATTAGTAGCTTGGAGGTATGATTAGAATCTCCAACTATGCTTCTGAATTTGTCTCTTCTCCCTTTAGATTTTTGCGTTATGTGTTTTGAAGATATATGAATGGATTCATACAAATGTAGGGATGCTATGACTTCTTTTTCAATTGCCCTTTTAGCATTAAAAAGGTCTGTCATTATCTTTAGGAATACTTATTGCCTTAAAGTCTGCTTTGTCTGATATTAACATAGCCACATCAATTTCTTTTGGTGTTTGTAAGGTTTATCTTTTTCCAATTTTTTACTTTCAACTTTTTGTTTTTGGAGGCCTCGTTGGGATCTCCTTATCAGCTTTATTTTAAAAATAATTCTCCAAGGTTTGGCAGGACTGATCTGGACACTTGCTGAAGGATTAACATTTTAAAATGTCATACTTTTTGCATAGGAGCCCATAATTACAACGTTTACACAAGTTTTATTCTGGGGAGTGTAGGAGTGCCTTTCCTCTTCATTTAAAGGAAGGTCTTGCAACTCCATATATAATCATGGACCACATAATGATGTTTTGGTCAACAACAGACTGCATATATGATGGTGGTCCCATAAGACTATAGTACGGTATTTTTACTATACTTTTTCTATGCTCACGTATATTTATACACACAAATACCACTGTGTTACAACTGCCTGCAGTATTCGGTACAGTAACATGCTGTATGGGTTTGTAGCCTAGGAGCAACAGGCTATACCATACAGCCTAGGTGTGTAGTAGGCTGTACCATCTAGGTTTGTGTGAGCACACTCACATGACAACAAAATCCCCCAGGGGCGCATTTCTCAGGATGTATCCTCATCATTAAGAGGTGCATGACTGTACTGCCTTCACATGTTTTGGGGGCCTCTGGGTAAAAAGAGTCAAGAGTCCTCTACAAAAAAGAAAGATGCTTGATGGTGGAGAACTATCTTCTTGACCCCATATATGCCTGGATCTAAAAACTACAGAATCTACAGACTGGCAAAGGCTTTGGAGGTCTCATCTCATCCAAGTCTCTACTTGATGACAAACTGTCTTTCCCAGAATCTTACCTCTCAGGCTGGCAATGTAACACTTTCCATCTTTCAACAGTATGCTTGTAAGAAAGCTCATCCTTTTACTGCGTTAATATCTTCTTCATTATAGCATCCACGCAATATTCCTAGGTCTGTTCTCCGGGGTCCACATTGAAAGTGAGATTTCTCTTCCACATGGAACCCTTCAGAGACTTGAAAATCGCAGTCATGCCCCCTTCAGTTTCTATCTTCTTCAAGTAAATATCTCTTGTTACTCCTTCGATTGTTCCCCATATTATCCCGCTTTCAGATCTTTCACCAGTTTGGATGCCCTTCTTCTTGTAGATTCCAGTTTGTTGTACTCAGATGCAGTCCCAGCATTCTGCGGGAAGAATGACCCACGCAGAGCAGAGCAGAGCAGAGCAGAGCAGGACTGCAGTCTCCCTTCTTCTGGACCTCTGCCTCCATGAATTTGCTCCACCTCTATTAATTTACTCTATTAATTTATTCTACTTCTATCAATTCACTCTACTTCTACTAATTCAGCCTGAGAACTCACTAACATTTTTTGTTTTTGTTTTTTGAGACAGAATCTCGCCCTGTCACCCAGGCTGGAATGCAGTGGCGCGACCACGGCTTACTGAAGCCTCAACCTCCTGGACTCAACAGAATCTCCCACCTGGCCTCCTGAGTAGCTGGGACTACAGGCATGCCCCACCACGCCCAGATAATTTATATATTTTTTTATAGAGATGGGGTCTCACTATGTTGCCCAGGCTGGTCTGGAACTCCTGGGCTCAAGTGATCCACCTGCCTTGGCCTCCCAAAGTGTTGGGATTACAGGCATGAGCCACTGCAACAGCCACATTTTTTGGTGACCAAAACTTATTCTCAACTAAAAATCCTTTAGGTTTGTCACCCTGAATGTAAGATTTAGGTTAGATTTTGGCTAATGGTACTATAACTTACTATATATTTTCTCCATAACTGATTACCTGGTTTTATGTCCACCTATTTAGCAAAATGGTGATGATAATTCTTGTACCATTATCCTTACTGGGAGAATGAAATAATAGACATGAAAAGTGCTCCATTAACCATAAAGAGCATTAAACATGTAAGATATCCCTATTTAGTTATAAAACCAGGAATCTTTGATTCTCTCAACATGTCTGACCACTTTAAGGTGGTAGCCCACACGGACTAAAACCAAATCTGTGAAAATCAGTCTTTCTACTGAGGTCCCTAAAAGTTGTTATGGACCAGATTTCCTGCCATTTTCTCTAATGTCTTGGTTTACCAAGAATCTCTTTTCTATTCCTAGCTAAACATGCCCCATCCATGTGGGGAGATATCCTCAATCCTGTCTGATAGCCTGTCTCCTGAACATGTGATTCCAAGTGGGAGGCTGTGCTCTGAACTTCTCAATCACACTCTAGGAGGTCTCTAAGTTAGAATCAACACAGCCCTCCAAATTTAAACAGGATACCACTGAAGACTGCCGTCAGTCCCTCCCGGAGTGGGGAAAAGGTCTCTTTCTCAACATGTGGTTTCCTCTGAAGGAGGCTGTGAGGTGCTGAGGTCCCTGAGAACAGGCGGTGTTTGGGTTTTGGGGAGCTCTCCCTTCCCATGCCCTTTCCAGTACACCATGCCGTCTTCCTACTACGCCCTGGAGGGCAACCAAGAGGCAGGAAGGGAATGGGAAACTTGTCATAATAAAAGCAATCACTTATGGAACACCTACTATGATTCAGGAACTGCACAAGGTGGACCTTGTGTCAAAGACATGGAGGTATTGCCCTCACAAGCCCCAACCACTAGGTGTTCTGAAAGCTTGAGATATTTTTGACTGTCACCATAATTGGGGCCAAAGGTTCTGTATATCCTGCAACGTGTGGCACAGTGTGTCACTGAAAGGCAGATCTAGAATTAGTGAATTGGAATTTTAGGAAGGCAGCTTCTAGAAGGTTTCTAGAAAGACATTTATACCATTATACCACTAAGGCTCATCAACAAGGGAAAGGGATGCTTTTGGAGGTACCAAGATTTCAAGGTTAGAAAGACTATCTTTTCGGAGTCTCGCTCCGTCGCCCAGGCTGGAGTGCCGTGGTGCGATCTCGGCTCACTGCAAGCTCTGCCTCCTGGGTTCACGCCATTCTCCTGCCTCAGCCTCACAAGTAGCTGGGACTACAGGTGCCCGCCACCACGCCCGGCTAATTTTTTTTTATTTTTTAGTAGAGATGGGGTTTCGCCGTGTTAGCCAGGCTGGTCTTGAACTCCTGACCTTGTAATCCACCCGCCTTGGCCTCCCAAAGTGCTGGGATTACAGGCGTGAGCCACCGTGCCCAGCCAGAAAGACTACCTTTTATCAGGGGTCCTGGGGTAGAGATGTCTCTGTTAGCCATGAGCATCATGAAACTTAATAGGGCTATTTCGATTAAAGCAAAAACCCAATCAACAGGCAACACACTAAAAACAGAACCCAGAGTTTCTGTTCTCTCTCTTCCGATCGCTGATTCTTTCCAAGATAGCAGCTAACCTGCTGCTCAACTTAGCTGAAGCTTGACCCACAAAGGCTGCCACAAGATGCTGTTTATATAGAC
The DNA here is from genome assembly GCF_000001405.40 of Homo sapiens. Lineage (NCBI taxonomy): Eukaryota > Metazoa > Chordata > Mammalia > Primates > Hominidae > Homo > Homo sapiens. The sequence goes on along the minus strand of NC_000014.9, from coordinate 100,085,593 downwards.
TTTTTCACAAATGCTATAATCACAGATCTGTTAAATTCACTGCTATAAATGCTCTTGTCAATCTATAAGAAGAGAGTTGGAGGGAGAGCACCGAACTAACCAAAGTCACTGTGGTTAAGTCGCCCAGCCTATTTCTCCATGTCCCTATTTTAGTCCATGTCACATCAGACTATTTTGCCATTAATTACGTGTATATGACTATTCATGACACAGGTGGACATGATTGTTCCCTCATATTTATGTAGGTATTTACCAGGTACACTCACAAACTATCTTATCTGATTTGCCTAGGTTGAACTATTAGGGAGAGAAATGACCCCAGGTTCTCCAAACCATCTTGATACTCTTTCTAAAGTAAGACTTAGAAGGTTGATGAACCCCAAATCTTAATAGCTACCTTACATATGAATAAGATGAACACATTTTTGCAATATTATTTTTTCAAAGCTTTCCCACATCTATTATTTATTTTAATCTGACAATAACACAGTGAAATAGGCAGGGTGCGGATTACTGTCTCCATATGACATAGGTAAAAAGTGAAATCCAGGAAACAGTGTGCTTAAGGTGTCATACTTTGAACTATGAGGATATGGAGTCAAAATCTGAGCCCAGGTCCTCTGATTCCGAATATTGACCTTTTTGTTCTGACCTCTTAATGATACATGTGTGTAAGGGGTGGGCGGTGAGGAGGTGGTGCGCAGGCTCACGGGTATAATCTGTAATTCCAGCACTGACCTGCTGATCCTGCAACTTGACTCCAACGACTCTGAAGGTGTTGCTGGCAGTGTTGTGGTAGATGTTGATCCGGCTGAATCCCTGCTGGCCAGGTTTGATTGGTACCCATTTCTTACTGGTGTCATCGTAGACCATCACGGAAGCCCGGGCTTGGCAGATACTCTGTTCACTGCCGAGCAAGAAAAAACTGGTGTCAGCCTCAGCTACAGTGGATGGAAGTTGACTTTGCCCTTTTCTGAAATAGAGGCCAATTGCTACTTGACATAAAGAAACTTTCCAATTGCCAGAACTTCCAACATCTATGGAAGAACTGCCTGGTGAGGTGATGAGCTTACATTCTCTAAGGAGCTTGCAGAGTGGAGAGGAGGTTCTGTGCCAAAACTTTCAACAGCTTGGAAAAGACTCACAACTTTGTTTTCAGGGGAGAAGTTGCTTGAATAAGAAAGGAATTACAATTATAATTTGCCAACTGTTCACAACATTCCATGTACTGTATTAAACAAGAGAATGTGGCCAGGCACGGTAGCTCATGCCTGTAATCTCAACACTTTGGGAGGCTGAGGCTGGTGGTCCACTTGAGGTCAGGACCAACCTGACCAACATGGTGAGATGCCCCCTGCCTCTAAAAACACAAAAATTAGCCAGGCACGGTGGCACATGCCTGTAATCCTAGCTACTCGGGAGGCTGAGGCACAAGAATTGCTTGAACCCAGGAGATGGAGGTTGCAGTGAGCCAAGATTGCACCACTGCACTCCAGCCTGGACAACAGAGTGAAACTGTCTCGGAAAAAAAAAAAAAAAAAGAGAGAGAGAGAGAATGCATTATTAAAGCATCTAAGCTTCATGACTTATGAAGCAGCTATTTATTACCTCCATTCTCCATTTTTTTAGATGAGAAAAAAGTGGCTCAGAGACTTGCAAAGATGTATACAAGTTCATACACGTATTCAGTGATTACACTGGGGATTTCCAACCACTTCTGTCTGACTCTAGAGCATATGACATAGATAATATTCTTTGCAACATCCAACAAAATGCTTCATTTATGGTATTATGCTAGGGTAGCATCAGATAAGCTATGTAGGCAATGAAGTATTTTGGTGATCTAAAGAAAAATGCAACATAAATCAAAATAAATAGATGGCTGCACCATACTTTGCTGAAGACATTTACGTAGTAAAGCAACCTCATTTGTTCAAAGTATGACAGAGAAGCAGGGGAGAAGCCCCTGAAAGGATAAAATAGTCATTACTAAAATTAATACACTAAAACTCCTGCCACGGTATTCAGGGGAAGTCTCTCGGAGCCCACTGGCTCTTCATAAACCTAATAATCTTTAACATCTTCTCTAGCATATTAGAATTCCCAAATTTAAAAAAGCAATACTCGTTTATTTCTTTTTTTTTTTTAAAGAGGGAATTGTGATTGTGCCACCGCACTCCAGCCTGGGTGACAGTGTAAGACTGTCTCCAGAAAAAAAAGATAGAGTAAACTGTACACAGAACCAGACAGACGTTGGGTCAAATCACAGTTCTATCCCAATGTAAATGAACCATAAATCAAGTGATGGGCTGAATTCTGGCACTTACTGCTTCTGGTACACTCAGTTGCTAACTGTGACAGTCGACAAGTAGGTGTGTGTTCTGGATGCTGTCTCAGGAGCTAGGAGAGATCCTGAGATGCAGCATGGTCTTGGTTAACAAAACATGGGTTTTATTAAATCAGAGGGATCTGAGTTGGTGCCCAGCTCTACCATTTGCTGGAAGGTGACCACAGAGCCCTTGAGATGATTCTGGGGGAGCACTCTGGGAAGGTGCTGTGTGAGGGGCAATGCTTTCTAGAGTCCCTGTGTGGCAGCCATGGAAGCACGCCCTTCAGTTCCCCTGCAGGAGAACCTGCTATGGGAGCAGAGCTGGTGCACAGAGGCCATGCTGCTCCCAGCCGCTGACTGAATGTGGCAGGGGCACCAGTGCCAGCCCATTCCTGCCCAACACAGGACTCTTCTGTGGGGGAAGCCTTGGTTTGGGGACACCCTATCAGCCTGGCCCAAATGTTCTCAGCACTGTGATGTGGTCTGAGATGCTTCTAGTCCATCCTTCCTGGCCTTTCTCCTTTCGCAGACTTTTGACCTGTGTCAGAACCTGGCACAGAGCAGGTGCCTAATAAATGCTCACTAAATAATCTCAGAGCTGAAAAGAACTATAGACACTAATCCACTTTTGTGTCCAATGAAGCTGCCCTCACAAGTCCACACTGAGCTTTGGGTGATGGGAAACTTAACTTACTACTCTCCAAAGCAACCCGTTGGTTGTAAATGGTTTTAATTTAGACAACCCCTCCTTGTTCTGAGTGACATGCCACTCGCTTCTCTCCAGAGTCACACAGGGTGCTCTGCAGAGCCTGTGACAACCCACCGGATAGCTGAAGGAAGAGCGCTTCCTTCCATCAGCCACACGACAAAGCTACCAGTCCCCTCGCCATCCCAGTAACTAATCAGTCTGGGTCCTAAAACTGGGCACAATATTCCAGGCTTAGTCTGACCAGTAGATGGTAGTGAGTCAAAAAACATTAATGAAAGAGAGATGGGTAGAACAGTACCTGCCCTCAGTGAGCTCACAGCTAGTAAGGCAGTCAGATGAGTAATTATAAACCTTATCCAGCCTGGAGGGATGCGGGGGAGGGGGGGACAGGGGAGGCTTTCTTCTTTTAAATTTTTATTTATTTATTTTTTTGAGACGGAGTCTCACTCTGTTGCCCAGGCTGGAGCTCAGTGGCGCGATCTTGGCTCACTGCAACCTCCGCCTCCCAGGTTCAGGCGATTCTTGTGCTTCAGCCTCCCATGAAGCTGGGACTACAGGCACATACCACCACGCCTGGCTAATCTTTTAAATTCTAGCAGAGACAGGGTTTTAAATTTTAGTAGAGACAGGGTTTTACCATGTTGCCCAGGCTGGTCTTGAACTCCCAGCCTCAAGCAATCTGCCCGCCTTGGACTCCCAAAGTGCTGGGATTACAGGCGTGAGCCACTGCGCCAGGCCTGGGGAGGCTTTCTGAAGCAAACGCTGTGTGGGTTTTAAGATGAATTCAGGAAGGGGATGTGGGGTTCTAGGAGGAAGAGACAGGCAGCTGAGCAGAGGCAGGGAGTAAAGAACTGCACGGCACGTAGAGAACCGCTAGCACTAGGTGGGGGTGAAGCATACCTGGGGTATCACACACACCTTTTAGGGGAGTTACAGAGATGGCATAAATAAAGCACTGTGCTTGCCACTAGATGCCTGAAGACCAATAACCATTTTTCTTCTTGTAATTATAGCTACAGGTTCCTTTTTTTTTTTTTTTTTTGCTGTTGTTAATACTTTAGGTTCAAATTAAACTTGTGGTTAACCAAAACCCCTGGTTTCCCCCCACCCTTTGAATAGTATTGGTTTGTCTCTTATTTTATTGCTACTAACAAAACCTAAATGCAAGAAAATACACACATTTATTCTACTTAAGATTTGTTTTGCTAATTTGGGCTTATTATACCTTTGAAATTTTTTGTTTTAATAAAATCTCGATTGCTATCTAACCTCGACATTGCCTCTGAGCAATATATATTGACTTGCCTTCTCGACATCTTCACCTGGATAAATACTCAAACTCTGTATCATACACACCCTCCCTAGGCATCATAAATTTAATTTGTCCAAATCATCTATCCCTTGAGGAAATCTAATTTTGTATTATTATTATTGTTATTGTAGAGACAGGGTTTCGCTATGTTGCCCAGACTGATCTCAAACTCCTGGGCTCAAGTGATCCTCCCATCTTGGTCTCTTTGGTCTCTCGAAGTGCTGGGATTACTGGCATGAGCCACCGTGCCTAGCTATAAGGAAATTTGATAGGCAAATATTTTCTTAAATTATTTATTGAATAAATGAATGAACTTTTTAAAAAACATATACATATGAAATTTCATTTACTAAATGGTTCCCATGAGGTCTTCAAGTCTCACAGGCTTCTTTTATATGATCAAAACAATCTGTTGATTAGTTGGGGAGTGAAATCAGTCAAAACACACTGGTTTGTTCTGCATGGTGTTAAGTTACCAGGTTGGTGGACTTCTTTCCCCCCTGGGATCTAACAGGCATCTCTGAGCTGTAGGTATAACTAGAATTTCTCTCTTGGGGGAAGGCTCTTTTCAAACAAGCAGTCCAATTCCCCTGTCATTTTGGGCCTTCGTACATGTATTTGTGGGGCCCATATAATCTGCACCTGTAATTTCCCTCCGTGTGTCATGCAAGACCTAAACTCTTAAAGCTTCAGACTGCACTTCTATCACTTATAGGAGAAAGACCATGTGACTCTAGGCCTCAGTTTCCTCATCTGTACAAGGTGAGTCTGACCTCAAGAGCTCCCTCAGACAAGCGCTGAGTACTCGCTGAGCTCTGTCCATGAGCCCAGCATGGGGCAGGGCACAGCAGGGAAGATGGGAAAAGCCACAATCTTTGTCCTGTCGCTGCTTCAGCAGTTAATTTTTTTAGATCATACACCAAGCCTGTCCAAGCTGTGGGCCGCATGTGGCCCAGGACAGCTTTGAATGCAGCCCAAATTTGTAAACTTTCTTAAAATATTATGAGATTTTTTTAAAAGCTCATCAGCTATTGTTAATGTTAGTGTATTTTATGTGTGGCCCAAGACAATTCTTCCAATGTGGCCCAGGGAAGCCAAAAGATCGGACACCCCTGCTGTATATCATAGACCATTTTTGAATGTCTGTTGAAATCTCTCACTGAAGAGAAAAAAAAAAAAAAGCAAAACACATCCCAAATTTTCTGCATGTAGTTCTGAAACCTAATCATAGACCTTCCAGGACCTGATGTAGGAAATCAGTAATGCATTTCAAGATAAAACTATTACATAGGCAGCTGGGTGTGATGGAACATGCCTGTAGTCCCAGCTACTCAGGAGGATGCAGAAAAAATCTTGCAGCACGGCCCTCCGTGATGACAGCCCGAAGTCAATCTCGGGCTGTCACTCTCTAATCCTTCTGGAAAAGTTCAGGCTCTGTGCCCCTGGACTCTTGCTCCCCCACTCCCTGTGTGGCTGGGAACAAGGTTTCTGAAATTCTCATGGGCTTACACAGACACGCCATCCTAGCCCTGTTATTTCCTTGAAGGACAGAGTGTAAATTCATAAAGTAAGGGAAAAAGGAAGGTCCACAGGGAGGAACGAGGCTAACCACAAGAGGTTTTTTGGGAAATGTGAGTGCAGGGTTGAACTTGGAAAAAGCACAGGATGTAGACCTGTCCAGAGAGAGGCTGGCTCCTGCAGCCCCATGCTTGCTTCTCCCTCTGCCAGAGCGCTTTTCAGTTTGTCCTGCCTCTCCGAATCTGCTGAGGTGTCTGCACCACCAGCCTGTGAGCTCCTTGAAGGCAGGAACTGTTTTGTTTTCCCCTTGGTAAAGCCAGTCCCTGTATGCTGTAGACATGAATAATTGTTAAACAAATGACCCTGACTGTGGGAAAAACAGTGCATTTATGATTGTGTGCCCGTGGGAACATTCTACTCACAATCCTCTCCATTTATTCTCAGAAAAAGTGTAACTGCCAAGCAAAAGCATCTGTCACAGATTACCATCAGCCTTCTCTCTCACAACAGCCTGGGATGGGCGAGTCAGGAAACCACAGCTCTGCGGGTGGGCTCCTGTGCAAAGCGAGGCTCAGCCCTGTCTGCTGCCTCTAAAGGTGCATCTCAGCTCTGCCTGGGCCCAGGCCTGCGGAGAAAGACCCGCTCCTCCAGAGGGAGGCCTCTGGGAAGGTACAGGCTGCCCTCTTCTGCTCCTCTGGAGTGTCAGCCTAGGAGCCACACTCCTCCTTCCTGGAAAGCAGGCGGCCAAGGCCTCACTCTCTCTCCCTGGGACTGGCATGGTGGTCCTGCTCAGCCTTAATGCTCAGACTTGGGAGCTCCTTTTGGACAGAACAACTCTTCATACTCTGTCTTGAGGGCCAATTTTTTCTTCCCAGTAGGACTGTGAACCAGCATTTGCCCATAACAGAAGGGTTTCCTAGGAGGTAGGCATTCGGCACTAAAACTGGGATAATCCCGGGCAAACCAGGGTGAGTGAGCTGCCCTGCTGGGAACTCCTTTATCTTTCACCACATAACCATCACAAGGGTGGGCACCTAACAAGCACCCCGCCAGCTGATACGACTGGACTTCACTCCCTACTTCCTGCTGTTCCCCACCCAGCTCGTCTTGTCACTTGCTCTCTCCATTTCCTTACCCTGCCCCACCCCCACCCTGCCGTCACTCTCCAAGCCCCCATTGGAACCTGGCCCCTGGCCCTGAGAATACACTTAAATAAGCCCAGACAAGGTTACTGCCTTTCCACTTCCAGCTCCAATGTGTGCTTTCCGGCTCTCGAGTCACTGGGCCCATTAGTGAGCCAGGCACTGCTATGTCCTCATTCTGAAAACCTCTCCTCCTTAATCCCCAGCCTTCCAATTCTCCTGGCATTCCACTTCGCTCTCTGTGATTCCTGCTCAGCCTCCTTCACAGGTTTCCTTTCTACTTATCTTTTATGTCAAGTGTTTTTAATCCCGGGTCCAGGGAAAGGCTTGAAGAGTCTGAGAAACCTCCAAAATTATCTGCAAAAGTGTGCGTGCATGCTGCTTCTAGAAATGCATTTACCATGTTCTTAAATGGGTTTGCTCTCCAAAACAGATTTTAAAACCAACGTGAACTATGTGGAATTTCTTCTCATTTTACTCTATGCTCATGATCCTCAAAATTGTATGCATGGCCGGGCGCAGTGGCTCACGCCTGTAATCCCAGCACTTTGGGAGGCCAAGGCGGGCGGATCACGAGGTCAGGAGATCGAGACCATCCTGGCTAACCGGTGAAACCCCATCTCTACTAAAAATACAAAAAAAAATTAGCCGGGCATGGTGGCGGGTGCTTGTAGTCCCAGCTACTCCGGAGGCTGAGGCAGGAGAATGGCGTGAACCCGGGAGGCAGAGCTTGCAGTGAGCCGAGATTGCGCCATTGCACTCTAGCCTGGGCGACAGAGCCAGACTCCATCTCAAAAAAACAAAAACAAACAAAAAAACTGTATGCACTGTAAGAGTCAGGTGAGTGTTTATTAAAACACAAATCCCTAGGCCCCCATTTAGGAGATTCTGATGTGGTAAGTCTCAGGCGGGGCGGGGTCTCTACTGTAACACACGTTTGCTGGTTCTAGGCAAATGGTCCATGAAGGAAACTTTGAGGACCATTCGCTTTCACGTCTCCTCATGGGCTCTGTCATCCATGCCAGGGTTTACACGAGCACCAATACACTGATAAATCCCATGTCGATGGCTCTCCAGTCCTGTCCTTTCTTCTAAAATGTGGAGCCATATTTCTAACTGTTGGACATAACTTAGAGACCTCACAATTTAACATGCTTAAGAGAGAAAGTATTCTTTTCACTGTTTCCCATTTCAAGGAATGGAAGCAACACCTACCCAGTCCCCTGAGTCTGAAACCTGAAGGCCATTTCAGATGCTTTTTTGTGCTTCACCCTCCATGGCCCAATGGCCATCTGTTCTATTTCTTAAACATCTTTTGGATCTGGCCCTTTCTCTCCCTCCTTGCTGCCAGTCCCAGCCCTTGTTATTTATTTTAGACCACAGCCTCCTAGCTGTTCCCCCGCCTCTGGTTGAAGTCTCACACCCCCAACCCTTCAATTGCAATGTCACCAGAGAGACCTTCCTCAAAGGCAAACTGACTGAGCCTCTTCCCTCATTGGGAGCTCTGCCACTTACCAGCTATATGACCTCATACAAAACTTCTGTGTTCCCCAGTTTATCTATCTATAGCTTATCCTCCTTTATCTACCCATATCTTTCCTCTTTCCTCATCTTCTTTATAGGGTTGTCTGGAGAATTAAGACTTAACATGTGTAAGCACTTGGAGCAGCACCTGACCCCATGTGGCATGAGGAAGGGAGTCATCGTTATTACGCAATATAATCCCAGCTCTGGGGCAGGCAACTCAGGGGCCTTCACATTGTAGCCCTTGCCAAAGTGTCCACAGCCGACCCAACCCTTGGCTTAGTCTTGTGGAAATGCACACAGGCCCCTAACACTCCACCCCCCGCACTCTGTGGCCTCTGCTGTGGCTCAGGCCACTTCCTCTGCCTGGGATACTTTTCTCAGCCGAGCCGAGCTGACCCAAGCCGACCCACTAATTTGTACTCATCCATAAAGACTTGGAATATCTGTTACCTCTTTTAGAAAATCTTCCCTGAAGCCCCAGGCTGAGTTAGATGGTCCTTCTCTGAGCCTTATTATCCCTATTATCATGGTCCTGTGCCTACCATCACAGCACTTACTGCAGCAATGTCTATGCTAGGTCCCTCTGCACACCACTGAACGCCTCCAGGGCAGGGGCCATTTCTTTTAGGCAGACTTCTCCCTATGTAGAGTGAGGACTTAGGCCACAGTTCTCTTCCTATCTGTTGCCCTCTAGAGGTCCAAGACCACAGTGTAGATGACTCTGCTGGTCCCAGGGAACTTCCCTTCTTGCTCTGCTGGACCTGAGGCTGCCCACAAACGGCCCAGCACATTTCAGCGAGGAAGGACCCGTCTGATCACATAGCCCAACCAGCAGCCTGGTGGTAAAGCCAGGAATGGCAGCGAAAGCATCCCCATGACATTGGGCCAATTAAGATGTCTTTTCTGCTACTCCTCAAGTAATTAGGAAGAGATATTTCTCCTGCCCAAGATGATTTCTTTTTCCTACATCCAGAGGTTTGAATCTTACCTTTTCTCAAAGCTCACATTGTCATTGCTTTCAAAACACACCTATCCACCCATTCCCATTCATTTAATAACTACTAACAGGCATATGGCTCAGCTCTGAAGGAGATTACAATCTATCAAGAAAAACAGATCACTGCAAAATGGGTGTATGAGAATGGGAAGGGAGAACATCAGGCTTTGTAGGAGGAGTTATTGTCTGTAAACCGGAGCTGATAAAAATAGCATGGTCTACTTCTATGGTGATTAACAGGCAAGACATGAGGGTGACCAGTACCATGCTGGGTACATTCCTTACGCTCAGTAGGTATATGTCTCTGCCCCCCAAACCCCACCCCAAGGTGCCACGTGCCTCTGATTACTTTCAAGCCGTCAGGACAGCCACTTCAAACTATCTTCTTCCTGAGACTGTGGGCTTCTGGAGAACAGGCCCATGTCTGAGTTCAGATACCCTTCCTCAGTGAGCCATCGTCCTCAGTGTAGCCTGGTGCCTCTGGCCCGGGCTCTGCAGCTGCCAAGTGTGTTAATAAGGGGTGAGTAGTGAAGGGTCGGGGGCTAGAGAGAAGTGGCCATAAATAAATGTTCCCAAAGCTAGGCAGAAACACAGCCAGACTGAGGCAGTTTGTAAAGTCCTGACTTGTTTACCTTCAACATACAAGCAACAAAAGTGAATCTTAAAAGCTGGGCTGAGAACCATCAGTAAGGAGCCTCCTGGATGGGAGCGGAGCAGCCCACACTGAGGTGCTCACACAGACCTGTCTGGGCACTCCAGTGCAGAGCAGAGCTGGGGTCTACCCACAGAGCCCCAAGACAAGGCCCGGCACACAGGAGGAGACAGGGGCTTTCTCCTTTGCCAAATTCCAGTCTCTCTCTGAAGCACATCACTTGCTAGTTCAGAAGAGCCCCTGCAGCCATGCAGCTTGGCTCTGGTAACATAGGTGACATCTTCACCTGACTTCACACAATGCTCAAACCACCATCACGAGGTCATTATCACATTTATTCCCACTTCTCATTGTGTGGCTCCCCCAAGTCACACAGGGAGTCAAGTCAGAGACACTGCTGGACAGGACCCTGCCTCCTGCCATCTGGAGGCCTCTCCTTCCAGCTCTCGGAGAACTCTCTCACACTATGAACTCCCCTCTGCCCACAGGCAGCCCCACCCTGTCTCCCCTCAGCCTGCCCCAGCCTCGCCATTCTGCTCTTGCCACAGACTTCTTGCCCTCCTTCTTGCCCTCCTCGCCTCCTGTGTGAAACTTCTCCCTTGGCTGCCATGACACCGCATGGCTTGGCTCTTCTCTGGACTGCCCCTTTTCTGACCACTGTCTTTCCCAAGGTGGAGAGGGGCAGACAGAGAGAGAGTACTTTAGAGAAAGTCTGGCTGGCTGGTGCCCACCAGGAAGCAGTGCTGTGCTGGGAAGCAAGGCTGGGTACAGAGAGTTAAGGCCAGCCCTCACCATGGAGTCAGCGCGGGGAAGTGAGAACACTGTGGACAACAGCTCCAGCTCTGCCCCAGGTCTGGCTCTATTGTTTGCCAGCAACAAGACTTCAGGGAGGTAAGTTTACAGCTCTGTAAAACAAGTAGAATCATCTTTTTGCATTTTCTTTTACCTTTGCTGGAGATCAAATAAGGCTGATGAAATAAACAGGAGAGCAGTTTACTAAACATGATTAGCACCCAGCAGATACTATCTTGAAAAAGGACAATGTTGGCTGGAATGAACAGCAAATCCATATGAGGCAAGACTTAGGGTGGAATCTACATGAAACTGCCTTCCGTGTCCACATGGAGAGCTGTCATTATCACCTACTACTCTTTTAACTTCTAACGAGAAAAACAAGGTGGCAGGTTCCTCACTGTGGCCTGGAGAATTGCCTCAGGCCTCACCAAGTGGGAGCAGGCTGTCGGGTCCTGTCTGTGGAATGGCCCAGATCAACTGTGGAGGTCACTGAGGGCCCGCTCCTGAGCCCTGGCTGTTGGGAAATCAGTTTCCGGGCCCTGATTTGCTCCTGTGCTTTCCTCTAGCCTCTACTCACACTGCTCCCCGACCCCCCGCCCCCACCGCCCCCGGGGGTGACTCCCTGAACCCACTGAAGAGAATGCTAATGCACACCCTCGGGCCCCTGCCGCTCCCCTCAGCTGCTTAGCTTTTCTGCAGAACACTTACCATACTTGCCACTGAACTGAGGGGCAAGTGCCTCCATGAGGCAGGTTGTTTGGTTTGGTTTTTAAAGTAGTGTTCATCTCGGTAGCTCTAGTAACTGGGCCCTAGTGGTTTCTCAACAAATATCTTTGAATAACTGCTGGCTTTTATGTTTGCTGAGTTTTGCCAGGTATTGTATTTCTCAGCCTCCACGGATTTTTGTGGTGGGGGTGGCATGACTTACTTGAGATCTGGCCACCTCTGCTTTCTCTTTCTTTCTTCCTGCATTTATTTGAAAAATAAAACAAGGGCCGGGCACAGTGGCTCACACCTGTAATCCCAGCACTTTGGGAGGCCAAGGTGGGAGGACAGCTTGAGCCCAGGAGTTCGAGACCAGCCTGGGCAACACAGATCCTGTCTCTACACAAAATAAAAAAGTGTTAGCCACGCATGGTGGTGGGTGCCTGTAGCCCCAGCTGCTCAGAAGCCTGAGGTGGAAGGATCCCTTGAGCTGAGGAGGTTAAGGTTGCAGTGAACCGTGTTTGCACCACTGCACTCCATCCTGGGTGACAGAGCAAGACCCTGTCTCCCCAAAAAAAAAAAAAAAAGAAAAAGGAAAAAGTGCTGTACGTGCAAAGTGTCACAAGAGGAGGGCATTTAGTTCTGCCCAGGGGACCCAAGGGATGTTGTCATGAAGGGGAAGCAAGACTTTTCAAGAGGAAACAAAGAACCATTTCAAGCAGAGGGAAGAGTGTCAGCAAAGGCAGAGTGGTGGGTGGGGGGACCTCAGTCATCACCCTGGGGCCTCATCACTTCTCAACACCTACCCAGGTGAATGAGGAAGCACACCCACGTTGCCATGTCCCAATTCAGTGACCGAGAAACAGAGACGCTTGAAATCACAGCCGCATCAGAACTGAAAAACATTCTGCAGTGATTTTCTTAGGAAACACGCCTGGAGAGGGAAGTAACCTGCCCAACGCCCATGGCTGATCCGCGGCAGAGCCTGGACTAGACAGCAACCTGACGCTCCGCCGTGCAGTAAGGCTCTTCTGCTCCACCTGGCGACGCAGCAAAACCCAGCTCCAACTTTTACTTCCTGCTTTGAAGCTGTTTTTCACTCCAACTTTTTAATCTGAAAAATTTCAAACCTACAGGAACATGTAAGGGACACTCTTTTACCTTTCACTAAACCTGCCCATGGTTAACATTTGCCACATGTGAGTTATCTCTGTCTTTCCCCTGAGCCATTTGAAAGTCAGCTGCAGATACCATGATACTTCAGTCCTAGGGACCTGAGCATACATTTCTTTAATATAAGGATATTCTAATATATAACTTAAATACCATTGTTACAACAAAGAAAATCAACACTTTACTAAAAATCTAATACAGAGTCCATACTAAAACTTACCCATGTAATCCCAGCACTTTGGGAGGCCAAAGCAGGTGGATCACCTGAGATCAGGAGTTCGAGATCAGCCTGGCCAACATAGTGAAACCCCATCTCTACTAAAAATACAAAAATTAGCCAGGTGTAGTGGCGCATGCCTGTAGTCCCAGCTACTCGGGAGGCTGAGGCAGGAGAACTGCTTGAACCCAGGAGGCACAGGGAGGTGTAGGATGCACTGAGCGGAGATAGCTCCAATGCACTCCAGCCTGAGCGACAGAGGGAGACTCCGATGCAACAACAACAAAAAAGTTACCCAATTTTTACAAAATGTTTCTGATTTTTTGGGATGTAGGATCTGCTCATGGATTACATTTGATCGAGCCGTCTGCTTACTCCCTTTCAAGCTAAGCTAGGATGTGAAACTATTTAAAAATTTTTCATTGATAAAGATGTTGTGTGTGTGAAGAATTCAGGCCAACTGAATGTAGACTGTAGGTTGGTTAAGAGGTGACTGCCAGATCTCCAATGGAAAGCTATATTTTCCCCTTAGTAATTATTAAATCATTTATAGGGTGCCATTTTTTTTTCTTAATGGGCACAGGTGTGAAACAGGTTTCATGCTATGAAGTAGACTTAAAATGTTTATTGTGAAGTACTTCAGGCCTGTGAGAAGTAGGTTCCCACGATCCCACCACACAGTCTAGGAAATCTGACAGCAAGTCATAAAGCTGTTTAGTTCAAGTGACGCCTGCATCCTCCTCCCAGACCCAGAGCCCCTCCTCTCTACCAGGGGGAACCGCCACCTTGCAGGTGGTATTTTCAATTCCATGCTTGCTGTCTGTAGTGCAGCCATACAACTGACTATTTTACACACATAGTTCTCAAACTTTTTTGGTCAAGAGAACCCCTTTACACTCAATTATTGAGGATGCCAAAAAGCTTCTGTTTTATGTAGGTTAAGTCTATCCATATTCACCTTATTTGAAATTAAAACTAATAATTTTTTAAAACACAAGAATATACAAGCAGACATTTCATTAGCTGCCACAGTGATGATGTCAAAACATCACATAGCTCTGGAAAATTCCACCATGAATTCATGAGACAAGAGCTGAAATGGCAAATGATGTCTTAGTAATATTATAAATACAGTTCTGATCTACAGACTCCTAGGAGGGTCAATCTCTGGAGTACATTTTGAGAACTGCTGCATTACAGCAATGAAAGACAATGAATTAGCTCTCTGCATATTAACATGGGAAACCCAAATGGTGACTGAGCCCCATTTTTGAGAGTGTTAGAATTAAAGAAAGGCTTTGGGTAAATAAAGTCTACATTCAGTGTTAAACCCTGACACCTTCTTTTCTATCCAAATTGGTTGCCCACATCATGGGCAATCAAGACGTTTGCCTTTTCTCCTTGGATGTCACCCTCTCAGATGCCTGGACAGCTGGTCTCCATTACTCTGTGAAGTCTGGTGCAATCTGGAAAAACACTCCAACCAACTGTTGGGGGAGTCTGACATTCCTAGACTGACCCTGTCTCATATGCATCTCCCATACTCTTTCAAGGCCACCGGCGTAGCCCTTTCTTTGGGGAGCCATCTGACAGCCACGTGGACGTTAAGGCTACTCAAACCTCAAAAACATTTATATATTTTGCTCTGTGTCTTCATCTCAAAATTTGTGTCCCCAGAGTCTGTGACTCTGATCACTTGTGAAGTGGAACAGGTTTTAGCACAGCCTTGGGACAACTGTAGAGGCCTGGCTTGGGCCAAGGATTGGGACAGTATGTTCAGCTCCAAGGATGAATCAACAGCCTGGGAATGAAGACCCCGGCTCTGCCCTTACAAACACCCCTGAAGACACAAGTAGCCACTTGGACTCTGTGCTATTTACTAGGCACAGGGACAAACATGAATGCATAACACAAGCGTCCTGCTCTGAAAGAGCTCTAGGCTGGTAGGAGAGATCCTGAGCCGACAGAGCATCGACAAGAGATACGCACGCAGGCACGGGGTGCTACAGGACAGACGAGGTCTCTTTTGTCTCTTGTGGTATTAACAGCACAGAATGACGGAGACTGCAAAATAGAGATCAGGAGGGCCTCGATTCTACCCTTGACTCTGCAAATTGGGACAAGTTTAGCTTTGAGAAGTTAAAGCTGAGAGGGCAGATTTTGATCCTCTCAGAGATCAAAAGCTCCGTCAAGTGACAACAATGTGACCTGGAATACGATACTTTGTAGGCCCTTGTTTTCTTTTCTTTTTGAGGTAGGGTCTTGCTCTGTCACCAGGGTGGAGTGCAGTAGTGTGATCACAGCTCACTGCAGGCTTGAACTGCTGGGCTCAAGCAATCCTCCCACCTCAGCCTCCTGAGAAGTTGGGACTATAGGCTTCAGGCATGCACTATCACATCTGGCTAATTTTCATTTTTTAATTTTATTTTCTTTCTTTCTTTTTTTTTTTTTTTTTAAGAGAGGAGGTCTTACTATGATGCCTAGGCTGGTCTTGAACTCCTCAGCTCAGGTGATCTACCTGCGTTGGCCTCTCAAAGTGTTGGGATTACAGGAGTGAGCCACCATACCCGGCCAACCCTTGTTTTCTTATCTGTAAAGTGGCAATAGTGATACCAGACCTCAAAGGATGAGAATTAAATAGTATGTATATCATGTAACTAGCGTAATGGTTGGTGTATAACACTGAGAAAAGCTGAGCTGTTGTTATTTTCCTCCTCTGTGGGTTCAGTTACCAAAGCAAAGCCATTGGACTACACTAGTTCTCATCCATTTTCTGCCCCAGCCCACCTGAGTATCGTAACATTCTCATGAGAATAACCTAGAATCTCCAGAGGAATGTTTCTCAACTAGAGGCACATGGGATTCTTTGAGACAGAGGAAGGCAGAGAAGCTTCAGAAGCTCTCCAAATGATTTGGCTACAGGTCTCTAGGGAAGTGCGGGTTCCCATGGAGAGTGAACGGACTACGTGATCTCTGAGGGCTTGTTCAATTGCCTCTGGGACTCTCTGACTTGCCCGTGAGGACTGGAAATACCTGTGAGAAAGGAAACACCAGGTGTTCCTGGAGACTCCTCCAAACCCTCACACAAAGGCGTACAATTAGGTGCGAAGGATTGTAAGCTGAACCCCGGCTGTGCGAGACTTCTTATATCTTTACAGCTTCAAGATGTGCAGCACAGTGGAATAAACAGTAATGACTGTGCCCAAGCAGCCACAGCTCCTTCACTACCTGACAGCAAGTGAAATGTCTGTTTTTCTGGTCTCTTCTCTAACATGCCACACCAGGAAGCTCCACTGAGTAGCAACTTTGGTAGCACAGGAATCTTTAGGACCATATATCAAAGTAGTTAATTAAATCCAGCAGTTCAATAAATGTGTATTGCCAGGCAATGTTTTAGGCACTGGGGATACACCACTGAACAAAATAGGCGAAAATCCCTGCCTTCTGGGAGTTTACATTCTTGAGGGGTAAAGACAGTATACAGTAGAACAAGTAAGTTCTATAATACGTTAGAAGATAGTACGTGCTTCGGAAAAACCCACAGCCTACCAAAGACAACAGAGAGACCAGGGAAGGAAACGAAATTAACTGGCTGGCCCCAAAAGTGGCAGACATATCACACATCCATATCACGTTTCCTGCTGCTGCACCGCGACCTCAGCTACTTCCTGCTCAGGTCAGCCTTGTTCAACCCACATTTCCTGGGAACCTGTGCTGCTAGGCCCACACCTCTACAGATTCTTCCAGCTAGCACCCCAGCTGCCCCAGCGTGGTGAAAGGAATCACCACCCACCTAAGCCATGTCTGACTCATGTTTCCCCCACGCCCATGTGTGATCCACCAGATAGTCCTGGAGGCTACAGCACCACGGCACTTCCTGAATCTGGTGACTTCTCACCGCCTACCCTGACTGCTCCACTGCTGGCCCAAACCACCCTCACCTCTTACCTGGATGACTGCGGTAGCCTCCCAAGAGGTCATCCTGCCTCCATTCTTGCCACACTGCCAGCCATTATCCACACAGGGCCCAGAGTGATTTTCTTAAGCTTCTATGAGATGTCTTTCCCTTTGCTTCAAACCCTCCCTCCAAAGGCTTCCCCTAACTAAATTCTGACATACGCGCTAAATTCAGCACAGCTCGCAGGCTTTGCCGTTGGGCCTGATAAAGCCTTCTGTGCCCTTATTTGCCTTCACTCTTCCTTCTTCATGTTGCTCCAGCCTCTGTATTTTTCTTGACCCTTGAACCCACCAAACCATTCCTATCTCAGGGCCTCGTCCCCAGCTGAGGATACTTGCTGCCCTTTCCACCCCAAAACCTTCAGATTTTAGCATGGCTGCCTCATGTCCCCACATGTCCCCTAAGGCGTGGCCCAGTCACTCTCTACCACACTGCTCTATTGTTTTCACGTCTCTTGTTGATGGTTTCTTGACTATATTCTGCCTCCCGACTCTGCCCTCAGTTTGAGGACAAGACTGCCTGTCTTGTTTACCACTGTGTCCCTAGCACCCAGAGCAGCCGCTGGGTGACTGGTTGCCTGTGATGCCTGCCAGTGCCTTCTAAAAAATCATCCCTATTCTTCAAAGTTCACCTGAGATCCCACTTTCTCTTTGAGGTCTTCCCTGACAGTCCCCAACTTCTCAACTCTTACTGCCCCTCCTGTCTATGCTTATTACTCTCTGTGCTGCAGGGTCCTCACAGCCAGTCGCCTCCTCATTTCTGTGAGTGCTGTCTTCCTCACTCCCTACCAGTCCCTGAGGACAGAGGCAGCTCTAATTCAGGCGTAAGAGCAAAAGGGCAAAGCATCTGTGGTCAGGAGGCACAGGTTCAAGTCCTGGGTCTATCACTCACTGGCTATGTCTCTTGTCAAGTTACTCTCTCCTGTGAAACAGAAACAATAAAAACAATGCTAGCTGGGTGTGGTGGCCCACACCTGTAGTCCCGCTGAGGCAGGAGGCTTGCTCGAGCCCGGGAGTTTGAGGCCAGCCTGGGCAATAAAGCAAGACCTCATCTCTAAAAAATACAAAAACAAAAACGCCCCACAACACTACCTTCAGGATTATTGCGATAACTAAATAACGTCAGTGAAAGCATTCTGTACGTTGTCATGCACTCAAGAGAATTCCCAGCTCCTAATCCAGTCAGGGCTTGGAAACTGTTTCTTGATTGGTGGGTAGCCAGAGCTAGAGCTGGTAAGATATATTTTCACATTTAAAAGGTCCTTTGTATCCCCACCACAGGCGCCACGGTATCCCCATGTGTCAGTCAGCATGAGGAAAAACGAAAAGTTCACAGCTCCTATGGCTGCTGACCTTGCAGCTCCACGAACGCTGCTTCCACCAGGACTGTCACTATGGTGCCAGGCCAGGGACCTGTGGCAGAGTGCAAGCAGCCTTGTACGGGGGAGGGACGCACCAGAAAACCTGGGCTTTTGCTTTGGTTCAGCCACTACTCCGCTCCCCGTACACAAATTCTGCTCCACACTGGGCCTCAATTTCCTGATCTGCGCACTCAAGAGCTGGGCTAGATTAGTGTAATCTTCAGACTTGAAAGTCATCACCACCACCAACAATGACTGTTTTTTCTCAATGAATTATCAAGGAATACATAGAAAACATAAAAGCAGAGTTATTTTGGCTGAAGTGGAGAATAAGGTGCCCAAAACATCTTATCTACTGTAGATCACCTCCAAGGTCTTTTCAAGATGGAAATTTCTAGGATTTCTACGATTTTAAAATTGAAAAAGAAATTGCTGTGCCTCATTTACTTTTGATATAATTTTCTGCAATTAGTAATTGACACGGTAGAATAAGCTGCTAGAAGTTTTCACAATGTAATTTACAACTGAAAATGACTTTGGAAGTTGATATGCCTTTGAAATGAAAAGCATTCTGTTTTCTAAAGCTCCACTCACGAGTCCTCTAAAGTTAAAGGAAAGTTACTAAAATGACAGGATCAGAAATAAAGCCAACTGGAAAATAAGCAGCCCTGGACAAGTTCTACCTATCACCACGTCAATTTTAACAACTCACTGCAAGCTGCTTCTGTGCCTGTGTAGCGTGCTGCGAAAACCACCGGATGAGGCCAACCTCGTTAAACCCTGGTTCCATTCCTTCCCCAACCTGCCATGTGACCTTGGACAAACCCCACAACTTTTCAGAGGTTTTCTCAGCTACGAAACAGGAGTGATGACAGCGTTCTCATCAATCTAACACGGCTAAAAGATTCAAATAAGAAAACTGGCGAAATGGCACTTTGGAAATTGTGAAATAATTTTCAAAGTGAGGGATTGTTACTTTATGCTAAAAAACAAAGCTGTCATGAGTCAATCAAACAAATGCCCCAAACCCCACAGGATAAAAGTCTGTCTGTCCTATCATCTATAATCTTTCAGAGTTGTAGGGCAGGGGAGAGGCAGGTCCAAAATGTAATCTCACCTTTAGAGAGAACAATCTCAATGAGGAGTGCGGTTTGTAGACTGGCTGGTATTCACACATGTGCTCAACAGCAATAGCCTAAGTCCACAAGTCTCTCAAGTGGAGGGTCAGGACTCTTGCTATTAAGTTCATGAAGTTCCTATCATAAAAAGAACCCTCTCTGCCTATATTTAGAAAAAACAACCAGTCTCGGGTCATTCTAGAGAGAAGGGCCAGGACTCACCAAATGTACCTCTGAGCTAAACAACAATTCCCCTAGATGGCTCAGACCCTCCTCCCTATAATGAGAGGCAGGTGCTAATTTCTAAGTAAGTCCTTGACTCAGAAGCCATTAAAGGTCACAGGCATCAAGAGACACAGGCCTGTGTAATGGAAAGACCAGCGGCTAGAGAGGGAGCAGACTGTCACTAACCTGCTGTGTAACCTCATGTAAGCCCCCTGCCCTCTGGTCATGGACTTCTCGATCAGTATACTAAGGGGACCTGAGATAATTTCTACAGCCCATTCACCGTTAAGATTCTAGGTTTCCTCTTGACATCCCTCTGTCCCCTGCACTGGTTCCAATACTCACCTTGTGGCCATGGCTGAAAAGTGGCAGCACAGGGAACCCTGAGGAGGCGAGTCCTGTACTCCCACCAGCCTATGTTGATCAGAGGACCACAGACCCTCTGAAGACAGCAACTTGATTTTTATAGCCTACTTAAAACCAAACAGGAAAAGGAAGCTGAACCAGAGACAAAGGGGAAACAAACCCAAGTGAAAAACTGAAACCTAGGTAGAAAATAGAGAAACAAGAAGCTAACACTGCAGAGCCCCACCAGCGTGGGCGGCTGAGAGGCACTGCACAGGCCCAACCCCCCACAGCTGGCAACCTCAAGCCTCTAAGTGCTTCCTGCAAGGGTGCAAGGGTGGGTGAAGCCTGCTGGAGGTAGGGGCCAGGTCATGGTGCTGGCCCCCCACTAACTAGCTCTATAGTCTAAGTCAATGCCACTTAAGATGTCTGAGCTTCAGTTTTCCATCTGTTATAGAAAGTGCAGGCTCAGCACAGATGACTTCCTATAGGCCTTAAGAAAAGGCTACAAGAACTCGGAAGAGTCCCCACTGACTCTCCAGAGAATAGAAGACTAGATGATAAAGGCTATAAGCTGATCAAGTCTTTTTTTCTTTTTTGAGACAGAGTTTCACACTCCTGTCACCCAGGCTGGAGTGCAATGGCACGATCTTGGCTCACCGCCACCACAGCTTCCTGGGTTCAAGCGATTCTCCTGCCTCAGCCTCCTGAGTAGCTGGGATTATAGGCATGTGCCACCATGCCCAGCTAATTTTGTATTTTTAGTAGAGACGGGGTTTCTCCATGTTGGTCAGGCTGGTCACGAACTCCCGACCTCAGGTGATCCGCCTGCCTTGGCCTCCCAAAGTGCTGAGATTACAGGCGTGAGCCACCGCGCCAGGCCACTGATCAAGTCTTCATATTTGACTCTGGAACAAAATTTGTACTTCTACCGAGGAGACAACTCTCTCTAATGATGACATTTAAGTCAGCAATTTAGAGCCTGAAAGGAAAACACTTGAGGAATACTGGAAACTTGGCTTTGTCACTTGTTTATTAAGTGGGTGGCCTCAACTGTAAAATGGGGTTATACTTATTTTGCCTATCTCCACAGGGTTCTCATGAAGGTAAGATCCAGTCCAATCTTTCTTTCAAAATCTACTGAGAACTCACTAAGAAGCATGCACTGTGTTAGAAATCACAGACAAAAAATTGAGAACGACTGTACTTGTCCTTAAAGGACTTTTATGGTTTAGAAAAGAAGAGGTTGATAATGTTAGCAAATATTTAATAGATCCATTAAAATATTATTGATATAGTGAAAAACAGCTGTACAGAGTACAGTACAAAAGAAGTATCAGTTCTAATTGGAGAGATGAATGCACTTTGAATGCTAAAAATGCATTTTAAAAGGCTTTTAATGATATACATTTCCCTTTAAGCACTGTTTTAGTTGCAAACCACAGTTTGGATGTATTGCAGTTTTCTTTTTTCTTTTGGTTCAAAATATTTTTAATTTTCTCTAGTGATTTCTTCTTTTATCCATGGATTATTGATAAGTGCTTCGTTAAATTTTGAAATATTTGGTGTTTTCCTATATCTGTTGCTACCTATTTCCAATTTAATTCTACTGGGGCCAGAGAACATATTTGGTGTGACTTCTTCCTTTGTTTTTCCTGGTATGATCTCAATCCTTTCACATTTATCAAAATGTGCGTTATGGCCCAGCATGCAGTCTACCTTGGCGGATGTAGCATATGCACAAGGAAAGAATGTGTATTCTGAAACTGGTCGGGTGCAGTGTTCTAGAATGTCAATTAGGTCATGGTGGTTAATAGTATTGTTCAGAACGTCTACGTCCTTGTTACTTTTTGTTGCTGTTGTTTGTTTTTGTCTAATTATTCTATCAACTGCTGAGGGAAAGGTCCTGAAATCTTCAACTGTGACTGTGGATTTCCCTCTTTAATTCTGTCACTATTTCTTGAAGCTCTTGTTAGGTACATTTTTCCATGCAGCATTGGTTTTCTGCGGCTGCTGTAACAAATTACCACAAACTGAGTGGCTTATAACAACACACACTTATTATCTTAGAGTTTTGTAAGATGATAGGAGGTCAGAAGCCCAACATCATCAGAAGTTCCACATAGGTCTCTCTTGCTCACCTCTCTCAGCTTCTGGACACTGACTGCATTGCTTTCTCATAGCCCCTCTGTCCACTTTCAAAGCACGCAGCAGTGCTCCGACCCTTCTTCCACAGTGACATCTCTTTCTGACCGCGGTGTGGACAGGTTCTCTACTTTTAAGGACTCGTGTGATTAGACTGGACCCAATGGATAATCCAAGATAACCGCTCCATCTCAAGGTCCACAACTTTAATCACGTCTGCAGAGTCCTTTTTGCCATGTAAGGTAACATTTTATTTATTTACTTTTTTAGAGGCAGGGTCTCTTGCTGTCACCCAGGCTGAAATGCAGTGGTGTGATCATAGTTCACTGCAGCCTCAAACTCCTGGCTCAAGTGATCCTCCTTACCTCAGCTTCCTGAGTAGTTAGGACTATAGGCACACACCATCATGCCTGGCTAATTTGAAAACAGTTTTTTAAATAGAGATGGGGTCTTGCTATGTTTCCGAGGCTGATCTCAAACTCCTGGCCTCAAGTGATCCTCCTGCCTTGGCCCCCAAAGTGCTAGGATTACAGGCATGAGTCACCATGCCCATCCCATGTAAAGTCACACAGTCACAGGTTCTAGGGATTACGGCGGGGTGATGGCATTACTCTGCCTACTACCCATCCTTTCACTTTCAGTCGATTTGTATCTTTGTATTTAAAGTATGTCCTATAGGTAGTGTATGACTGAGTCTTGCATTTTCACCCAGTCTGACAATTTCTATCTTTTAATTGGGGTATTTAGTCTATTTACATTTAGTTTATTGATGTAGATGGATACAGGTCTACTACTTTGCTATTTGTTTTCTGTTTGTCTCATCTGTTTCTGGTTCCTCTGTTCTTCGTTTCCTGTATTCTTGTGGGTAAACTAAATACTTTTCAGAATTCCATTTGAATTTCTCTATTGACTTTTTAGCTATACCTCTTTTTTTTTTAGAGGTCTTTCTAGGGATTACAATATACATTCTTAACTTTGTAGGGTACACTTAGAGTTAATATTGTACCACTTCAGTAAAATGTTAAGAACTTCATAATTGCATAATTTCATTCTCCATTCCCATCCTTTATGGTGTAGCTGTCATATGTTACTCAAAATACAATGTTACATATTTTTGTTTTGGACAGTCATATATATATATATACATATATATATATATACACACAGCTGACTCTTGAACAGCACAGGTTTGACCTTCACAGGTCCATTATACTACTATTTCTTTTTTTGAGATGTGGTCTCACTCTGTTGCGTAGGCCGGCGTACAGTGGTATGATTACAGCTCACTGCAGCCTCAACTTCCTGGGCTCAAGCAATCCTCCCATCTCAGCCTCCCAAAGTGCTAGGACTACAGGCATGAGCTACCACCATGCCTGACCCAGGTCCACTTGCACATGGAATTTCTTTTACCTCTGCCACCCCGAGACAGCAAGACCAACCCCTCCTTTTCCTCTTGCTCCTCAGCCTATTCAATGTGAAGATGACAAGGATGAAGAACTTTAAGATAATCCATTTCCAATTAATGACTAGTGAAACTAATGAAAACATATTTTCACCTATGATTTTAATAAAATTTTTTCTCTAGCTTAATTATAAGAATACAGTGTATAATACACATAATATACAAAGTATGTATTAACCAACTGCTTATGTTATTGGTAGGGCTTCCTGTCAACAACAGGCTCTTAATAGCTAAAATTTTGGGGGATGCAAAAGTTTAGGTGGATTTTCAACTGTTCGAGGGGCCAGTACCCTAACCCCGGGATTGTTCAAGTCATGTGCGTGTGTGCGTGTATTGAAGAAATAAAAGTCTTTAGGTTTACTCATATATTTCTCTTTTCTGGTAATCTTTATCCATCCCCGAGCACTTGAATTTCCTGGTATCTTTTTTTTTTTTTTTTTTTTTGCAGCCTGAGGAACTTCCTTTAGCATTTCTTTTTTTTTTTTTTTTTTTTTTTTTTTTGAGACAGGGTCTTGCTCTGTCACCCAAGCTGGGTGATCTCAGCTCACTGCAACCTCTGCCTCCCAGGCTCAAATGATCCTCCTGCCTCAGCCTTCTGAGTAGCTGGGACTAAGGACATGTGCCACCATGTCTGGTGTATTTTTGTATTTTTTGTATTTTGTAATTTTTGTATTTTTTGTAGAGAAGGGTTTCAACATGTTGCCCTGGCTGGTCTCAAACTCCTGGTCTCAAGGGATCCGTCCACCTCAGCCTCCGAAAGGGCTGGGATTACAGGCGTGAGCCACCATGCCTGGCCTCCTTTAGGATTTTCTGTACAACAGGTAAGTTGGCAATACATTCTCTTAGTTTTCTTTTATCTGAAAAACATCTTTGTCTTCAAGCTTCAAAGCACTTTTTGTGAATAGAGAATACTGAGGTTTTTTTTTTTTTTTTGTCTTTCAGCACTTTAAAGGTATTGTTTCATTGTCTTCTGGCCTCCATGGTTTCTGAGAAGTCAGCCATCATTCACATATAATGTATGCAATGGATCCCTTTTCCTTTGGTCATTTTTAATATTTTCTTTTTCTTTCGTTTTCAGCAGTGTGACTTTGATGGGTTTAGGTGTGGTTCTTTTTGCATTCATTTTGCTAGGGTTTCACTGAGATTCTTAGGTATGTAATTTAAGGCTTTTCACCAAATTTGGGAAATTCTGGTCATTATTTCCTCAATTATTTTTCTTCTGCCTCATTCTCTTTCTCCTCTTCCTCTGGCACTCCAATTACACGTATGTAGACCTCCTGATATTATCACAAGGCACTGGTAATTCTTTTTAAAATATTTTCCCATTTTTCAGATTAGATATCTATTGATCTGTCTCCAAGTCCACTACCCTTTCTTCTGGATCTCTGATCCACTTTTAGTCTCATCCAGTAAATTTTTCATTTCATTTCCAGTAGTAGAATTTTCACTGGGCAAGTTTTTTTTTTTTTTTTTTGAGACGGAGTCTCGCTCTGTCGCCCAGGCTGGAGTGCAGTGGCGCGATCTCGGCTCACTGCAAGCTCCGCCTCCCGGGTTCACGCCATTCTCCTGCCTCAGCCTCCCGCGTAGCTGGGACTACAGGCGCCCGCCACCACGCCCGGCTAATTTTTTGTATTTTTTAGTAGAGACGGGGTTTCACTGTGTTAGCCAGGATGGTCTCGATCTCCTGACCTCGTGATCCGCCCGCCTCGGCCTCCCAAAGTGCTGGGATTACAGGCGTGAGCCACCGCGCCCGGCACTGGGCAAGTTTTTTATAATTTCCATTTCTCCTTTGGGATTTCCTGTTTGTTCACTTTATCCACCTTTTACTTAAAGTCTGTGAACATATTTATTATGGGTAATTTGAAGAACTTGCCTGCTCGTTTCAACTTCAGGAGCATTTCAGGGTCTACTGACTGCTTTTTTCCCCTTAAGTATATGTCATATTTTCTGACTCTATATGTCTACTAACTTATGATTGTATGTTAGATACTGTATGATACATTGCAGAAAGTCTGGATTATGCTATCTTTCTTTAAAGATGTGAAGTCTGTTCTGGTAGTCAGGGAAATTACTGGCAGATCCTTTTGGTGCTACCAAGCTTGGTTCAAACCTTTCTTCAGTTCTATTTCCATTTTGAACTTAGCCCTAGGGTATCCCCCTCCTCTGCAACCACCCCCCCATCTGACTCAAGAGCACAGTCCTACTCCTAAAGTGTGACAGTTCTGGGATCTCAACTGAATGCCTGAGGTGTTCTGGGCGGTTTCTTCATTCAGGTTAAGCCGGATCTGCAACATCTCCCAGAACTGAATGACCTCTGGCATCATCATTCAGCTCTCAGCCCTACAGCAGGCGATCTCTGCCAGGCCTCATGAAGAATCTCACTCTGTACATGCACACCCAGCCCTCAGCCAACAATCCAAATAGAATCCTTACACAGAACTCTGCTGTCTTTGCCCTGTCACAGGGCTTCCATTTCTCTAGTTCCTTGCCCTGCAAAGTCCAACTATTTCAGTGGCGTAGAATTCTAATTTCTGCCCACTGAGCTGACTAAAATCACCTTTCCATTTGGGCTCCACCACTCCATGCCAAGACTAGATAGTGACTGCAGGCAGAAAGCCAGGGGCTTCTCATGGTGTTTCTTCTCTCAAGAATCAAAGTCCTATCTTATCTGTCCAATGTCTGAAAATGGCAGGGATTTAATATCTTCTATGAGTCTCAGTACCCTTTGTATATTCAGTTGCTTCACATATTTTACACAGTTTCATAGTTGCTTTTGTCAAGAGAGCAAGTCATTACCATTATTCTGCCATGGCCAGAGGCAGAAGTCAAATATGATTATTAAACTACCAAAGGGTATTCTTTTTCATTTTCTGAAGATGCTAGCCTAAGAGTAAACATCTTTTCTGTGAGAAGTGCCTTTCAGTTTCACCCCTCATTTCCTCTGTCCTTCACACGTTACTACTGTCTTTTATCAGTTTCACTAGGTAGGTAACAGGTAAGAGTGAACCTTTTGGCACTCCAATTACACGTACGTAGATAAAATAGAGTACTATTTTAACTCTATCATCTAGCTTTAATGAAGCACTTGAGAAGAATTATGAAAAGAAGCAAAAAATGTGGCAAGCTTTCTGAGTAGGGTGCTATGAGATAGGGATTCCAACCCTTGCTTTGTTATTGACATGCTGTATGTTCCTGGGCATTCAGGTCTCTACTTTGACCCTGGTGTCTCCAGGTCCGATGAAAAAAAAAATGATCTTATAAATAACCATGTACTGCAGGAGTGGTACCAATTCCTAAATCGTTCATGTCAGGGCAATAGAAAATGTTGGAAAGATAGAATAGGAACTGTTGGCACTTGTGACGCAATTTAGTGAGCAAGTTAAGAAACGTATCCTGTTTGAGGTAGCATCTTATAATGTGAAACCATGAATTGCGCTCAGCACCTGGTATACTGCTTAGGTAGTAGGTACAGTGTAAGTGGTGATCATATGAATAACTATGCATAGATGAATACATGAATGAATGAATGAATGAGGAAGACGGGCATCAACACTCACACAGGATACTGATATTAAATCCTAAGGCATTTGGCTTTGGATTTTGAAAACAGTAAATGCTCAATAAACAACAACTGTGTTGACTTGAATTAAAAGATGTGCTTTCCATGTGTCCAGACTCCAAGAGAAGGCAGAGTGGGCTGAAAATAAATCACAGAGCTATACTAGAAGACACTCTACTTAGGAGATCTAGTTCAAAAACTTGCTGTGGTGACTTGGGAAAGTCAACTTTCTTCTGTGGATTTTAGTTTTCTTTTCTGTAAACAGACTAACCTCACTTCTCTTTCTTTCTCATTGGGATGTTTGTGAATGAAAGGGTCTTTCACTAACAAGAAATGAATTATGTTTGTATAATAATGACATTTCATGAGAATTTGTGTTAAGAAGGCAGGGTGTTTTGAGTACAAAGCCCTTGTGTCCTGGGAGTAGAGAAAAGGAGGACAGAGAAATGGCTACCCAAAATTAGTTACAGTCTCTAACACATTATGAAATCCTATTAACAATGCTGCATTAGGCTTTTTAAATATAATATTTTATATGTGCTATCATTATTTGACTCCTAGAACCTCAACTATGGCTCCAAAAACCAAAATGGAAATTGGATCTGCCAGAGATTCTGGTATTCTCAACCACTTTGCCTGAGAGACATTTCTTTAAAAAGTTTACACTAAAATAGCTCAGCCAGCCACAAGACGCTAAAAGTTGCCTTTTCCTTTCCAGTTCACTCACAGTTCAGTTCCAGCTCTTGCTGATAGGGCCTGCCTAAGCCTGCCTGCTCTGTGAAGTCCAACTGTTTCTTATACCAGAGGGAAGACATGAAGAACAACAAACTCAGATTAAAAAAAAAACAAACTCCAAATCATTTTTCTGATGATCTGAGACTTGTCCTCAGAAAATGTTTTATTTCCAGAGTTACAGCATCTGGAAAGAAAGTGTGAATGGCCAAATAAAGAAACCCCGATGTCAGCTGAGCAGTCTCTTAGGGGGACTGTAATATGGCTCTTCACCGATATCTGTGACCTTAGACTTCCGTGGACTTGGTGTTCATGAGGACACTATGCTACATATAATCTTTCTCCATATACATCTTTCATCATATAAAGGGAGAAGTAAAGGGGAAAGGTAAAAATCCCACCACTGGACTCCTGGGAGTGGGAAATCTAGTTTCTAGCACATGCCCTGGTGGTTCAGGCTCCTGTGCCTTGTAAACACAGTTGTCCTCACCTCCTGAAACAACCTCTTACCCCATCTACAGGCAAACTTGGGTTTGTCCTTCAAGATCCAATTTGCCTGTATCTTCTTTAATGAAGTGTTTACTGAGCCCCCAGGATAGAGAAAATTATTCCTGCTGCTGTGCTACTTCTGTATTTTGAAATTTTATCTATTTAGTGGTCACAGAGCATTACCCTTTAGGAAGGGACTATCATTTTTTATTCATCTTTTATAATCAATTGTGGGCAGCCCAATTCTTGGTACATGGTGTGTGTTCAGAATCTTTGTTAAGCTATTTTGCCTGAAAGGACTGGGACTCAAGAAGTGCACAAATTACTAGTGATATGAAAAGGGGACAGATAGGGCCTCGTTTTTTCAAGCTTAGAGTTTGCTGAGTCTAGCCTCCAATATCAGGCCACCCTGCCCTGAGGTACTCCCTTCCAACCACACTCCTGGTTAAACTCATCCGCAGCAGAAGTAGACCACATGTGCTAGCCAAGGCAACTGAATATTCTACGGACATCATTACTAATTTCCAGGAGGAAATTATAACATCTCTGAGAAATGCAAGTAGCATAAAAGAAAAACTTAAAAGACAGATAACAAATGAAGCAACCTCTACCATGGGAAACAGAATTTAAAAATCCAATAGGTATAATAAATGTCTTTGGAGACACAAGGGAAGATACTTAAAACATTAAGTGAGAGTAAGCCATAAGGAAGAACAACCAAGCAATTTTTTTTTTAGTATAAAAATATAATTGCTGAAATAGAGAACTCAGTAAGTATGCTCAGCAGAAGAGGCAAAGATGAGAAACTTAGAATAGGGTCAAAGAGTTGACCCAAAAACATCAGGTAGGGAAAAAGGGACAGGGACTACAGAAGTAAAAGGCATCTCAGAAGCAAAAAAAAAATTAAAAAAAAGATGAAATGACAGATAATTTTATAGAATTCAAGAAAGATGTAAGAGCTCAAGACTGAAAGGGTCAACAGCGTTCCAAACAGAACTGATACGAAAACAACGTGGGCCAGGCGCGGTGGCTCACGCCTGTAATCCCAGCACTTTGGGAGGCCGAGGTGGGCGGATCGTGAGGTCAGGAGTTCGAGACCAGCCCGGCCAACATGGTGAAACCTTGTCTCTACTAAAAATACAAAAATTAGCAGGGTGTGGTGGCATGCACCTGTAATCCCAGCTACTCGGGATGCTGAGACAGGAGAATGGCTTGAACCCAGGAGGCAGAGGTTGTGGTGAGCCGAGATCGAGCCATTGCACTCCAGTCTGGTGACAGAGCAAGACTCCGTCTCCAAAAGAAAAAGAGAAAGAAAAAGAAAAAAGAAAAAAGACAACAACGTAAGTGTGCACATGCACACATACAGACACAAACACTGATTACGATATCTAAGTACAGCAGAGACAGACAATTCTAAAAGCTTTCCACATAAAACCAAGTCACCTACAAAGGAACAAAAATCAGACCAGACTTCTACACCTCAGCTAGGGTAAAACAATGAGATATTATCTTCAGAATGCTGGAGAAAACAAATTTTTGAACCTTACTTTTCAGTCTATACCAATCTAAACTATCATATACATGTAAGGAAGAAAGAAATATATTTTTAGGTATACAAGATTTCAGAAAGTTTTCCAGATACAGACCTTCTTTGGAAAAATGTTACTGTATATATTCTAGCAAAAAGAAAATTTGCTCCTAGGAATAAATAGCAGGGTATGGCAAGTGGGAGCATCCAACTGAATACTTTTAAGCCATGAAGAGGGAATGAGGTACTGACACATGGTACAATAGACAGAACTTAGAAAACATTATGCGCAGAGAAAAAGGCAAGACACGAAAGGCCACATATTATATGATTACATTTATATGATACTCAGAATAGGCAGATTTAAAGAGAGAGGACACAGATTTTTTTTTTTTTTTTTAAGGAGTCTCACCCTTGTCGCCCAGGCTGGAGTGCAATGGTGCGATCTCAGCTCACGGCAACCTCCCCCTCCCAGGTTCAAGCAATTCTCCTGCCTCGGCCTCCCAAGTAGCTAGGATTACAGGCATGCACCACAATGCCCAGCTAATTCGTATTTTCAGTAGAGACGGGGTTTCACCATTTTGGTCAGGCTGGTCTTGACTCCTGACCTCAGGTGATCTGCCCACCTTGGCCTCCCAAAGTGCTGGGATTACAGACATGAGCCACCATGCCCGGCCAGGACACAGATTAGTGGTTGTCACAGGCTGGTTGACAGGGGATGTGTGCCTGGGTGTTAATTTATAAAGGTCACTGAGAATGACACAAAGAGGTCAGTGCCATTGAAAGAAAAGTTTAATGTCATTCACAGTTCCCCCACAAAATAAGAGGCACAGCACAACATGCAGGGCCACGGGGGAAGCACCAGAGTCAATAAGGGGACAGGAGCCAGGGGAAGGCACAGGCCACAGCCCTTACTGGGGCTTCCACAGAGAAGGCAAGGCAGGCACGATAAATGGCTTAGAAAAAGCTATACCTGAATAATTCTAGCAGGCTTTGGGGCCTAGGAGGTGTCCCTAGTTGTCTGGGACCTGGTTCTGGGTTGATTTAGAGCAGGGGAAATATTGGCTTGGTGTGTGCGCATCAGATAAAGGAAGTGGCTGGGGTATGGACTCAGAATTGGTTGGTTTGTATACGAAAGACAGATTCACCAACAAAAGCTTCTTACTGTCTCTAGGAATTAGCTAACCCTGGGAGGGGCAGTCTCTTCCCCAGCCAACATGGCCGCGTAAAGATGTCAAAACGTCAGCCGGGCACGCTGGCTCACGCCTGTATTCCCAGCACTTTGGGAGGCCAAAGTGGGCAGATCATGAGGTCAGAAGATCGAGACCATCCTGGCCAACATGGTGAAACCCCATCTCTGCTAAAAATACAAAAATTAGCTGGGTGTGGTGGCGCGTGCCTATAATCCCAGCTACTTGGGAGGCTGAGGCAGGAGAATCGCTTGAACCTGGGAGGCAGATGTTGCGGTGATCTGGGATCACGCCACTGCACTCCAGCCTGGCAACAGAGTGAGATTCTGTCTCAAAAAAAAAAAAAAAAAAAAAAAAGTCCAAAAATAATAAAATGCAAAAAATATGATTGATACAGAGTGAGGGAAGAGACTAATTAATACGGAACTTCCTTTTGTGATAAAAAGAACTATGCAAGAGGGGCTGGGCACAGTGGCTCACGCCTGTATTCTCAACACTTTGGGAGGCTGAGGCAGGATTGCTTGAGCCCAGGAGTTTGAGACCAGCCTGGGCAACATGGTGAAACCCTGTCTTTACCAAAAAATACAAAAATTAGCTGGGTGCAGTAGCATGTGCCTATAGTCCCAGCTACTCAGGAGGCTGAGGTGGGGGAATAGCTTGAACCTGGGTAATAAAAATATATAAAAACTAGATAAAGATGGTGGTTACAAAGTCACAGTTTTACAGTGTGCAATTCAGTGGTGTTTAGTACATTCACATTAAAACAAAAATCTCATAAAGTTTCTTATTGCCTAAGGTTTAATGATGTTTGAGTAATCAATGATAATCAATGACTATTTTTAAATAAAATATCCATAACTTTGCTCAAAAATTCCAGACACAACAACTTTTGTATACGTATAGGGTGTTACTCTATGAAGAACAGAAGGCAGTAAGAGTATATTAAAGACAAGGAAGCTGCAGACACTGACAAATTTTAAAACGACGATAAAGAAAAATACGTATAAGCATGGGTCACACTAAGGGAGGAGTAGCCATGAGGAGAATAAAAATAGAACCTATAGTTTTCCAACCAACTGAAGAAATATAATATATCCATTAGAAGGCGAAATGAGAAAAAACGAGGAGAAAAAGCATAAAAAATAGAAAATATAGAATAAGACAGCAGAATTAAAAGCTATTATTATGTTAATCTTTCTTTTGCTTGTGTACTGCTATGGACTGACTGTGGCCCCCAAAATTCATATGTTGAAGCCCTAACCCTCAATGTGACTATAACTAGAGACAGGGCCTGCAGAAAGTCAATTAAGGTTAAATGAGCTCCTAAGGGTAGGGCCCTGATTGACAGGATTAGTGTTTTTATATGAAGAGATGCCAGACATGTGCATGCTCTCATGTGCACTCTCTCTCTCTGCCAGGTGAGTGCACTGCAAGAAGGTGGCCATCTGCAAGCCAGGAAGAGGGCCCTTGCCAGAAACTGAACTGCCTGGCGTCTTGATCTCGGACTTCCCAGCCTCCAGAACTGTGAGAAAATAAATGTCTTGTTTAAACCACCTAGTCTATGGTATTTTGCTACAGCAGCCCAAGCAGACTAATACACATACCTTCTAAAAGTATTTAGAAAACCTATGTATCTTGCATTTTTTTTTTTTTTGAGACACGGTCTCCTGCTGTTGCCCAGGCTGGAGTGCAATGGTGCAATCTCTGCTCACTGCAACCTCTGCCTCCTGGGTTCAAGAGATTCTCCTACCTCAGCCTCCCAAGTAGCTGGGGCTACAGGTGCACACCACCATGCCTGGCTAATTTTTGTATTTTTGGGTAGAGACAGGGTTTCACCATGTTGCCCAGGCTGGTCTTGACCTCCTGGGCTCAAGCAATCCTCCTGCCTTGGCCTCCCAAAGTACTGGGATTACAGGCATGAGACACCGTGCCTGGCCCCTCCTGCATATTTTTAAGGTGACATCTACAATTTTTCAAGGTAAATTTAAATGGTTGCGAAAAGATGTAATATTTAGAAACATTATATATGGCATGCATGCATTCAATATATTAAATTTATAAATGCAATTTAATATGTAAGTGTAAGCTCTTTCAGAATTTACAAAGAAGGTCTGACATAGAACATAATTGGCAAAGCCTGTCTGCTCTGTCAAACATTCAGGCGAATCAGATTTACTTTCTGTCAGAAAAAGTTTGACCTTATTTTCAACTCAAACATGCTATACACATCACAGTGAAAGCATAGCACTTCGGGATTCTTAGTTTTAAAACCAACTACCAGATAGGTAAGGCATGGGGATGCACCATGAGTTGGTAGCCTGGAAGAAAAAAGACCTGCCCTTCCGTTATTTTTTACAGAGACCTTCTTTGCTTTGCTTTTATGAGACTCTCCTTTAGGGCCAACGAGTTTTCAAACTATTTCTGTTTGGTCCACCGAGGTATTATGTCCTGAGGTAAGGTAAGGAAGATCGTAAAATGTGGAAGGGGTCAGTGATATGCCTTTCTTCTGTACAGTAAGAGGAGAAGCCATGAAAGCTGATGGGAGAAAGGAGCAGCAGCACACAGACACATTTCCTAACAGATCGACATTGGCCTGGAATATACACGGAAGTTAGAAACCAGGGAACTGGCTCCCTCGCCAATTTATCCCCAGGAAGTCTTTATGTACCCCCAGGAATAAACATGCCCCAGTTTGAAGACTGCTGTGCTAATGCAATAGTAATGACCATACCATAAACAAGTTACAATTACTGGCCAAGAGACAGGAATTGTTAGATTGAATAAAAAACAAGAACCAGAGGTACGCAGTCCACACAAGATAGCTAAAACCAATGAATGCTTCAAGACTGAAAATAAAGAAATGGAAAAGTTATAATGCTGTTATAAGTAAAAAGAAAATCAAGTTAGCAATTTTAATATCAGACAAATAGAATTTAAGAAGGAAAAGAGATTAAGAAACCAGAAGAATATTATACAGAAGTCACCTTCATCCATGGGGGGATATGTTCCAAGGCCCCCAGTGGATGCCTGGACCATGACAGTACTGAACCCTATGTATACATCATAAGCAAGAGTAGATCTGATAACTGAGACAGCTGCCAAGTGACTGACAAGCAGGTAGCGTGGACAGCATGGACAGGCTGGACAAACAGATGGTTCATGTCTAGTCAGGACGGAGCAGGACAGTGCAAGGTTTCATCATGCTACTCAGAATGGCCTACAATTTAAAATTTACAAATTATTTCTAGAATTTGCCATTGAATTTTTCTGGAACAAAGTTGACCTCAGGTAACTGAAACAGTGAAAAGCAAAACCGTGGATTAGGCAGGGGGAACTACTGTATGCTAGTAAAAATAATAAGGCTGGGTGCAGTGGTTCACACCTGTAATCCCAGAACTTTGGGAGGCTGAGGCGGGTGGATCACTTGAGGCAGGAGTTCGAGACCAGCCTGGGCAACACAGTAAGACCCCCATCTCTTAATTTTTTTTTTTTTTTAATTAGCTGGGCGTGCTGGTGTCTGCCTGTAGTCCTAGCTACTTAGGAGGCTGAGGCGGGAGGACTGCTTGAGCCTGGGAGGTTGAAGCTGCAGTGAGCTATGATCTTACTATTTCACTTCAGCCTGGGGGACAGAGTGAGACCCAATCTCAAAAAAAAAAAAAAATCATGAGCTCATACACAAGTAATATAGCATTATGGAGAGAAATAAACAATTGTGGCAAAGATTTTAAAAATATGAATTATTAAATATTTTTAAAAATACACAAATTTTTGGCCAGGCGCGGTGGCTCACACCTGTAATCCCAGCACTTTGGGAGGCTGAGGCGGGTGGATCACGAGGTCAGGAGATCGAGACCACGGTGAAACCCCGTCTCTACTAAAAATACAATAAATTAGCTGGGTGCGATGGCGGGCACCTGTACTCCCAGCTACTCGGAAGACTGAGGCAGGAGAATGGCGTGAACCCAGGAGGTGGAGTTGGCAGTGAGCCGAGATCGCGCCACTGCACTCCAGCCTGGGCGACAGAGTGAGACTGTCTAAAAAAAAATAAATAAATAAATAAATAAATGAAATACACAAATTTTTAAAAAAGCAAGGACACGTTAGCTCCCCATTGAGATACCTCCTGTTGACATTTCTTTTAAAGTTATATATGTTTAAAGACAGAAAACTCAAAGTACAAGGAAGATACATAAGGTTAATTAAAGCTCCTCTCCTTTCCCCGCTCCTTTCTTCCCCAAAGACAACCACTGTTAACACTGGAAAAAAATGTTTTTACGGGGTGGGAGTTGTTGGATTTACAATTCTTATTTATGGCAGTCCACTGTTGCTTCCTTTATATCTGTGTCCCCTTGAGCGAGGATCGACTAACGTAAATCCTGCTTTGTAAAGGGGCCAGAAAATGTGTGCAACTTAATGTCTCAGAAAGTGATGCAAACATGCCATAACATGGATGAACCTTGGGAACATTAGGCTACGTGAAAGAAGTCAGTCACAAAGGTCACATATTGTCTGATTCCATGTATACGATATAAAATCCAAAAGGGGCAAATCCATAGAGAAAAAAGTAGATTGGGGTTGCCTAGGGCTGGTGAGGAGAGGCTGGGGGAGACTGAGGACTGACTGCTAATGGGTAGAATCTACTTTTGGGGTGATAAAAATGTTCTAAAATTAATTGTGGTGATGGTTGCAAAACTCAGTGAATATACTAAAAACAACTGAGTTGTATACTTTCAAAGGGTGGATTTTATGGTATGTATATTATATCTCAATAAAGATATTGTTTAAAAATGCCCCAAATGCAGACTGAAAATATAAATGCTTCCAACTGGGTTATGAAGTAACAGGAGAATTTTGAGACTGTTGAAGAAAACCATCCCACATTCTGACTCACATCAGAAACAATACTCAGTATAAAGGACTGCATCCAGGGTGATAATTCTCAAGTTATTTCAGCTGTCCAGAGAGTACAATGACATAAAATGAAGCAAGGGCGCTGCTGACAAAAAAGGCCTCCCTAGAATACACAGTTGCAGTACATGTGCTCTTTGGCTTCCAGGCAATTCCTTGAACTTGAACTACACTCACACGCTTTGAGGCAAGCCTATGAACTTGACCTGAGAACTGTTTATTTCCCAAGCTATATGTTTCCAAACCTTCTGCTTCCTATCAATGATTTCCAATGGTTTTAAGGAACATTTAAAGAAAAATAGGACACATTAGCTAGATTTGGTTAATTACAAATCAAATAAATCCAAAGGAACATAATAATGCAAAACTACTTCACCACTTAAATTACTGGAGTTTTTGTTTCTCAGACCTTTTTGCTTGGTTTGGTTTTGCTTTTATTTCATTTCCATGAATGTAACACCTACATAGATTGGTGGTGTAACCACCACCACAATCAGAAGGCAGAAGAGTGCCATCACTCCCAAGCTCCCTCAGCTCTCCCTTTGTAGTCATATCCGCCCCCACCAATTCCCAGCAACCACTGATCTGTTCTCCATCTCAACAGTTTTGTCTTTAGGAAAATGTCATGTTAATAGAATCATACAACGTGTAACATTTTATGACTTAATAGGCCTCCTTTATTCAGTGTAATGCTTTGAGATTCATCCGAGCTGTTGTGTTAGTTAATAATTAGTGTTTTTTTTGTTTGTTTTTTTGCAGAGTAGTGTTCTGTTGTATGGACGTATTACAAGTTGTTTATCCATTTAATCAAAGGACATTTGGGCTGTTCACAGTTTTTGGCAATGGTCACGAACGTAAGCTTTCATTTCCATAGGCTGACTATGTAGGATTGCTGGGTTATATGTTAACTGTATGTAAAACTTTATAAGGAACTGCCAAACTGCTTTCCAGAGTAGCTGTGCCATTTTGTATTCCTTCTGGCAGTGTAGGAGAGTTGCTGCTCTGCACCCCCAAGGCACTGTCAGTATTTCATCTTAGTCACTCTAGTAAGTGCATATGATATCCTAATTTTAACCTACATTTCTCTAATGATTAATGATGTCATGCATCTTCTCTCGTGCTTATTTGCCATCTGTATATCCTCTTTGGTGAAGTGTCTGTCTTTTGCCCAGTTGAAAAAACTGGGTTACTTTCTTATAGTTAAGTTTTGAGAGTTCTTTATATATTCCAAAGACAAGCCCTTTGTATTTGTAAATATTTTCTCCAAGTCTGTCTCTCGTCTTTTCATTCTTATAAAAGTATCCTTCACAGAATAATAGTTTTTAATTCTGATGAAGTCAAAATTTATCTTTTTGATGAAATTTAATTTGATGAAGTCCAATTTATCCTTTTTCTTTTATGGATGGTGCTTTCGCTGTCATGTCTAAGAACCTCTTCCCTAAATCCCAGGTCATGAAGATTGTCTCAAGTTTTCTTCCACAAGTTTTATAGTTTTAGATTTTATATTCAGATTTATGAACCACTTTGAAGTAACTTTTGTATAACATGTGAGGATTAGGCCAAAATTCACTTCTTTTTGCATAAGGGTGTCCAATTGTTCCAGTACCATTTGCTGAAAAGGCTATACTTTCTCACTGAACGGACTTTTTACCTTTGTCAAACATCACTTGGCATTTTTGTCGGGACCTATTTCTGGACTTTCTACCCACGTGTCCAAGCTCTCTGTAGGGTAACTTGTAAAAACACCAGGCTAACTCACAATCTGAATAATGAACAGTGGTTGGGTACCTGGTTTATTCCGTGATATAGGTTGCAGAATGTGTAACCCAGGCTACACAAATGAAATATTTAGATCAGTTTTTGATATTACAATATAAGCAAGGCACTGCCAACCTGGAAGCATTCCTTGACGGCAACTAAGATAATAAGGCAAATAGAAATCATAACATCTGACAACTGGCTGAGGAAAGCAGGGCTGTCTGTCCCGGAGCAATGGAAAGAGAGTGTGAGCTCTGGCTCTGGACCTGTGCAACGGAGCTCAGTGGAAAGAACGGATCCTTCTGTGTGATCCCTAGGGAGACGATTCTGCCCAATGACTAGAACCAGGCTCTGTGCTTGGGTACAGGGAGTCCAGAGATAGATAGGCTATGCTTCCTGCTTTCAGAGGGGGAAGCTACAGGAAAACTATTTTGGTTTGCCATTGGCCATCTAGCCAATGGTAACTATAGCGCCCGTCTACTTTAGGTAAGAGACTGGATCAAAGGACTTGCAGGGCTCTGATTGTTTTCAGATTAAACCCAAGGACAGTTTCTGTCCTAGGTTTAACGGCTTCCTGAAGAAACTGGGGTCAGGTAAAAAAAAAAAAAAAAAAAAAAAAAAAGAGAGAGAGATCTGCCCAAGGTCTCAAAATATTGGCTGCAAAACTGAGTTTAGAAATCAACCCTCCTGCTGGGCGCGGTGGCTCACGCCTGTAATCCCAGCACTTTGGGAGGCCGAGGCGGGTGGATCATGAGGTCAGGAGATCAAGACCATCCTGGCTAACATGGTGAAACCCCATCTCTACTAAAAATACAAAAAAATTAGCTGGGCGTGGTGGCAGGCACCTGTAGTCCCAGCTACTTGGGAGGCTGAGGCAGGAGAATGGCGTGAACCCAGGAGGCGGAGGTTGCAGTGAGCCGAGGTCGCGCCACTGCACTCCAGCCTGGGCAACAGAGCAAGACTCTTCCTCAAAAAAAAAAAAAAAAAGAAAGAAAAAGAAAATCAACCCTCCTGACGTTTAGCCCAGGCCTCCATAATTTGTCAAAATTCTTTTTTTTTTTTTGGCGGCGCGGGGGAGGAAGGTCTCGCTCTGTCGCCCAGGCTGGAGTGCGCTGGCATCATCTTGGCTCACTGCAGCCTCTGCCTCCCAGGCTCAAGCAACCCTCCCACCTCAGACTCCCGAGTAGCTGGGATTACAGGCAAGCGCCAACACGTGCAGCTGATTTTTGTATTTTTTTTAGAGAGAGGGTTTCGCCATGTCAGCCAGGCTGGTGTTGAAATCGTGAGATCAAGTGATCTGCCCGCCTGGGCCTCCCAAAGTGTTGGGATTACAGGTGTGAGCCACCTCACCTGGTCTATTTGTCAAAATTCTTAGTCAACACTGTGTTTGCTAAAGAATAAATAACCCAATGCCTTCTTCAATGACCTAAGCCTCATATATACTCATTGTATGTGTGAGGCTGAGTATCCTTAATCCAAAAATCTGAAATTCAAAATACTTCAAAATTCAAAACTTTCTGAATGCCGACATGACACTCGAAGGAAATGCTCATTGGAGTATCTTGGATTTCCTTGTTAGGGATGCTGACTCAGTAAGTATAATGCACTGTCTCCCGAGTTTTTCTTATCATTTGGCTATCTCAGAGGCCTTTACAGAGAAAGGAATCCTACAATTTGAAATTTCAACACTTTTTTTCCAATGACAAAATGGGGGAAAATCAAATCAAACAGGTCTCTTCTGAAGATTTTATTTCTGCTCTGAGCTGTTCTGGGTGACCTACTGCTCTAATTAGGCTGGAAATAAACCTGGCTTTCATGAGATGCAGGACACGGCTGGAGGAAAAAGTTGTCAAGACTACTTACAATCATCAGTGCCCACAGGCCTCAGAGCATTCCAAGAATT
This sequence comes from Homo sapiens, assembly GCF_000001405.40. NCBI lineage: Eukaryota > Metazoa > Chordata > Mammalia > Primates > Hominidae > Homo > Homo sapiens. Next base: position 100,045,837 of record NC_000014.9, on the reverse strand, counting down.
CATTGATTCATTCCATAATTCATTCTGCCCATTAGGCACAAACACAGACACCCAGGGAGAACAAACACCACTGGCTGATTTAGCTTTACTGATCTGCCCAGGGCAGGACAGAGATTAAAAAAACAATAATGCTGTAGTTTATCAATAGCTCCTCAAATGGGTAGTGTGGTACAGCAGAAGTCAGCACAGCTGACAGTCCTAGCTCTACCTCTCTGAATGTGTGTTCATTGACAAAATGGAAGATTAATCCCGTCCTTTCAACTTGACTGAGTGCTGGCAGGGATCAAATGAGACTGAGGATATGAGAAGTGCTTTGCAAACTGAAAATCATTGTGACCTACACGAGAGAGTTCTTCACCTAACAAACATGTGTTGGGCGCCTATTACGTGACCTGCTCATGCTAAACACCACGGATAGGAAGTAAAACATAATGCAGTCCTGGCCCTCAAGAAGACACTCAGATATCTGATAAAGTGTGGCAGGTGCGATAACAAGGCAAGAGCAGGGGATGTGAGAGCACAGGAGGGCCCTTGGATTACTCTGGAAACTTAAAAAGATGACCAGGAAGAGGTGCCAGGAACAGAGGATTAAGGCAGGAGTAGGAGTTATGCACCAGCTTCCAGAAAACATCACACACTCTTTTAATACTCAAAACAATCCCACAAAGTGGGCACTATTTGTATCGTCACCCTTATTGTACTACAAAGCAGTGGCTCCCAACTGCAGACGGGAGTGAGGTGGCTGCCTTAACTACATCATCAGGCTTACCAACCCCTCTGGCAGCGTTCAACAACACACTAGCTGTAACTAGGTACTCCCTCCTTTTATTGTCTCTATGCCTAGCTTTTGCTCCAGTATTTATTTCTTTATTTATTTTTATAGGGTCTTGCTCTGTCATCCATGCTGGAGTACAGTGGTGCAATCACGGCTCACTGCACTGTCCCCAGTGGGAAAGTGGTATAAGGATGCCCCATGGTCTCCCCTCCAAGCTCCCACCAAAGTGAGCCTGCTTCAACCCTTACATCCAAGCTATACTGGGGAGCTCACTGCTGAAACACTCCATGCTGTTTCTCACTGTCCATTCAGGCAGCGAGGACCACCCCTGCTTAGGTTACTTCCAGCTGATGTGTGGAGATGGTTTAGGCTTGGTCTTCTCCAAGAACCCTGGGCCTGGGAATTAGATACCCACACATACCCCAGGTCTGCCTGTGGCACTCCTTGGATCACATTGTAATTACAATGGTCTATTTCCAGGTCTGTCTTTATGCTGTGAGCTCTCAGAGGACAAGTATCAGTCCTTACCCGTCTTCCCCAGTGCCCGGCAGACTGAAAGTGTTCAAATTATGTTTGCTCTCCTATAGCCTTTGGTTGAAGTCTTCTTGCCAGTTTTAATATGTAATTCTGGATTAAGGGTTTATTGTTCTCGTTGTTATTGTATGTATATGTAAGCCAAAATCTCTGTATAAGAAATACTGTGTGTTGTGAAAGTTAAAATATTAAAAAAATATAGGGACTATCTCCCTTCCCATCTTAGCTTCCTCCCAAGGCAACTACTGTCATGAGTTTCTTGTATACTATTTCACAACTATGCTACGCAGGTTCACACATGTTGTGAATCCCCCAACCCCCTTTTGCTTCACAATGGGTGCACACTGTAATACTATTATAAACCATTATAGAAAGAGGATGTGATCGATAATTTTAGATGTCAACTTGACCGGATTAAGGAATACCTAGAGAGCAGGTAAAGTGTTATTTCTGGGTGTGCCTCTGAGGGTGTTTCCAGACTGGCATTAAGAGTTGGTGGACTGAGTAGGGAAGACCTACCCTCAATGTGGGCGGGTCTATCGTAGGACTTTACAACCTCCATAATCACGACTCAATACCTCTAATAAGTCCTCCCTTGTATATCTATACATATACAACTGGGGGCCCAGATACAACAAAAGGGAAGAAACACTTTGGGAAGCTGAGGTGGGAAGATCGCTTGAGCCCAGGAGTTCTAGACCAGTATGGGCAACACAGCAAGACTCTATCTTTACAAAAAAATTTAAAAATTAGCCAGGCATGGTGGCATGCATCTGTAGTCCCAGCTACTTGGGAGGCTGAGGTGGGAGGATTGCTTGAGCCCAGGAGCATGAGGCTACAGTGTGCCATGATTGTGCCACTGTACTCCAGCCTAGGCAACAGAGTGAGACCCTGTCTCTAAAAGAAAAAAAAAAAAAAAAAAAGGCAGAGGAAAGGTGAATTCCCTCTCTCTTCTGGAGCTGGGACACTTCTTCTCCTGCCCCTGGGACATCAGAACTCCAGGCTCTCCAGCCTTTGGGCTCCAGGACTTGCCTGAGCACCTCACCCCACCCCACCCCCACCCTGGGCTCACAGGCCTTTGGACTTGGATTGAGCCACAATACTTGCTTCCCTGGGTCTCCAGCGTGCAGACGGTCTATCGTAGGACTTTACAACCTCCATAATCATGACTCAATACCTCTAATAAGTCCTCCCTTGTATATCTATACATATACATATACACACACACACACACATATATATACACACACACATATATATATACACACACACATATATATATACACACACACACATACATATATATATATCTATCTCCTATTGGTACTCCCTGGAGAATCCTGATTAATACAGAGGGGTTCCTAACCTGAGGTGCTCAGATGGATTTCAGTGATCTATAAAACCCTAAAAATTTTATGCCATGTTGTTCCATGGTGAACAGGTCTATGTGAACCTACCCACAAAGGTTGATGGAGCTGATATGCTGAAAAAAGAGGTTGACAAATCCAGTTTTTCAGAAGGAAAAATTTAATAAGGACTCACAAACAGAAGCCATATCTCAGGTGGCCTTGAGACAGTCGATCCCCACACTGTTATCCACCAGACTCAGGGCTTATATACCTCAGAAAACTTGACTAAGGGCAGGGTTTATGGTAAGTATGTATTTACAATAACATCAATGCTGGTGAGTATATAAAAGTAGAAATCTCAGAGGCATTCCCGGAACTGGGGTCAATCAGAATTCAACATGGCAGATTAGCATCCCAAATGGAGTGGCTTTAGCCTCCACAAACGTTGTAGCTTAAGCATATTATACTTTTTCAGGAGAATGTGCTAATAACTACCATTAATTCCTCAAAGTAACTCCTGGTCTCCAAAAAGAAATCTTCCTACCAAAAAAAGCATATGAACTGGCCCTGGGCACAGTGAATGCTACTGAAGCACCCTCACGGCATGCTCACCCTGGCCAGAGGTCGCTGGGCCCAGGGCCCAGAGATGGGGGAGTTTAAGGAGGCAGCGTCTCCACTGTGCGCTTGTCAGTAACAGAGAAATGAGGAGCAATTTAGAGAGTATTTTGAAACTTCCTGTATCAATGCAAATCTAATACAGAGCAAAGAATATCACGTAAGTCTGGAAATTCTATTTGGCCTGGCACTTTTAAACCCATTTGCTAAATGCAACAATGTAACCGAGATTCTCTGTCTTAGTTACTTTCTGTCTCAGTTCATCAGGGCTCTAGACATCCAATTTGGTAGCCTTTGGTAGCCTCAAGCCATGTGTGACTACCGAGCACTTGAAATGTGGCCGGTCCAAATTGAGAAGTGATGTTAGGGTAAAATACAGCCCAAATTTCAAAGACTTAGTACAAAAATGTAATGTAATATAGTTAATTAATAATTTTCATATTACCATAGTAACACTGTTGAAATTATATTATGGATACAGTAGTTTAAACACATATATTTTTTAAATTAATATGATCCATTCTTTTTACTTTAGTTCATATGGTTATTAAATATTTAAAATTCCACATGCAGCTCCCATTTGTGGCTTGAGTTGTTTTTACTGGGCAGTGTGGCTTCAGAGATCAGTGCACAACTATTCACTATTCTCTGTTCTCCAATTAATTGATTCCCACCTTAGAAATGTTTTCTTCTAGAAATCAAAAGTAAAGCTTTCAGATAGGGTTTTCTAGTCGGGTATTACTATTGGCACACAAATAAAAAACAGTTCACCAAAAAATACCTGGAAAAATATACTAAAACTGACACATTCATTTATGGGGTCTAAGTCCATGGTGAAATCCATTTGGCAATACCCAACTGAAAATATCTTTGAAGTCTGGGATGTATTTTGCACTGATATCACTTCTCAGTTTCAGAAGGATATAAGTCTAATAATAATCTCTTAAAAGACATTTACTGAGCACCTACTGTGTGTTGGGGTCTTCACATTTATTACAATCATTTCCACTTTAAATATGAGAAATCTGAAGCTCAGAGAGTGGCTCCAGGCCATTTGACTAGCAAGCGGCATAGACCTAGGTCTTGGCCACAGGAAATTGCCCCATCCCTCCTTCTGCCCACATTCTGCCTTCTTTTATATTTGCACCACAGGACAGTTCACGTTCTTTCTGATACATTGTATCATTTAATTATCTAAACTATGCTGTGAAGTAAACAGGGATGTTACAATTACTGTATTAAAAGGAGGCATCCAAGCCCACCTCACATCTCATGGCTTGTAACAGGAGAGCATAATCTTACACCTAGGAGTTCTGGGAAAAAAAGTTCAATATCTTTTCCTTTCCATGCTGCCAATCATAACTTCCTCCTTTTAAAACTGACTGCCTTCCTAGGTTTGGAGTTAAAAGGAATGGGGGAAGAGGAACACTTATTGTTAACAATAACCATATTGTATCAACAATGCCACTGTTTCTAAGTACACATTTCTGCATATTATGTATTAATATATTATTAATATAACATCACTGTGAATTTATAGTGTTGACTGACCCGGAATTGGGGTCAATCAGAATTCAACATGGCAGATTAGCATCTCAAATGGAGTGTCTTTAGCCTCCACAAACGTTGTAGCTTAAGCATATTATGCTTTTTCAGGGGGAATGTGCTAATAACTACCATTAATTTCTCAAAGTAACTTTATGTTATTACATCCTCTATTTCATTTGCTCTTCCATGCCCACATTTATTATTCTTATTTCAAAGAGGATGAAACTGCAGCATACAACAGCTAAGTGATTTATGAAAGCTCTCAGAGCTACTTACAGACCAAAAACACAGGCAATAAAGGTCATGAAGAGTTAAATGGAGACACGGAGACATACTGAGGCAAAACCTCTCCTCCTGGTCTCACATCCCAGGGAAGGTGCCTCACTATTCAATATATAAACCCTTTGGTGCAGACTGGGGAGATAAAAGCAAAGGAAAGGAAGACCTCCTTTCTCAGGTTGAACTGCGTTTGCTGACTAGCAGTCAGGCTCCGTTCTGTCCTGCCCAGATGGCTGCTTTCTGAGGGGCAGACGAGCAGCCACACTCTACCTTCTCTCTGCTCCCATGCTAAAAGGAAAAACATGGGGAAACAATGACAAAAAGAACTAATCCAAGTCCAGAGAACGTGTAGCTTGAATGTAGACTAGACGGGAGGCTAATCTGAGCTGAGGAGAGGATACAGGGCGAGGGGAAGAGCTACATGGTAGATTGTGAACAAGGAAGAGTTCACAAGAGAAAAAATACAGTAATGTTAAAAATGCATAAAGAAAGGAGGAGAGAGAAAAAAGCGGAACAAAAGGAGCTGGTAAAAATCTGTAGTAAGGGCAGCAAAGTGCTAGTAACAGGATCACTGTGCATTGAGCCGTTTGCTAAGGCTGTCCAAGTGCCACAAGCAAACACAAAGGGACAGAAGCCACAAAGATCAACAGCTCATGGGGGCTGGGCACAGTGGCTCATGCCTGTAGGCCCAGCACTTTGAGAAGTCAAGGCAGGAGGATCCCTTGAGCCCGGGAGTTTGAGATCAGCCTGGGCAACACAGCAAGACTCCATCTCTGCAAAAAAGTTAAAAAATTAGCCCAGTGTGGTGGTGTGCACTTGTGGTCCCAGCCTCTCAGGAGGCTGAGGTGAGAGGATCACTTGAACCCAGGAGGTCGTGACACCCATGATCGCGTCACTGCATTCCAACCTCGGTAACAGAGCGAGACCCTGTCTCTATTAAAAACAAAAAGCAGCTCATGGGGTCAGCCACACCACCCAGACACACAAGCCAGAGAGAACAGAGTGGGTGAAGATATAGACCAATTCCAGGCTAGGAAACTACTTACCATCCCCTACTGTACAGAGAACTTCACTGTTGTTGTTTATTTAGAAATTTCTTAAATGTGGTTTATTCAACACTTCAGTAACTCTAGTTATTTTACCCATATTATGTGTCCAAATTATTCATGTGACTTAAAGTTTTGCTTTAAAAGCTTCTAACAACTGGGTGCAGTGGCTCACGCCTGTAATCCCAGCACTTTGGGAGGCTGAGGTGGGTGGATCACTTGAGATCAGGACTTTGAGACCAGCCTGACCGACATGGCAAAACCCTGTCTCTACCAAAAATACAAAAATTAGCCAGGTGTGGTGGTGCATGCTTGTAATCCCAGCTACTTGGGAGGCTGAGGCAGGAGAATCACTTGAATCTGGGAGGCGGAAGTTGCAGTGAGCCAAAATTGTGCCACTGCACTCCAGCATGGGGAACAAGAGTGCAACTCCGTCTCAAATAAATAAATAAATGGCCTCTAACAAGGATTGTTTTAACTAGAAAATAACTGAACTTCATAAAGTGAGAAAAGCTGAAATCATGGGGTATTCATATGAGGAATCCTATTTTTAAAATATTTGTCTCCCACAGGGTCTCTGTCCCCAAGGTTTAACTTTGAAAAGCTCAAATGTTCTTACCTGTCCTTTTTCCCTTCAGTTCTTATACTTATTTGGTGACTTGGTTAATGACTCTATTTTCTGAAATCTGAGAAGCCAGTCCTGGGCCCTATGGGTCATGGCTGCAGAAGGAAACACAGTCCCCACTCTTGAGGAATTCATCTGCTTTTGGGAGAGGCAGGATATATTCAAGAGAACTAAAAAAGTTGGAAAAGTAACCAATAACCCAAACTGTATCCCTAGTTTCTGATCTTTGTGAGTACAAAGTTATATTCTTTCTTTACAGCAACACACACACACACACACACACACACACACACACCCCAGGGCACAGCACACAGGGTACTAAGTGGTACCTAAGACCATCTCTGACAGCTACCCACCCAAGCTGTGGCCTCTGCCAAGAGTTGAGGGATATCAGTGAAGTTCTAGCATTATTCTGTTTAAGCTTTTTATTATGAGCAGTTAATAATTTTTCAATTAATAAAACTAGCTTATTAAAAATAAAGAAGTTTAATGGCACAAAGGGACAAGTGAAATGCAAATGGGACCCAGACTTGTTCCGCTTGTTAAGACAGTATCCTGATTTGGGACTAAGAGCCCTGGCTGTCCAGACCACGTGGGCTTCAAAACCGAGAGGAGGCAGTGGTGGGCAACCTTGTCCGCCATCTGAGTCCATCGCTTCTGCTCTTTGATATGGCAAGTCAGAATTAAATATTCTGAAGGCCCAACAGAGCTGGGAAGTTTGTCCAGACAAGAGCATGATAAGATCAGTTTGTTTAAAACCTGCTGTGGATTTATTTGCTTTGTCCATGCTTAGCAATTCTGTCCACTTGCCACAACTTCTTCAGATTTTAATTTCCTTCTTTTCCTCTTAATTCTATAGACATGGCCAACGTGGTGCTTTATTAAATCTACAGAGCTGGTTGCCAGGCACTTCCTTCTGCTGCCTGCAGCTCTCCGTCTACAGTATCCTACCCAGGATGATTTCAGCTTTCCTTAGTCTACACTTTCCCCTCACTGAAAAGCAGCAGAATGGGAATCCACAGAGCTAGTTCCAGTCCTGTTGCTAACTAACCTGGTGATCACAACCAAGCTCTGACCCTGTCTAGGTGTGTTTCCTCCTCTGTAATTTCTAACTTGCTGAAAGTGGTGTTAATGAAATGACATATTGTTAATACAGTTCTCGGCCCTCAATAGTTGAATAAATAAATGGAAGCTATCCCATTTGTATCCCTAATGTCTAGCTCTGAATGAATGAAAGAAAATAACTATATATTGCCTGGGACATAGTGGCTGTTTCGGAAATATTACTTCTCTTTCCCTTACCCACTGGAAATACCTCAAGGGAACTGGCCATGTCTGCTCTGGGGAAGCGAAAGGTAAATACCATGTCCAAAAGAGGGACTCACAGAGATCTGAACAAGGGGATACCTAAGGAACTTTTTTGGTTCTAATATTCTATATTTTATTTGTACATTTAGCAAACACTGCTGAAGACTTGAAACACATGCTGGACACCAGCCAAGCCTGGAATTAATGTCACGTGCTCCTTCCACAGTGCATCATCTAGAAGGCAGGGACTGACAAATCCAGTTAACAAAAGGGCATGAGAAGTACAGAAACAGAAGTAGGTGCAAGAGTATTTTCAGAGTATATGAGAAGGAAGATTAACTCTACCTGGGGGAATGAAAGAGGAAAAGGTAAGCCTTGAACACTGAGCAGAAGGCCCCTGTTAGAAAGGCTTTCCTGGAAGTGATTCCTTTAATCAATGTCATGTAGCTTTCTATCTGGATGCTACACCTTGGAGAAATTAGACTAGACAGTGATTGTCTCTCCAGAGCCTTTTATTCCAGGCTCTTCAACGGACTGCCCTTCAGATGTGGTCTTGAGTCCCCTCACCTTCTTCTTCTTTCTTTCTTTTGAAAGAAAAACCTATCTTAGTTAGCTCAGGCTGCCATAACAAAATACCACAGACTGGGCAGCTTAACAGCAGCAATGTATTTTCTCACAGTTTTGGAAGCCCAAGAGGAAGGTGTTGGCAGGTTTGCCTTCTCTGGAGGCCTCTCTCCTTGGCTTGTGGACAGCCACCTTCTCACTGTGTCCTTAGAGGGCCTTTCCTCTGAGCATGAGCATCCCTCATGTCTTCACCTCCTCTCACAGTCCTATTGGACTAGGGGCCACTCTTAAGACCTAATTTAACCTTAATTACATCCTTAAAGGCCCTATCTCTGAATAAAGTCACACTGAGGTCAGGGGCTTCAACCAGTGAGTTGTGGGAGACATAATTTAGTCCGTAACAGTGCCCTAGAGTGCCACGGTCCTCTGTTAAACACCTAGACAGAAGATAACACTGCAGCTGTGGTCTGACAATTTTGAAGATGACTGGGATGGTCATCTCCTTTGGAGGTAAAATGATACACATTTTAGTCTGCTTTTTTATTTTTCTTGCAGTTTTGCATTATTCAGGATTTTTTAAGCTGCAAGTAACAGACATGAACAATGAAATTTGTTGTTTATATACTGCAAAACAAAAAAAAAGGTTTATGGGTAAGCCTGGCTTAAGTTAAATACCTGAGTGCACATGGTCAAGGCTGCCATGAGAACTTGCTCTCTTGTCATTACTGAACTCTACTTCCCTTTCTCTTGGCTTATTAGTCTTCCCCACATGATGGGAAATAATGATTTGAAGCTTTCATGATCTTGACAGCTCTTGATCCCAGAAAAAAGAAACCAAACAGTATCTTTTATAATAGTTCTAGCTCAAGTCCCATAGAGCAGCGGTCCCCAACTTTTTTTGGCAGTAGGGACCAGTTTCAAGGAAGGCAATTTTTCCATGGACTGGGGTGGGATCGGGGGATGGTTTTGGGACAAAACTGTCCCACCTCAGATCATCAGGCATTTGATTCTCATAAGAAGAGCACAGCCTGGCTCCTTTGCATGCACAGTTCACAGTAGGGTTTCTGGTCCTATGACAATCTAATGCCACTGCCGATCTGACAGGAGGCAGAGCTCAGGCAGTAATGCTCACCACTGCTCACCTCCTGCTGTGTGGAATGGTTCCTAACAGGCCACGAACTGGTACTGGTCCTCAGCCTGAGGGGTTGGGGACCCCTGCCATAGAGAATTCTTAGATGACAAAACTGCCCCTAAACCAGTCACCATAGCCAGGGGATTGAGTCTTGGTCTGGCCAGGTCTGGGTCATGTGCTGCCCCCTAGGTGAGGTGGGGGATTAGACCCACATAAACTACATGACAGGTAGTTAGGTCAGATTACTGTTGAATAGAAAATGCTAGCTCCCTTCTACCCAACTAACCAGTTGCTGGCAAAACACGTATCTTTCTAGAAATAATAATGTGATCCTAGCAGACAAATAGGTGTGCTAAAAATGACCTGAATGTCTTTTCTTTTAAATTTCTCAATCTTTGTGCAATGTCTTACCTATTGGAACAATCTCAAACTGATACTTGTTTCTTTGGCCAGGTGCTAGAAAACAAATGTCTCAAAGAGGGTAAATGACGCACCTGTACATCTCAGCGCTCTCCCCATCAGTGAAAACCACACTGGTATGCAAAACGGCAGCACATTTCTCTTCCTGACAATTCTTAATAAATTAGAGCTAGACTTTATCATAGAAACAGTAAGAGTAACTACATCAATAGGGTGGTACATTAGAAATTCCTATTAAAAAAAAAAAAGAGAAAACAGATGGCCCCATCTGAGGGAGTGAGCAGCATATAAAAAGAAAAAAAAACACATACACTGTTGAATGAAATTACCATCTTGGAACTATGCAAAACATTTGTTGTTGCCAAAAAAAACACATAATAAACTGCCTTAACAGTCCAAACCAGGGTACAATACAGTGAATGAAGGAAACATAGGTTCTGATTTTCTAATTGAGTGACTTCATTTTAACTCCAAAAATACAAAAACCAGCAAAAACACAATTTAGAAAGAAAATTTGAGGAATAATGTCTCATTTTAAAAGTTTTTCAGTTGTAACATACCAGTTACAGAACCCAGAGACACAGAAGGCAAACTTCATTCATTCCTCCAACTGTTAATTGTTCTAGTAGCTGGTAGTTGCTGTGCTACATACTAGGACAGAAATAAACTTGGTAAACAACAATTTCAAAAACAACTTCAAGCTTTACTGTTTACTAAGCATTTTTGCATATATAATCATACTTTTCCTCACAACTACCACATTTCACAGATAAGGGAGACTCAAAACGAATATATAATTTGCCCAGAATAACACAATAATTACCAATAAGAGGAGGAGCCTGAGCTCACATCCAAATGGGACTTCTAATCTTATACTCTTTTATCTTACGCATTTTTTTTTTAAAGAGTTGGGGTCTCACTCTGTCACCCAGGCTGGAATGCAATGGCATGCTCATTGTTTACTGTAGCCTCGAATTTCTGGGCTCACATGATCTTTTTTGCCTCAGCCTCCTGATTAGCTGGGCCCACAAGCATGTACCACCATGCCCGGTTAATTTTTTTTTTTTGGTAGAGACAGGGTCTTGCTCTGGTCTCAAACTCCTTGCCTCAAGTGATCCTCCCACTTCAACCTTCCAAAGTGTTGGGATTCATTTTGACCTAAAGATTTTCTTCTTCCTTACTCTTCTAATTGCCAGGTCCAGATTCTCCTTCCACTATGGCAAGCAGTGTTTTCTAGAATGTAAACTCAAAATTAAGTGTTATGTTTAATATGTGGGAAACTCAGGGGGCAAAATCAACATTCCCCTTCCCATAAGACTTCTCAGACCCTTCATGCTACTATGTACTGTCTTTTTCGGGGCAGGGGTGATTATAATTTTTCTTTTCTTTTTCTTTTTTTTTTTTTTTTGAGACAGATTCTAGCTCTGTTGCCCAGGCTAGAGTGCAGTGGCGTGATTTCAGCTCATTGCAACCTCCACTCTTGGTTTCAAGCAATTCTCATGCCTCGGCCTCCTGAGTAGCTGGGATTATAGGCACCCATCACCACGCCTGTTTTTTTTTGTTTTTTGTTTGTATTTTTAGTAGAGACGGGGTTTTGCCATGTTGCCCAGGCTGGTCTTGAACTCCTGACCTCAGGTGATCCGCCCACCTCGGCCTCCTGAAGTTCTGGGATTACAGACATGAGCCACCATGCCCGGCCTACAGTTCTTCTTAAACTGACCACAGGACTTCTTGTTTTTGTTTTGTTTTTCCCACGAAGTCTTGTGTATGACTAAAACAGCAGTCAAAACACAGGTTCCAGAGTCTGATGGTCTTGGGTTCAAATGCCAGCTCTGTGTGATGCTGGATAAGTTTTTAAACCAGCATATGACTCACTTTCTTCATCTGTAAAATGGACATGACAACAAGAGCAGCTATCTCATAGGGCTCTTATAAGGCTACAAGTACATATGCTTATGCATATAAAGTACTTAGCAGGTTACACTGATCATAGTCAAGTTCAGTAAGTGTGAGAGAGCCACTTATTCAATAAAACATTATATAAAACAAACATTGCTAGAATACCCAACAGGTTTTCCTTGTTTTACAAAATTAGGGTAGAAAGCAGCTATGGAATGATGAAAACAAATGTTGACTTTTTAGTTAGAAGATACAGATCCAAATCCTAGCTTTGCCACTTAAGCAGTGTGACTTTGAGGAGGTGATTTAACCTCTCTGAATCTTAGGAGCCTCTTAGGTAAAATGGTAATAATAATGTAACCACCTGCCTCTAGAATCTGCTTTTGACTGGTGTTCATAGGATTACTGTGAAAATTAGATGTGATAACAAAAGTGCCCACAGTACAGCAGGCACATTTGAAAGTGTGTTACCTTGTTTGTATAGGAATCTAGAAGAATCAGAAGTGCTTAATTTATATATGTAAGGACTTTTAAAACTTCACATGGGTTTTTACTAACTCAAACCCTTTTGTCAATCCCTACAGCTTTGAAAATCTACCATTCGGCCCTTTTAGTCTTTCCGGCTGATCTTTCCCATCCACAAACAGATGTTGCTCACTGGATTCAGCACTTCCATCAAAATCCCCAAAAGCCTTCATGCTTAGAAATGAACAGACATCAAAAAGGCAGCAACTGTCCTCTTTACTGCCATTTCCTCTTCTAGGGCCTGTGACATGACAAGGATAATGCAGGAGGTTAAAAAAAAAAAGGTAATAAAAATGAATAAACAAAGAGTGCTGAGAAGCCAACATGTGTCCAGCTCTGCTCAACTGTGACAGATGCCTTCAAGTAACCCTCAATCTAGTTAAGAGGATAAGATAGAGGAAATTAAATATCAGATTGTTTATTATATACCTTAAGTGTTATAGGAGAGTTCAGAAAAAAGAGAAATTTTGTGGGCTGTAGAGGTCAGAAAAGGCTTCCTGAAGAAATACTGCATGCACAGGGCTGGGTTTTAGAGGATTTCATGGAAAGAAAAAAAGGTTTGGAAATGGGGAAGCAAAGTGGTGAGTGCAGATCCAGACTAAATCATTTTTTTGGAGCGGAAGGAGCCAAGCTTCAAGAGACCGCAGCCAGACCATGGAGGGCTCCACCTGTAGAAAACAATGAAAAGCCGTCCTGGCAATGGACAGAATTTTATATCCACAAAGTACTGGGATACCATCCTCTCATCCCACCTTTCTATGAAGCAAGCTGTGTTTAAGCATTCGGTCATGGGTAGGGATGAATTGATTAGTATTTTGTTCATACCAGGGATCTGATAATCATGAATGCCCCAACCAAGCAGCCCAGGACAACAAACAAGAATTTTATCAACTGTAGCAAAACGTGTCAACCTTCTCTTCCTTAGGAATCTCTATTCCTTCACTCCCCAAAAAGGTGGAGAATAAAAGTACACAATCTTCATTCTGTGGCTTTGGAAGTGCTCCAAGGTACATTTGATTTGCATGCATCCTCTCTCCAGGAAAAGGAATTTCATCACTGAGTGCACTTCTTAAATCACAGAATGTTTCATTGCCCTGCTCATAAAAATACATCCAACCACCACTTTTATCCATCTCTTTTATCACCTCTCTTAGGAAGCCTCTATCTTGACTTGATACACAGTTGTCTGATCTAGCAGATACAGTGAAAAATGAATAAGAGTGGTAACTTCCGAAAAACTAGGCAGGGGAGCCCTGCGAGGGGGCGCTCATCTTCCTTGCTCCTGGTTCTCTTCCTTGGTGTCTCTGGTATGCAGTCTGTGCACATGGGACCCAGAGTTGATTTTCAAAAAGGAAAGAGCTCCAAGTGTTCCTGTTTCTCCCAGGGCCACACAACAAGTGAAAGTAAATCGTCTTTTCTCTCTTCTAGCACTCGTGCTGATGAAGATGGGGGGCAGAGTAGTCACAAAGAATGCAGTGTGAGTCAACCCTGGCATCTGGAAGGATCTGAACTGGCTGACTGGAGTGAAAAGAATTCTTCATGTCTGTAAATTATTACGAAATGCCCTGAAGAGCCCAGTGACTAGTCACTGAGTATCAAACCCAGGAAAGACCACGAACCAGCATAAGTTCTAGATCAAACATTGTAGTCTGTACAAGCCACACTTCTAACACATCTAGGTTCAATCTGCCTTCAGAGGTGCCAGTGGAATTCAAAAGCATGTTATAGCACTTTTCATTTTCCAGTGCTCTTGATTATGAAAGCTCACACATGGCCATTCTCCTCTCTGAACATCTCTGCAAATAAAATATTATTCCTATTTTATCCCAATGAAGTTATGTGACTTACATAAACTAACGCAGCATCATTAGAACCTAGGGTTTCCAGGTTCCCAAGCTCAGGTTCTTCCCGTGAACTCCAACGAGGTGTGTACATCAGAATCATCAGTGGAACTTTAAACAGTGCACATGTCTGGGTTTCACCTGCACATATTTGGACTTAAGAGGTTTGAGGAGTGGCCTGGGCACCTGTCTTTAGATTGCAATGGGCCTTCCCAGTTGAGAAACATTACATAGATTTCCCAAGTTGAAAGTCACTCTTGAAAGCTCTTTAGTTGATTCTCTTGCTGTCCAGGAGAACCACCCCAGAATGTATCACATCATAGCTACAATTGTTGGAAGGGTGCTCTTCACTGAGTTCTCACTTGTAATTCACTCTTCCCTACACGGAAGAGACCTCATACGTCATAGTTGTCCCGTGTAGTCCTAGTTAGTTCAACAGACACTTACTGATCACACTAGGCTCCAAGGATAATGAAATAGGACACGGAGAAACGTACAACAATGAATAATGCAATGGGCTGTGGCCTGAGTACAGAAGCACTGCAGACTCAGAGAACCAGGGGTCACTTGGTGGTGGGCTCTGGTTGTATTATCACAGTTAGCCAGAAAACACTGTAGTCCCAGTTTGTCAACTGCAAGGAACTTATTAATCTCTCAGACCAGGGAATTTGCATGCAAACCAAGCCAAGATCCAAGCTCTCAGCTGATTAGTCACACCATGTTTCGTTCACTGTGTCATAAACATTTCAGTAGCAAACATGATTATCTTCCAAGGACTGATTTCTGGCATTCTGAGTCTGAACGCTCAGGGAGAGGGGAAGACTAGAAGTACTCTAGCTGGAGAATGTATCAGCCTTTTTCCTGGCTCCCATGCAATTTCTAATCCAGGATAAGTGTCTATAAAATGCTTTGCTGCTTACAGTAAATTAAAAGAATTAATTTATTGAGTATCTAAATGCTTTATAGAGGTAATCTCGGCCGGGCGCGGTGGCTCACGCCTATAATCCCAACCCTTTGGGAGGCTGAGGCAGGCGGATCACCTGAGGTCGGGAGTTTGAGAGCAGGCTGACCAACATGGAGAAACTCTATCTCTACTAAAAATACAAAAGAAAAAAAAAAATAGCCGGGCGTGGTGGCACATGTCTGTAATCCCAGCTACTTGGGAGGCTGCGGTAGGTGAATTACTGAACCCAGGAGGCGGAGGTTGCAGTGAGCTGAGATTGCGCCACTGTACCCCAGCCTGGGCAACAAGAACGAAACTCCACCTCAAAAAAAAAAAAAAAGGTAATCTCATTTAATTAGCATAGTAACTGTCAGAGATTGGTAATAGTCCCATTTTACAGGTAAGGCAACCAAGGCACAGAGAACTTAAGTAATTGCTCAAGGTGATAAGAAAAGTCAAGGTGCTAGCAGCATGGCAAAACACCTAGTAGGATTTCCCATCACTACTACTTATTCCCCAGAGGTGAAAATGTTTATCTCTGCAGAGTAGCCAACTTCAGGGCAGAGAAGTCACCAGTCACAGGGAAAGGACAAAATGGACCTGGGTTATACCCTGAGAAGACAGCAAAAACTCTCCCCTCAATCAGCTAAAGCATGGCTAAGAGCACACTGTCCCCCTGTTCCTATACCTCAGCTCCCGCACACCTACTAACAGCCCTTGTCTTGATTTTCATCCACCCCAATCCTATACCCTCCAAGGCTCACTCCCACAGATGCTTCCTCCTGAAAATCTCTTTTAACTTTTATACAGCAAAACTGTGTCCACCTCCCGGCCACAGCACGTTATCTGTATCCCTATGGAATCTATCCCAATCTCCTATGTTAGTATTATCTTTGCTACCTGCTACTCCATGCTTTTGGTCTGTCTGTTCCACACCTCTTGAGGACAGTGTTCCTGGAGGCAGGACTAAGGATTACACATATTTACATTTTCTACTGTGGCTTATATTGAGTAGATGTTCTGGAAGTATTTGTTCAATGAATGGTTATCCTAGTATCAAAAGGGCCCTCCCACATCCCTACCTCCAAAATGACCCATTGCCTGACTTTTCAGAACCAACATAGTTGAGGATATGTTTGCAACTACCCTAAGTAGTCAGCAGGAGACATAGAGACCCAAGTTGGTATTCTGTTCCAGGACTCACTCCTCTGGGAAGCCCAGCTAAATTCTTCCTCTTTGTTTTCTTTTGTTATTAGCATAAGCAACTACTATTACACTAAGCAAAGAGGAATGGGAGATAACAGAAACTGTTTTAAAACACGGCATTTGAATCTGTTAAACATTAACTGATTAAACTTTCACTGATTACAAAATGTAAAATATACAAACAATACAGCAATGTTTTATAATTTATACACTTCTTTCCTATACATTATCCTCAAAATAGTCCTTTTGCTATATGTGAGGTAACTAAGGCCTAGAGAAATAAAGTGACAGTCATAGCTTACATTTCTTTTGTAGGAAATGGAGCCAGATATTGGGACTCTAGATCTACAACACTGCCTCACTTTGAGTAAAACTCAACAACTGCACGCTTATTTAATAATGAAGAATAGATTTTTTTTGAGATGGAATCTCGCTCTGTTGCCAGGCTGGAGTGCAGTGGCGTGAACTTGGCTCACTGCAACCTGCGCCTCCTGGGTTCAAGCAATTCTCCTGCGTCAGCCTCCCGAGTAGCTGGGACTACAGGTGCGTGTCACCATGCCTCGCTGATTTTTGTATTTTTAGTAGAGACGGGGTTTCACCATGTTGACCAGGATGGCGCTGATCTCTTGACCTCATGATCCACCCGCCTCAGCCTCCCAAAGTGCTGGGATTACAGGCGTGAGCCACCGCGCCCGGCCGATAGATTGTTATTTTTAAGTATATCTGCTTTGCCATCCTAACAACTAAATTATCTGCTTCCCAGTGCATAAAGGACTCAAACAACTCAATACAAAGAAAACATATATTCTGATTTAAAAATGGGCAAAAGATCTGAATAGACATTTCTCAAAAGACATATAAATGGCCAAGAGGTATGTGAAAAAATGCTCAACATCACTAATCATCTGGGAAAGGCAAATCAAAACCACAACAGCATCTCACACAGTTTTATCAAAAAGACAGCCAATAAGTGACTCTGGCAAGGATGTGGAGAAAGGGGGGCCCTTGTACACTGCTGGTGAGAATATAAATTAGTACAGCCACTGTGGACACTCCAAAACAGTTTGGAGGTTCCTCAAAAAAAAAAAAAAAAACAAACAAACAAAAAAACAACTAAAAGTAGAACTACCATATGATCCAGAAATCTCACTGTCAAATATATATCCAAAAGAAAGGAAATTGGTATACTGAAGAGACTGATTTTACTCCCAAGCTTACTGCAGCATTAGTCACAACGGTCCAGATAGGAATTGAGTCTGGGTGCGGTGGCTCATGCCTGTAATCCCAGTACTTTGGGAGGCCAATGAGGGTGGATCACTTGAGGTCAGGAGTTTGAGACCAGCCTGGCCAACATGTGGGAACCCTGCCTCTACTAAAAATACAAAAATTAGCTGGGCATAGTGGCGCATGCCTGTAATCCCAGCTACTTGGGAGGCTGAGGCACGAGAACTGCATGAACCTGGGAGGTGGAGGTTGCAGTGAGCTGAGATCATGCCACTGCACTCCAGCCTGGGCAACAGAGCAAGACTCTGTCTAAACAAAAAAAAGATACAAATCAACCTAAGCGTCCAACAACAGATGAATGGATTAAAAAAAAAGTGGTATAAATATACAGTAGAATATTATTCAGCCATAAGAAAAAATGAAATTCTGTCATTTGCAGCAACCTAGATGAAACTGGAGGACATTACGTTAAGTGAAATGAGGCAGGCACGAGAGAGACGAATACTACATATTCTCACTAATATATGGGAGCTAAAAAAAAATTGAAGTCATGGAGATAGAGAGTAGAATGATGGTTATCAGAGGTGGGAAGGGTAACGGGGAGAGGGTAATAAAGAGGGATAATTAGTGGGTACAGAAATACAGTTTGATAGAAGGAATAAGATTTAGTGTTCAGTAGTACAATAGGGCAACAAGAGTTAACAGTAATTTATTGTACATTTCAAAATAACTAAAAAAGTGTAATTGGAATTTTCCTAACACAAAGAAATGATAAACGCTTGAGATGGGCATTCCAGTTACCCTGATTTGATCATTACACATTGTACACTGTATGCTTGTATCAAAATATCACATGTACCCCATAAATAGGTATACTTAGTATCTATAATAATTAAAATTTTTATAAATAAATAATTTGTTTCCCCAAATAACACCTTGCTTTTGGCTTGTCAGATGGACACCAGGTGAAACTGTCAAGTCAATGAGGTCTGTCCATCCCTGTCTTACCTGCTCTATTCTCTCTCCCTGGTCTGTCTGCCCTCTGCATTCTTCCACCAACCAGTGCTCCCACCATCATCTATCAAAGATCCACATGGTTGTAGATTCCAACAGGCCCCGGGGATCCAAGACAGAGAGGGATCATAGCTCCCACAGTTAGGGACTGTGACTTACTTAATTCAAAGTATTTTCATTATCAGACATTTAATAATACGTCCCAGAGCTGAGAGTATGCTGTCAGCAGTAGTTGGTAGGGATACAAGATGACGACCTTCTCTCTGACCTCAAGGAGCTCATGCTTTGGTAGAGAAGAAGATGTGAGAGAAACTAATAATCATACAACTACACAGTAGTAAGCACTACACAGAGATGGGATGGAAGAGCCGTGGGAACTGGGAGGAGGGTAGGTCATTCTACCCCAAGCCCTCTGCTCCTTTTCTAGAAGTTCCCTACTTTTCCTACATCTGTGGAGCACGTGCCAGGCACCACGACAAGCTCTGAGCCCACAGGAAAGACTGAAAGGTTGGGCTGATGGTTAAGACACAGGGTCAATTTATAGGATGGCATTTCAGGCACATAGTATCTGGGAAAGAGGGACTGAACTGAAACTGACTGATTCCCTTAACAGCTGGGTGACTTTAAGCAAATTACTTAACCTCTCTGAGTGTCTGTTCTCATTTCTTTCATTCATTTAACAAATATTTATTAGATACCTACTGTATGCAAGGCACTATGGACACAACAGTGTTGTGTTTTTTTTTTGTTTTTTTTTTTCCTGAGACACTGGAGTGCAGTGGCATGATCTTGGCTCACTGCAGCCTTGACTTCCTGAGCTCAGATGATCCTCTCACCTCAGCCTCCCAAGCAGCTGGGACCACAGGCATGTGTCACCATGCCCGGCTAATTTTTGTACTTTTTGTAGACGTGGGGTTTCGCCATGTTACCCAGGCTGATCTGGGGCTCCTGGGCTCAAGCAATCTATCCGCCTCAGCCTCCCAAAATGCTAGGATTACAAGCGTGAGCCACTGTGCCCCACCACAGCTGTGTTTTGTTTGTTTGTTTGTTTTTGGAGACAGAGTGTCACTGTTATTGCTCAGGCTGAAATGCAGTGGCCCGATCTCGGCTCACCGTAACCTCTGCATCCCAGGTTCAAGCGATTCTCCTGCCTCAGCCTCCCGAGTAGCTAGGATTACAGGCATGCGCCACTATGCCTGGCTAATTTTGTATTTTTGTATTTTGTATTTTAGTAGGGGTTTCTCCATGTTGGTCAGGCTGGTCTTGAACTCTTGACCTCAGGTAACCCACCCGCCTCTGCCTCCCAAAGTGCTGGGGTTACAGGCGTGAGCCACCACGCCCCGCCAACTGTGTATTTTTAAAAACCTATCCTTGTGGCACTTAGGTTCTGCTAAGGGAGGTAAACAATAACAAATATAAAATTTAAAGCTACAGTATATAGATGGTGATATGTGATCTGGCAAAAAATAAAGCAGAGTAAAAAGAAAGGGAGTGCCCATTGTGGGGAGAGGGATATTAAAAAGACAGGTCAGGGTAACATCTGAGTAGAGACCTGGAAGAGACCAGGGCATAAGCCACGTGGCCACCTGGGGGCAGAGCAATCCAGGCAGAGACTGTCAGTGCACAGGCCTCAAGGAGGAGGCAGCCTGGTGTGTTCAAGGAACAGCACAAGCTGGTAAGGCTAGAGTGGTGTGGAGGAGACAGGGTGCTGTTAGAGATGGAATCTGATAAGAGGGCCAGGCTGAGCAGGCCTGGTAAGCCATTAAAGGAGCTTGTGCTCTCACTCTCAGTGAAGTGGGAAGTTACTGGGAGGGGAGGTGGGTGGTTTGAGAACAGGAGTGACATGATTTGACTTCTTATCTTAAAAAGGAAAATGGGTGAAAAATTGAGACTAGAGAACAGGGCAGAAAGCTTGGAGGGCAGTTACAATGCTACTGCAGCAATTCAGATGCTGGCATTTGGACAAGGCTGGTGGTAGTAGAGCCAGTAGGAAGTGGTTGGATTTGGTGTATATTCTGAGACAGAGCTGGTAGGACTGCTTGATGGATGAGAGACGAGATGTGGAGAGTAGGAGAAAGGGGTCAAGAATGACTGAACAACTAGAAGGAAGGAGTTGCGGAGCTGCCGCTGACTGGGCTGCGGAAGACTGAAGAAAGGACAGGAAAGAGCTGGAGAACCGTGTTAGACATGTTTGAGATGCCTAATTAGGCTTCCAGTAGTGACATCAAACAAGCAGATGGATATATGGGCCCAGAGTTTAGGACAAGTTCTGATGTGGACTGTGTTTTCATCTCCAGCAAGCCACATGGCTGCCTGGGGGCAGGGCAATCCAGGCAGAGATACAACCAGTGAAGAGGTCTAGAGGAGGAGCACAAGGCCCACGTGGCTAGAGTGGTATGGAGGAGAGAGTCCATTTCATTTATGTGAGTTAAAGTTACCTTGGGCAAAGCAATCAGCAGTGATTGGCACACAGCAGGTATTCAATGATCAAGGTTCTTTTCCTTCCCCTTCCCTGCCTGGCCCAGTCTCTACCTCCTGTTCATCTGAGACTTATTTCCTCAGCTCAGATCAATGTACTAAACATCTGTTTCTTCAAGGTACTACAGGAGCCTGGAAAATGAGAGAGACCAAGCTGGCTTGGGCTCTTGACACTTGGATGGTTCTTTAGCCTTGCCATCTTCAAGTCTTCCCCAATACTACTCATTTTGACTTGTTTCAATATTCCAGTGAAAGGGCAAGAAAAACCATCACATTTCCCAAGAGTAGATATAAATTTGAATTAATAAAGAAAGTTGGTTAGAGTTTGAACTTCAAACCCTTCCATGATGTTTTTGTTTAAAAATAAAACAGACTCAAAATAGTAACTTCCATTTTCACGTGACTAACAAATAGCAATTGTGGATTTCAGATCTTGGTACACTACATTCCTCCCGGAAATAAATCGGAATAAGTCAAATACCAGGAGTTCTGAGAAACAGAAGTCTCTGATTTGGGCTCCATTCTTGCTTGACGGATTATGGGGGAAAAAGTCACATTTAAAACTCTTCATTCTGGGGTGGTAAGGAAATGTAGGCACTGTTCTGGGTCCAGAGGTAGAAGGAAAACTACATGGTATTTCACAAAATGCTCAAGACAGTCTCTGTGGTGTGTAGAAACAGGCAAATGTTTATTTAAAACTTTCAGTTCAGTAGAAGGATGTCTAAGAAAGTTTTTAAAAAAGGCAAAAGGAGGCTGGGTACGGTGGCTCATGCCTGTAATCCCAGCACTTTGGGAGGCTGAGGTGGGCAGATTACTTGAGGTCAGGAGTTCAAGACCAGCCTGGTCAACATGGTTGAACCCCGTCTCTACAAAATTACAAAAATTAGGCTAGGTGCGGTGGCTCATGTCTGTAATCCCAGCACTTTGGGAGGCCGAGGCAGGGGGATCACCTGAGGTCAGGAGTTCGAGACCAGCCTGACCAACATGGAAAAACCCTGTCTCTACTAAAAATACAAAATTAGTCAGGCATGGTGGCATATGCCTGTAATCCCAGCTACTCGGGAGGCTGAGACAGGAGAATTGCTGGAGCCCGAGACAAGAGCGAAACTCCATCTCAAAAAAAAAAAAAAAAAAAAAAAAATTAGCCGGGCTTGGTGGTGGGCACTTGTAATCCCAGCTGCTCAGGAGGCTAGGGCAGGAGAATTGCTTGAACTTGGGATGTGGAGGTTGCAGTGAGCTGAGATCCTGCCGCTGCACGCCAACCCAGGTGACAAAGTGAGACTGTGTTCCAAAAAAAAAAAATTAAAAAAAAAAAAGGGCAAAAGGACAAGTGACCTGTGTCTACCCCAAGAGCCAGCTAGAACAGCTTGCCTGGTGGTAGAACAATAGTCTTGTAGGCAATGGCAGACAAAAATCCCCTAGGCAGCTGTAAAACACTGGCCCAACCTCTCAAGCTCCTATTACTCTCTAGGCGTGGGACCCAGGCAGCAGTAAATCATCACAACCATCAGTGCTCAGTGGAGTGAGATCATCTGCAGGGATTCCTTAATGAAACGTGATGACTTCTCTGGCACTCCAGCAAGTGGGGTGTGCTGAGGACACCACGCTTTTCTCAGGAGATCAGTTATCAGCTTTTCCACACGTTCTCCTGAACCAGCACACAAAACAGCCCACGTGGCACCATGGCACCGACCTCAGGACTGTGCCGAGCTAGCTGGATAGCTTGCTTGCTTTTCCTTAAGTTCTGGTTAAAATGCACTGTACCAACTGCTCATTAAGGTCTTACTGTGTGTCAAGCAGTTGTAGGTGCCAAGGAAACAAAAACAGGCAGGATTCTGTTGTTTTTATGAATTCTGCTCTCATGGAATTCATAGTCCAATAAGTAAATGCATCTGAGTCAAAATCAGACTTCCTTTTAAAAACGAATGTGGCCAGCCAGGTGTGGTGGCTCACGCCTGTAAACCCAGCACTTCTGGGGGCCAAGGTGGGTAGATCACATGAGGTCAGGAGTTCAAGAACAGCCTGGCCAACATGGTGAAACCCTGTCTCTACTAAAAATACAAAAAAATTATCTGGGCGTGGTGGTGCATGCCTGTAATCACAGCTACTTGGGAGGCTGAGGCAGAAGGATTGCTTGAATCCAGGATGCAGAGGTTGCAGTGAGCTGAGATTGTGCCACTGCACTCCAGCCCGGGTGACAGAGAGTGAGTCTGTCTCCAAAAAAAAAAAAAAAACAAACCAAGAATGTGGCCCTTCCTTCTGCTCTCAGGGCTGGGGATGTGTGGAGGAGCGTGTCCACAAACGAGGCCTACAGGCACGTGTGGATAACCTGATGGAGCCGGCCCCAGGATGTGCTTCCCCCTTTATATTCATGTAGGAAGAACTGCTGTAATTCATAAAGTTTATATTATCCCATTTAATTCTAACAGTGTTATGGAGTTTCTTGGTGAGAATCACTCTCCCCATTTCAGCTGACACTAAGAAAGATCAAGAGACTTGCCAAGCCCACCAAGTTAGTTCATAGCGGCACCGAGATTATAAAACCAAGTTCTCTGATTCTCATCCCAAAGAAACAGAGAACTTGGTTTATAATCTTACTGCTCTGCAAAACCTCCCCAAGTGACCGGTGGTTCACCTACCTGTCCTTGACCTGCTTCTGTCTGCTCTCAATTTTTCTTACCCGTACCTCCACCCTGCCTTTGCCTCAAACTTCCCATCTCCATGAAGGTAATCTTCTGCTTTTCCTAAGCCAATGGTTGTTAAGTCTGGTCTCCAGATCTGCAGCATCAGACTCACCTGGGAAGTTGTTAGAAATACAGATTCTTAGGCCTCGCCCCAGATCTACTCAATGAGAAATTCTGGGAGTGGGGTCCAGCAATCTGAGTTTTAATGAGCTTTCCAGGGATTCTGCTGCATGCTAAAGCTAGAGAACCCCACTGAACTAAGCTAAAAAGCCAGGTACCTCTAGAGTCCCTGTGTTGCCCCACCATGATCACGGGGCCCCCACATACACAAACTCCATGACTAGAGAAGAAAGCCATTTGTCTGACACCATGCAGCAGTCACAAAATGCAGTCACATCCAGTAAAATTTTTCAGGGCCAGCTTAGGCAAAAGCTTGAAGCAAGAGGTAACAGCCCTCCCCTTTGTGGTCTACCCTTCATAATGATAGCCCCCTTTTCTCAATCAGTGCAATGGCCTTTAATTCAACCCCCTCCCACCTCATCAGACCCAGCTCTTGACCCTTAGATTAGAAGCCCACCACAATGCGAGTGGATGTGTTCATACATAACCCTCTTCCCTAACCATGAAACGTAATGAAAGGCTCCAAGCTCTGTTCAAGAGGGTAGACAGGGGTACTTCATCTAGAGTAAATGCTAACAATAAAACGTGAACTACGCAATTGCGCTACTTTCTACAAATTACAGAACGCTTCCATAACTCTCACAAGGATCACAAAAGCTACTTCTGAAACAGACATTAGAACCCAGGGGCCTATCTACTGTAACACGCCAGACATTATATAAATTCTTGTTAGTCATCTAATGGGGCTATTATAAAAGTTCTGGTCACTCTGTAAGGGCAGGGGCCCATGTCACCAGAGCACACTGCCACATAAAAAGAATTTCTTTGTCGCAAACCCAGGCCATTAGAAATAATGCAGAGACACACGACTAAACAAAGGATAACTTCCTGAATCCAAAGTATCAAGTTTACTGAAAAGGGCAGGGGACGACCTTTACGGTCCGACTTTTCTTTGTGGAGATCTAATGATCCTCTTATCTACTCCCTTGACTGGCTAACAGGTCTGTAGTTTTCTCTTAGAAGAATGAAAGGTGGTTATTCTCTTATTGTTTTAATGTCTACCGCAGCAACATTTGGAGGAATAAAAAAGGCCCATAGAGGTAGAACTGAGGTTCCCGCACAATCACTCTTTGCCCATCAATATGGAAT
This sequence comes from Homo sapiens, assembly GCF_000001405.40. Lineage (NCBI taxonomy): Eukaryota > Metazoa > Chordata > Mammalia > Primates > Hominidae > Homo > Homo sapiens. Next base: position 100,020,559 of record NC_000014.9, on the reverse strand, counting down.
TTATGCTCAGTTCTAAAATGCACAAAAATTGCATTTGAAAAATGAGAAGCTTTCAGAAGTCGGAAGTGTGTGTGTGTGCGTGCACACACACACACACTCTCTTCCATATGTTCCAGAGAGGTGGAAATATGCACAAGAAGAATCTGATGACCCTCCCATTCCGCCTCCTTTATTTTCATTTCTTAGAAACTCCTTCTATTGGAACATCCCTTCCCACATTTATATACAGGGATAGATTCCTGGAGAAGAGAGGGAGTAAGATTCACAAAAGATCTAATTTGGAGCACTAATAATTACAGCAGCTGAAAAGCATACGAAAGCAAAGAGCCCTGTTAACAAAACACTATCAGGGCACTTTCCAGAAAACAGACCGGCGATGAGATTACTACTAAAAATAATGAAGACAAGAAGAGCCAAAATCAAATCTCAACTATGCAGACAGACTTGTAGAATTTTTCACCTTCACTGCTACAATCAGCATTTTTTAAAAAGAGCAGTAGACTGCATGAGTTGACAAAGGAAGAAAAACAAAAGATAGCAAGAGACTCATTCTGGACACACAGTTGCTATTCTGTATTCACAACTCTACACCAGCAACAGCAGCTCAAATAAGGCACAAGGTGGGGTCCTGGACAAATTCACCCATGATCAGACCAATTATCCACGCTGCACTTCTGCACACAGTAAACACCCCTGACCTGCACCACCTCTGCACCTCCCACCCCCATGACTGGGATAAACCCCACCACAAGCTGAAAAGAACCCTGTTTTTTTTGTGAGAACCAGCCAGAGCCTAAGCTGTCATTACACAGCAAAAACCTAGCGAGAACAAAAAGCCAGCAGCAGACTGATGTAGAAAGCCCAGAACATACCTGAATTCTTCAAATGCAAACATGACCTAGTCAGAGACAATTTCCTTAGATTGTGTGGTAGTCTTTTTGGTATGGAGGACAACCATTTAGTTAGTCAGATGGTGCAAAGTGCAGAAAAATGAGGCGGGGTTTCCACACCCCCCAATATTCTGAAGTAAAAGGCTTTCTGCAGACAGGGGCCTGCAGCCTCCAGCTCCGCCAGCTGCTGACAAGCGGCAGCTAACAGGGGAGGCAGCTAGAAAACCATGTGATCATTCCAGCAAGTCTGATTAATGCAGTGTATGCTTAGGCTCCAGGCTGGGAACTGGATTAGTCTAGAGAAAGAAGTCGAACCCAGGGCACGCCTGGGATCCTGGGTAAAGCATGTAACACATCCCACCCCCTACCAGAACTGTGCAGGTTGGGGAGAGAGGAGAGAAGGCTGAAAGGAATGAGAATGCAACCTGTTCCGCTGTGATCTGCCTAATTACCTCATCTTCCTCTGGCTGCTGCTGCTATAAGCTCAGGCATGACCAACATTATATGTGAACGTAAGTACTGAAAAATTCTGCAGAATTCTGTATTTTACCATTCCACTATCAAACACTATTTTAGCACAAATGCATAAGCTGCTTCAGAATCACAAGTCGCATTTTATGTCCACCACTTTACCATGACCAGCGTGACCTTACATGTCACTCCTTATTAGTGATCTCATTTATTTGATTATTCATTTATCGAGTATATAGTAGGTACCCGGTTCTCACCAATTCCTTGAAGTACAAAAATTGCTATAATCATTTCAGAAGAGAAGAAGGAGGAAACGAGATGCCAGCCCCCAAAAGAAAAATGTTTATCAGGCTGGCAAGATTTGGCAAATGAGCTGAGGTTGTATTCTGAGACTCGCCATGAAGGAAAATCTTCAGCATTCGGGTTGCAACTCTTTGTGAAATAAGCAAGGCAGATCTCAAATAAAAACGTATGAGTCACTCTTGACGTTTTTTCTCTCCCTTGACCCCAGTGTCATCAGTCACTAACTGTAATCGACCTGGAAAAGGTGGCCTGAAGCTGCCCCTTTCCCCTCACCCGCTCACGCAGCCTGGGTGTGCCCTCAGCGCCCCTCACTCAGCCTCTGGCCTTAGGAAAATTGCTCTGGCTGAGTTTTAGAGAAGGGGTGGAAGAAGGAAAACCAGTTACCAATTCTGATTTTGATGCCTCTGTTTAACCCTGCATTACTAACTCCTCACAGCTCAAGAAATAAAGTCTTTCACGCCTCTTCATGACATGCAAAGTCTTATTTCTCCAATTCTTTCTTCCACTAAAACTCTTCACACACCTTCAAATTCAGTTAGACATTCACAGTTCCCAAAATCTGTCAGGACCTCCCTTCTCGGGCCCATGGACCAGCTGGATGAGGTTCTTTGCTGCTCCCTAATGTGAGCCGCTGCCCACGTGCTGCTCCCTCACTGCTCCCTCTCCGAGGGGCTGAGATTCCCACAGGGCAGCGCACTGCTCTCTCTTCTTGGCTGCCACCTGCGTGGCATCCAACATTGTGTTTGCCTCTCCTGCAAATCTAAGAGTTCCTTGAGGACAGGAATGTGTGAAGTTAATTTCTGTATTCCCAATGCCTGACATAGCACTTGACAAAAAGGAATTATTCACATAAGGTTTGCTGAATGAACCTCTTTTGCCTCAGCTTTTATCAGGGAGAAGAGTGATCCAGTACATGCATTCGCACGAAGGTGCTCTGGGACAAATGTATCACTCTTCATACAGTTATCTCCGTCTCGAAGAGAAGCAAGAGAGTCCAGGTCTTGACTCAAAGAAATGCAGTGACAAAGGCCAAACGAGGCCGACTGACGAGTGAGGGAGGTGTCTGGGGGAATCCTGTGGTCCCCCAAACCACACAGCAATCACCTAAGCTGATCTGAAATGCCTTCTGCAGTATTCATGACCAGCATCTGCCTGAGACCTTCTGGTGATGGCAGCTTCTTGGCAGAATCATAATAACAGGAAACAAAATATTCAAGTCATTAAATAACTCAGTTTTAAGTCCCAGATCTGCCCCTTACTCTGTGATCATTGACAAGCTACTTAAATTCCCTGGGCCTTGGATTTACCCTATATAAAACCAGAATAATATTGATACTGCCCACGCCTCTCTCATAGGAGTGTTGTAAGAAACCAATAAAGTAGGAGTTGGAAAGTTCTTTATCAAATATATTAAGTTACATAAGTATCTTCATCAGCTTTATTATCTCACAAGATGATCTCTAACCGGACAGCTCTGATGACTGGGTGGTTCTTCTTCATGAAGAGACTACCACTCCTTGGAAGTATCCTGTCTGCTCAATGGGTGGCTCATTTAATTTTGTGGGGACCTCTAGACTCTGTGCCTGCTCTCCACCAGTGACTCAAGACTCTCCTTTTGCAGGTATAACCAGCACCTTTCAGGGCAATTCATAAGGTCCTGGTAGAGGACAGTTGGTAGAAATGGTGAAAAATCAAATCCCAGCACCAAGCTCATTTTACACATAATATTAAGAGATTCTCCCAACTTACTAATAGAAGACAGAGGCCAAAGTGGTTAAGTAACTTGTCCAGGGTCATACAGCTATAAGTAGCAGAGTAATGACATGGATTCCGGCTGAGCTAACTCCAACATGCTCTCCTGGTGTCCTTACACCAATGATCCAACCAGCTCAGGCTGCCTCCAGAAGAGGACTTATTTGATAGACTGTCAGGCAGCCTGTGGCCCTGCAGAGGCGGTAGGACACTGACCCTTTTGGGCTATTTTATGTAGCTGGCCAGGTGAATCCCCAAATTTCATGGCCAAGCAAGAGACCTGCCAGGGCTAAAAAAAAGTGCCTCAACTGTTCCAGGAAGTGAGAGGTAGACACCTCAGCTGACATGGCATTGGGGTCCAAATGGGAACCAAGTCTGCTTCAAAGGCTAGAAATCCTCGACCACTTGATTACTGATAACACCAAAGTGTCAGAAACAGAAACATAAGTGAGGGTCCGTGACTCCTGACAACTCCACTCCTGTCTGGAATAGGGCTCAAAAAGGCACTTCTGTGACCACATAATGTGTTTTTTTGTTGTTGTTGTTTTTGTTTGTTTGTTTGTTTTAGAGACGGAGTCTCGCTCTTTTGCCCAGGCCGGACGTTTGTTTGTTTTTTGAGCCGGAGTCTTGCTCCATCGCCAAGCTGCAGTGCAGTGGCGCAATCTCAGCTCACTGCAACCTCTGCCTCCTGGGTTCAAGTGATTCTCGTGCTTCAGCCTCCCGAGTAACTGGTATTACAGGCACGTGCCGCCACACCCAGCTAATTTTTGTATTTTTAGTAGAGACGGGGTTTCACCATGTTGGCCAGGATGGTGTTGATCTCTTGACCTTGTGGTCCACCCTCCTCGGCCTCCCAAAGTGCTGGGATTACAGGCGTGAGCCACAACGCCCAGTGTTTTGTTTTTGTTTTTGTTTTTTAAAGGCACTCCAAGCCATTCGCCAACAACTCAGGCTCAGATAATGCACACTCCTACTCTGGGACTTAATTTCCCTTTGTACCATGAAAGAATAGCCAGATGTTAAATTTTTAAATTAATAAATAATTAATTTTTTTTTTTTTTTTTTGAGACAGAGTCTTACTCTGTCACGCAGGCTGGAGCGCAGTGGTGCAATCTCAGCTCACTGCAACCTCTGCCTCCCAGGTTCATGTGATTCTTGTGCCTCGGCTTCCCCAGTAGCTGGGATTACAGGCATGCACCACCAGGCCTGGCTAATTTTTATTTTATTTTATTTTTAGTAGAGACAGGGTTTTGCCATGTTGGCCAGGCTGGTCTCGAACTCCTGGCATCAAATGATCTACCCACCTTGGCCTCCCAAAGTGCTGGGATTACAGGCATGAGCCACTGTGCCCAGCCAATAATTGTCTTATTTTTAAAAATAACACTTCCATGGAACCCTAATACATACAACTGATCAAAGTAGAATAGTTCCAGCTGAAGAAGGTGGAGGGGCCCTAGAGTCCCTGCTGCAAGGCCTTCCCTCTCTCTACCAGGACAGGCTCAACCTGAACACACTGGCCTAAATGACTCTGGCAGTCCCTGCCGGCGCTAATGATCTGTGGGGCTCTCCCAGCTACAAACTGTCACACTCACCCTAGTTAATCTGGATTCACTTCCTCTTTCTAGTGTCATTCCTAAGAATACCCTCCCTAGCCCCAGCGGTACTACCATGGTAGAACACTCATCTGCAGTTACTGGACATGTGAGCTGCCCGGGACTTCTCCGGAGAAACAAACATGGAGACGCTGATACAAACACAAACATGAACAGGAAATGGCCCTGGGTTCCTGACAATGTGGGAAAGCTAAATGAGAATATTTTAAACAAGTGTCCTCAGCTTAACCGGTACCTTCGTTTTGCAACCCATGTCTTTTCATACGAAATGGTCAACTGTCCAAGAAAAGGAATTTATGATTTGTTAGTACTGAATCTCATTACAGTTCACTTGGAGGCCAATAAACAGAGAGTTTAAGGCCCTGATGTCCCGTGGACTTGAGACCTTACAATCAACATTTCCTCTGCCACTTTTTTAGGCTGTGGGGCACACAGCCATGATGGACGTGAAGCAAAATAAGGACTGAGCATCTGAACAGAATCTAATGTGCCAATCAAGTAAAAAAAGAACTCTATTTCAACATTTACTAATATGCACATTCACTTCTGTGCTGTGTGGAGATGAAACAGAAGGAGCCACAAATGGAAGTCAGCTATGATCATGACTAAAAATACTATTCTTTTCTCATGGCCCAATCAAGGATCTTTCCAATGGCCAGGGGGCTGAGCGGTAATAAGAGGAATTCAACAGTGTCTTCAGAGGCCCATTTCTCCCTGGTTTCACTTCTACAACCCTAATTAAGACCCTTCTAGCCTCTACCTGATCTCCTGCCTGTCTTACTCCCTTCCTGCACAGTTTTCAACCCTACCAATTGCCAGTTAAAAAACCCACAACTCAAAAACTAAAACTAAAGTGTTCATATGATCCAGCAATTCCACTGCTAGATATATACCCCAAAGAAAGGAAATCAGTATACTGAAGAGATATCTGCACTCTCATGTTTACTGCAGCACTGTTGACAATAGCCAAGATTTGGAAGCAACCTAAGTACCCATCAACAGATGACTGGATAAAGAAAATGTGGTACATATACACAGTGGAGTACTATTCAACCATAAAAAACAATGAGTCCTGTCATCTGCAACAACATGGATGGACTGGAGGTCATTATGTTAAGTGAAATAAGCCAAGCACAGAAAGACAAACTTCACATGTTCTCACTCATTTCTGGGAGCTAAAAATTAAAACAATTGAACTTGTGAGAAGAATGAGAGCTAAAAATTAAATTTAAGTTAAAAATTAGAATAGGGGCTAAAAATTGAAACAATCGAACTTGTGAGTAGAATAGAGAGTAGAATGATGGTTACCAGAGGCTGGGAAGGGTTGGGGATGTTCATGGGTAACCAATGGGCAGGGGACTGATCATATTTTATCTATTAAAATAGAGTTAGAATGAATAAGAATCAAATGCTAGTATCTGATAGCACAATAGGGTGATTACAGTCAACACTAATTTATTGTACATTTAAAAATAACTAAAAGAGTATAACTGGAATGTCAGCAACACAAAGAAATAATAAATGTTTGAGGTGATGGATACCCCATTTGTCCCATTTGTAATTAGTTATTACACATATCTGCCTATATCAAAATATCTCATGTACCCTATAAATAGAAATATCTACTATGTAACCATAAAAATATAAAAAATAAACCTACCATTCTTTTTTACTGTCTGCATAATAGTCTCAGCCCCCAAACTTGGCATTTGGCTCCCGCACAATCTGACCATTGTATGCTTCAACCCAGCTCTCAAACTTGCCAACCTGGCCCCTCGGCATGGCCCTGCACTGACTCCGCACCCTAACCATATCACCTCCACCTGTGCTGTGTGGAGATGAAACACAAGGAGCCACAAATGGAAATCAGCTATGAACATGACTAAAAATACTATTCTTTTCTCATGGCCCAATCAAAGATCTTTCCAATGGCCAGGGGACCCTCGGTCCCGGATCCATAGTGCTTCCACCTTCTCTCCACAAGTGGCTATGGAAAGCCACTTGATTCTGAATCCAGTTCTACTCCTATCTCCCTGAGAAGCCTTGGGCAAATTCTCACCAGCCTAAGTCTCAGTTTCCTCATCCTAAAATGGGGAAGACAGCATGTATTTTGTGGGGATGCTGTGATGTGCATTACACACATTAACCACAATCAATGGTAGCTAATATTATCAAATATGCCTCAAAAACCCATCGAGTTGCCCTCCTGACCAAAACCAGTCTCAACTGATCTCTAAAACTCCTGAATTCCTATCACAATCAATAACCATTTTTAAAATGTTCACACATTGTCTTATGCTGAACAACTCAGTTCATTACGTGTCTTGGGACCCTAGTCAAAGAGAGTCCCTGGGGATGGAACTAGAATGGCTAGAAGGTGAGGCCTGAGGGGTTTAACTCCCCACAACCTCAAAGACAGTCCCTGGGGATGGAACTAGAATGGCTAGAAGGTGAGGCCTGAGGGGTTTAACTCCCCACAACCTCCATCAGACAAGAAATACACACACAATCTAAGTAATAACAGCATGCTTGGTATGCAAATACAGCTTCAAAAGGAAGCCATTACAATTCTGGGCCACTATCCTCAAATTATCCCATTTTGAAATTGTGGGGAGTCCACTAGCACTGACCTTGGTTTTAGTCCTAATCTTTCACAAGGCACAGCAATTCTTAGTCATACATTGTAAGTCTTAGAGACGGTTTTTCTCACAACTCAATTGTTTCATGTGGCTCTCAGATTACTAATGAAACAGAGCCAAGATCAAAAACATCTCAAGAGAAAAAGTAAAACCACCACCAGGACCATAAGCCAAAGGAAGTGTCAACTCCATGAAAGGGGGGCCCTTGCCTCATCCTTACCATTCTTTCCCCAGGCCTGGCACACAGAATTGTTCATCTGTTGAGTTAATTAATCAATGGTTTGTGGACTTAGAGAGATTTAATAAAAAGATGAAATTAGATTAAGTCAGCAGTCCTCTTTCCAGTACAAACATCAAATAATAGGGCAGATTACCCTTTTGAATAAGCAAGTGCAGCTGCTCCAGTGTCACCCTGATTTACTGAAATTTGCTAATTAAGAAGGTATTTCCAGGAAGAAAGGAATAATCAAGAAGATAAAATCATGTAAAGCAAATACATACATTCAATAAAGAAATATATACTGAGCACCTGCCATGTGACCAGCACTGTTACACCCGAGGCGGGAGAAGAGGTCAAAGAAGATTCAGACGCACTTCAGGCCTTTCCAACAGTTAGAAACAGACCCCATAACCTAAAAAAGCTGAAATGATAGTTAGCAATGGTAAATCAATACCAAGTATATGAAGCTGGGGTATAGGATTTTCTATTTATTCCTTTAGTGTTACTAGATTTTTTTCCACTTCAATTCACTGTTCTTATCAATGTCCCTTTTGAACCCTGGCTCCATTATGAAGTTGCTGAATGTACCTGGAGAGTGAATAGCTGGGCTGTGGTCCCAGCTCCATTCCTTAACAGCTGAGTGTCCTTTGGCAAAACACTTTATCTGTCAGCATCTCAGTTTACTCACCTGTAAGTTGTAAATAATAATTCCTATCCTGCTTCCTCACACAGAAATCCTGAGGATCAAATATAATAACAGGTGTGCCAATCTTTCGTAAATTTTAAGTGCTATACAAGTCAACAGTAGTACTATTAACAACAACAAAAGAAATTATCCCTTTGCACTTTGTGTCATTTGAGATCTTGATAAGGCAGGAATTTTAAGTCTTCATCCAGGCCATATAATTAGATTATCCTTAAGAGCAACTTACTATCCACGTGACCAAGAGAATATAGATAAACACCCACAAGTACAGGAATGCAGGGCTGACAGAGTATCATAGTCAATTTAGTCAAAACTTTACTCTTGGGCAATAGTCTAAGCCATCCAAGATGCTTATATGCTCAATATTCTTATATGCTCAATATGTACTCATTATGTCGAAGTCTAATTTTCAAAAAGCTAAAAACACAGCTCTCATAAAAATATTTAGTATATATGTGTCAAAGGCTGATTAATCTTGCAAAGTTAGATATAAAACTGGTTAATGTTTCATTTCAGAGCAATGAAACCATAATCTTTGAGGTTATCTTTTCTATTAAAACAGGAATCATTTAATTTCTACTGGACAAAAATCATTTGTAACATCAATTTTCTATAAATTAATATCTAACTTTACAGAGTCTAAACTCTATTCAAAAGTAAGTCAAATAATTACCTTCTCCAGGAATGTTCTATGTCCCTTCAGTGGACTTTCCAAACAAATGCTTTTGAGTGACACTGAAAGGGCACACAATAATCTTTTTGCCTTTTCTCCAAGTTTTAGATAACATTTCTAAAAATCTTCAAAATATCTAAACATAGCTTATCATCTATTCCAATGAACTAGTTAATAAAAAATTCTCTCCTATCTGGCCCATTTTTGTATCTTCCTCATTCACATGTTCTTTATAAAAATCTTCAAGTGAATAAAGTCAATCATAAATAATTGCTTAGTTTTCTTAGGACAAATCATCTTGAAATCCAAAGTTGAGGAGGGCACTATGTTCCAAAACTTCCAGTCCTCAGTGCCTCTCTGCATTCTCTCCAACGACCTCACTTTTGGATCTCCTAAAGATGAAAAACGGAACATTTGATTCACAGGCTTTGTAAATTCCCTAGAGGTCTGGCTATTCTGAGGCAGTTGCCATAATTAACCGTAATTTCCTCATCTTCACAAACCCATCCCTGTCACCCTTTTCTTTCCAATATAACAATGCTTGGAAGTCAAAACCAAAATCACTACAGAGGTACGAACAAACAAACAAAAAACCTGCTGGGCACAGTGGCTCAACGCCTGTAATCCCAGCATTTTAGGAGGCCAAGGCGGGTGGATCACCTGAGGTCAGGAGTTTGAGACCAGCCTGGCCAACATGGCGAAACCCTGTCTCTACTAAAAATACAAAGAATTAGCTGGGCGAGGTGGCACATGCCTGTAATCCCAGCTACTTGGGAGGCTGAGGTAGGAGAATTGTGGAGGCTGCAGTGAAGTGAGATGGTGCCACTGCACGATCTTGTTGCCTGGGCAACAAGAGCAAAACTCTGTCTCAAAAAACAAACAAACAAAACCAACCCACACTAACTAGCACAATAATGACGACCAAGTTCTGATTTTTTATCTTGCCCAAATTCCTACCTAAGGGGTCTAGGAGTCACGCCCTACAAACCATAAATTCTCATCAGATGGGTTTTATTTTAACCCTGTATATCGTGACTTACTTTCCAATCTGAGTGACTCTGGCATAACAAGGAAGAAAATCAAAATGTTTTACCTCAAAATATATTTCCTTGCCATACCTTGAAATTGCCCTGCAAAGTCTCTTGTGGGAAAAATCTGCATTCTATAGAGAACCCCCTCTTTTCCCTTTGTTTTTCTTCCTTCCTTTCCAGATCCAGGAGACAATCAACTAAGAGCCAGGCACCCTTTTAAGTCTGATAAGAAACATTTTACAACGTGCTCTCTCTAAAGTCTGAGAGTTTCCTCTGCACAATAAAACTTGGTCTCCACAATCCTTTATCTTAACCTGAACATTCCTTTCCGTTAATCCCAGGTCTTCAGATAAACTTAACCAATTTCCAACCAGAAAATGTTTAAATTTACCTACAGCCTGGAAGCCCCTGCTTTGAGTTGTCCTGCCTTCTGAATCAAACCAATGTATTTCTTAAATGTATTTGATTGATGTCTCATGCCTTCCTAAAATATATAAAACTAAGCTGTACCGTGACCACCTTAGGCACATGTTCTCATGACTGTGTCATAGGCCATGGTCACCCATATTTGGCACAGAATAAATCTCCTAAAATATTTTACAGTTTGACTCTTCATCAACAACAATACGAAGTCAAAAAAGAAATCTAATTAATCTGAGAATGTCTTCTTCACATTTGTATTTTCCACAGAGGTTAGGGAACTGGAATGATTGAATAAACAAATAAATAAATTGAATGGACTAAAAAAACAGAAAGAATGAATGGATTCCAAAGGTTTCAGCATGTTAAAATGTCTTTCAAGAAACCAAGAAAGGAAGGCAATTTCTGGAGACTAGTCCAGTGAGGGCTTCAGAAATGAAGACTACATGAATGAACACTGTGGGAATTTCAAGCATCCAACTGGCAAGGCAAGATGGAAGACATTTTATTTTGAAGGTAGGGAGATCAAGGAGGGGAATAAATATGCACATCTGAAATGAGGCCACACGGGTGTGTTCTCAAAGAGAGCAGTAGTTCCCATGTTTTCAGAGCCTAAGGTATGGAGTCTAGGTACCAATGCTTGACCATGCAACCCCTTCCTAATCTACAAGTACTAAAAATGAAAACCTTCATTTAATACATGTTCTCACTGGAGAAGGAGGTAGAGGGAAGGCAGATATAATCATAAAGAAGTTGCACAAACATATGCCTAAGAGAGTTGTAATCTAAGAAGTCTTACGTGAGGTAAACGTGTTTTGTTTCCTCAAAAAGCTAATTTTTCTTTCTCACATTCCATTTCTGATAATCAGGACTTCTCTATTTCTGATTTCCTACTAAGATGTAAAAAGCAGTGTTTTTTCCCTCATCTAAAATAGCACTGCTTCTTAGTTTCAAAAAGTTCTATTTGCATTTCATCTCATGAGTCTTGCAGTGTTGCTTATATTCCTTCTTACAAAAAGCCCCAACACCCAACATACAACCATGGTATTTAAATTAATAGGTACAAGGACAAATTGATTAAGACCTTCCCACGGATTGCTAATGCCACACTGGGATTTGTTAGGTGACTGACTACATTTGAAAATGCAGTTATTTTTTAAAAGATATATTCATACTACCATGAAAAAAATGGGCATTTGATTATTTTCTAAGCCTCCTTCTCAAGCCATTCAACTCTTTCTTGGACCCTAAAGCAAATACTGAATACAGAAGAAAAAGAAGGGTAAAGGAGTAGTTGCCTTCAGACACTAGAACAGGCACTGAATGAACCAAACCTTGAGAACCACTGTGTTACACGCAAGAACATGAGGGTTTCAGAGATTTCATTAATATGGTAAGTGACCTAAGAAAAGAGTCAGTCTGATCTCCTCACTTTGAGCAAAGAAACAGAAAAACGCAGCACCTTGCCTAGGGTCACACAATCACAGTCAGAGATGGAATTAGAACTGAAGTGTCCTGATTTCTAACTCAAGTGTTTCTTCTCCACATTAGTGGCTCTCAAAAGCGGGGTCATCCACCAGCCATATTAGCATCACCTGGGAGCTTGTTAAGGATGAAAAATCTCAGATCCCGCCCCAGAATTAGTGCATCAGAGGCTGGAGGAGAGAACCAGCACTGTTTTAACAAGCCCTCCTGGGGATTCTAACGCATGCTCAAGTTTGAGAACCACTGACTGCCCTACACCAGCAGTTCTCAACTGGGGATGATTCTGGGCCCCAGGAACATTTGGCAACGTCTGGAGATACTTTTAGCAGTGGCGACTGGGAAATGAGGTTGGGTGTTGCTTCTAGCATCCAATGGGTAGAAGCCAGAGATGTTGCTAAACATCCTACTATGTACAGGTAGTCCTCCACAACAAAGTATTATCTGTCAATAGTGCTGAGGTTGAGGAACTCTGCCCTACACCTAATAGTGGGAGGGCAGAACCAGGAAAGCTGTCCGTGCTTTTCTTTCTTTCTCTTTCTCTCTCTGTCTCTGTCTGTCTCTCCCTCTCTCTCTCTCTCTCTCCTCTCTCTCTGAAAGTATCTATCTGCTTTAGCTGGAAGTTCAGTTCTCTTTCATAAATGCATCCTGTGAAGCTGTACCTCCCCGCTGGAGTGCCTCCAATAGGTAAGGCAAGCCGACACACTTTGAGTCTTTGGCTACTTCTGAGATCAGAGCCTCAGGCCCCTTGGCCAGTCACTCTCACAGCAAGCAGCTATATCTAGTTCCCAAGGGTATCACGCAAATGTTGGCATTTTTCATGAGTGCCATGATGTGAGTAGATAAGAGAGCAGCACAGATCTTTTTTTCAAAAGTCAGAGTTCCTCCTGTGAAAGGAAAATAAATCTTGGGGCCCCCAAATCACTAAGCTAAAGGGGAAGTCAAACTGGGAACTGCTTAGGCCAAACCTGCCTCTCATTCTATTCAAAGTCATTCCTCTGCTCACTGAGAAAAATCTGATTTGCCTCCTCTGGAAAACCTAAGCAGAAATTCAAAAGAATGCAACCATTTGTCTCTCACCTACCTGTGACCTGGAAGCCCTCTCCCTGCTTGAGTTGTCCTGCCTTTCTAGAGGGAACCAATATATATCTTACATATACTGATTGATGTCTCATGTCTCCCTAAAATGTACAAAACCAAACTGTGCCCCGACCACCATGAGCACATATCGTCAGGACCTGTTGAGGCTGTGTGACAGGCGCACGTCTTCAACCTTGGCAAAATAAACTTTCTAAATTAACTGACACCAGTCTCAGATATTCGGGGTTCACATTCTGGTAACCACGAAAGGATTCTGAGTGAAGGTGCCCCTAACCTTTGACAAATCTCCTACTGGTGCTTGTACCAGCTTGAGCTATCTTTATGGCTCAAACCAACAGGACAATTTGCTGAGGCCTGGAAGCACCCCTCCAGAGAATCTCTGATTTCCCAAAATCTGGATGAGATTTAAAGTTTATTTTGCTGTACAACTCCTTTTTTTTTTTTTTTGATGTTTTACTTGCTTCCAACACAAAGAAGGCAAGTTTTTCCTGCTTCCACGATGGAAGGCATGAACTCCTTTATGGAGTTTGAGCTCGCTTCCAACAGGGAAGACGAATTTGAGATTTTTCCTGCTTCTTGGATGGCACAGAGCAGTCTTCAGACTGAGACCCATCCATAGGCCTAGGTCAGTAACTGAATTGGGGTTCGTCTTGGCTAAAGTTAAGATTAACATGCCGGGCGCAGTGGCTCACACCTGTAATCCCAGCAGTTTGAGAGGCCAAGGCGGGTGGATCACTTGAGGTCAGGAGTTCAAAACCAGCCTAGCCAACATGGTGAAACCCCATCTCTACTAAAAATACAAAAAACCCAGCCAGGTGTGGTGGCAGGCACCTGTAATCCCCGCTACTTGGGAAGCTGACGCAGGAGAATTGCTTGAACACGGGAGGCGGAGGTTGCAGTGAGCCAAGATCGCACCACTGCACTTCAGCCTGGGCGACAGAACGAAACTCTGTCTCAAAAAAAAAAAAAAAAAAAGATTAACAACCAGCTGGTTTTATTTGCTCCTTACCATTAAAGCATTCAGTAATTGTATAAGTTGTGCCATCGTTTGTTTTGCTTGACTGTTTTGTCTTTGTTTCTGTTTTTGTTGTTGTTTTGGTCTTTTTCCCATTGGGTTTCATCAACTCTATCCGACCTGATCAAATCCACAGGAAAGTTCCAAATTATGGGGAACGAGGCCTCTGAAGTGGCTAAATCCCCCTCACCCCCAACACACACAAAAGTGTTGTCGGTGTGGGGGGGGGGGGGGAAATGGCCAGCAAAAGGGGAAAAAAAAAAGGAAAGATTTTTTGACTTAAAGGGCTTTATTTACGTCACACGGCCACCTTTTTGCTAGCCATGCCAAACCAAAAGAGTGATGGCTGTCGCCCCATGCTGCAGTTCCATAGCTAAGGGTTCTGCCTTCTTTTTTTTCCACCGGGACAGCCTGGGTTTGGTTCCTAAATCAAGCCCTTTCTGGTTTGATGCTTGGTACTTCTGCAATAGTAGCAATTTGTGCCAGCTGAAATATGGTAATGAGATTTAAAAAGTTTTTTAAAAGAAGCTCAATGGTTAAAAGTCAGTTTAATTAAAAGGTAACATCCAAGGGGTGTGTGTGTGTGTGTGTGTGTGTGTGTGTGTGTGTGTGTATTTAAAAGGCCTTCATACTTTTTGTTTTTCTCCTAGGACACTGTCTTTTTTTTTGAGCGAGAGTTTTCTTCTCAGTTGATTGAATTCTGTTTTCTTCATTTACTTCTGCTGTCTCTCCTTTCTCTTGCACCCTCTGATGCATGAGGGACCAGGACATACTTATCCCTGCCAAGTAATATTAGGTGTCAAAATTTGGCATAGGGGTTACAAAACTATAAACCCAGCTTAAAACAGAATGATCTTTGCTTGTATAATTTTTAATAAATAAGATATTGATATTAATTTAATGAAAACAGCTACATCTTGAATTATTTAGTAAAATTACCATAACTTCTAATCTTGTGGCTTTAGGCAGTCTAGTCCACAGGCAGTAAGGAGGTTTGTTTAGAGAAAGGACTGCTGTTGTCTTTATTTCAAAACTATAAACTAAGTTCCTCCCAAAGTTAGTTTGGCCTATGCTCAGCAATGAACAAGGACAGCTTGGAGGTTAGAAGCAAGATGGAGGCGGTCAGATCATATCTTTTTCACTGTCTCTGTTATAATTTTGCAATGGCAAGCTTCACAACTTTAAATGATGACTGTTGTAGTTTTCATAAGTAATCTAGGTAAATGATTAGAATAAAATAATTAGGTAAATGTAATGAAATAAATACTTGTAGACAAACTTGTCATAATTTAGAATCTAAAGTTAAATTAAATAACAGATATTTCATTATTTAGGTATATTCCAATAAAAATATATTGTAGGAAAACATTCTAAAAAAATACATGTGTCCTTTTTAAAAAGGTGAACAATTTTTGTCTAATTCAAAGCTTATTTAAAGGTTATGTATAAAACAAGGTAAAAGGAACCAGGAAATAAGAGAAATATATAGAAAGTTACAGCAATAAAGAGGTATTTTTTGGTAAGAAAGCTTAAAGAGAAATAATTTTATATGAGAAACAATCTTGAATGGTAAGTGCAGTCCTAGAATAAAATGACTGGTTATTTAAGAAAGAGGGACATTCGGGAAGTCCAAGCATGTCATGAATGGTGTATGTAAGTCACAATAAGAGGATTTATTAAAAAGACAAAACTTTTATATGATCAAATTAAAGAGAAATTAAAATGGTCTTTCTAGAGACTGAGTTTGATGTTAAAAAAAAAACCACTTACACACTAAAGAACTGACTAGAACAGTAACATTTTCTTAAGGGATTGATTTACTCTTAATAAATGATAAGAGATTGTAATTTTTTTTAACCCAAAGTTCAACCTTTCTTGCATCTTGCCATTTTCGGTTTTCTCTCCCCTTTTTAAAGGTGTGAAATAGTACTGCCCTCCTTCGACTCATTTTCAGTTCATAAAAGGTTTTTTTCCCTTGAGTTCTGTTTGTTGTGGCCTGATGCTAACATTTGTTTGTTGGTTGGTTGGTTGGTTGATTTTGAGACACAGTCTCACTCTGTCGCCCAGGCTGGAGTGCAGTGGCACCATCTCAGCTCACTGTAACCTCTGCCTCCCGGGTTCAAGTGATTCTTGTGCCTCAGCCTCCCAAGTAGCTGGGATTACAGGCGCACGTCACCACATGCAGCTAATTTTTGTATTCTTAGTAAGGACGGGCTTTCGCCATGTTGGCCTGGCTGGTCTTGAACTCCTGATGTCAGGTGATCCACTGCCTCGGCCTCCCAAAGTGCTGGGATTATAGGTGTGAGCCACCGCATCTGTCCTCTAACATTTTTTTAAAGGTCTAAAAGGAATGTTTTCTTCCAATATAATCTGTGCACTGCAGAAGGTCTCTTCTTTTGCCTTTTGGTAATTGGTCTAACAGATTTTACATTTTATCAAAATAATTCCTATGCCATTATTATTAAATTTGGTTTGCTTAGGAAAAAACTGAGATTAAAAAAAATTTTTTTTTAATTAAGGTTATCGGCCAGGTGTGGGGGCTCACGCCTGTATTCCCAGTGCTTTGAGAGACCAAGGAGGGCAGTGATCACCCAAGGTCAGGAGTTTGAGACCAGCATGGCCAACATGGTGAAACCCCGTCTCTACTAAAAATACAAAAATTAGCCGGGAATGGTGGCACATGCCTGTAATCCCAGCTACTTGGGAGGCTGAGGCAGGATAATTGCTTGAACCCAGGAAGCAGAGGTTGCAGTGAGCCGAGATGACATCATTGCACTCTAGCCAGGGCAACAAGAGCAAACCTCTGTCTCAAAAAATAAAAATAAAAATAAAAAATAATAAAATTAAGGTTATTACATCCATGTATCTTTCTGTATGTGCTTTTAAAGTCCTTGTGACACTGAGTTACAGGGCTTTGACTCCTGGGTCTAAAAAGGACACCAGGTCCTGTTAAATGTTAAACAGTGATAGCAATTAAAGCCTCATCTTCAGGCCTGGAAGGAGATGCCAATCGAAATAAACTCCATTCCTGAGATGCAGGGCCAGAAATTAAAGCTATTCAACTCCTCAAGGCCCAGGGACTATAGTGGAAGAGGGGGGTGCGTGAGATTGTAAGGGTCGATTTTGAGAGATAAAATAAGTTCAGTTTCTCTATAAGTTAACCATTAACGTCATAGGTACACTGATGCAAGACCAGCATACGGGCTCCTATGTCGGATTAACAAGCTTTTCTTGAAGCATTAGCCAACTCCTTAATAAAGGCTATAAAGGTTATAAAAGGCTTATGGAAGTTATATATTATGGTCAAGATTAAAATATTATAGATTATAAAATTTTGGAAAAGAAATTTAATTGGCTTCATGCTGCTTTTATTGGGCTTATTGTTTGGAAAATTAAGTCTCCTTTCTCAAAGAATGAAGGTTTTCACCTTTTTATGGAAATCTTTGAGTTATCACTTTAGTTAAATGAATGACTTATTTCATAATGACTTGTGATCCTATTTTGTGATATCATGTGTTTTAAACCCTTGATATTGGACAAACTTTCCAAAATCAAGTTATAAATTATGTCTTTTTCTGACCTAATTAATCTTTTAAGATATTAGGTTCCCTAAAGTCCAAAAATGGCATATTTGGCTTATTTGGTTTAAAAATTATACAGGAAGCATTGTCAAATATAAAATGCTGTTTGGCTTTCTTTGGGCTGTATTTGTATAAATGTTATTGGTATGTGTTGCAAAATTATAGGAAACTCCTATAATTCTGGTATGACTTAGTGCCTATTAGCAGTAATAATTATAATTGTTATGTTAAATTATTGTGTGCCACAGAGACAATAAATTTCCTTGTCAGTTGTGTCTCTGAATATGGCTGCCATAAAAACTTTTTGTCATCTACAGACAATTGTTGTCTCCTTTTGGTCCTCTTTAGAAGGTGGTTTTAAAATCAGCTATAAAACTCTAACAGGTGCTCTTGAATGCAGGTTTCTGATAACTTTGGAGATTGTGACATCAGGATGACGAAAAACTTTCAGGACTCATGGAGAGCGAAATGTTCATGGATATCAAGCAGAACAGGAATTAACTGCATGGACTGAACTAATAGTGGACTGAAGTTATCTTTTTGACTTTTTGCTTAAAACGTTGCTGATCCTTTGTTTTTTAGAGTCAAGGAAACTTTTCTTTTGAGCTATTGACAGAAACTAGGTATACTCCTATGAACAAAATTTGGAGGATATTTGTTTCTCTCTACTTGATTCCTCCAGAATTTGGAAACTATCTGTGAGTATTCTTAATGTATGGCAATATAGTTATTTGCATAAGTACAATAAAAGTTTGTTTTCATTTGTAACAGGCGAAACTGGTTATTTTACCAAGGCTTTGACTAGAATGGTATGCTTTCCTTTAAGGAATCAAACTTAACTTACAGAGCCAATAAAATCCCCTTGGGAAAACTAGCCTCATACCTTGTCTACACAGTCCCTGTACAGGGTTCCTGACCTGTGGTAAGTAAAGAATGTCACTTTCTGACAGGCCCAGGAGCCCCAGGTTATCATGGGACTTCAAGAGGAAGAAAAATTCACCTGACTCATAGTTATTTGATGGTACAAATCCACGGCTGGGCTTGTCTTTTAAAAAGCCTTATCTGAGACTCCTTCAATGGAACAAAGTTCCACCAAAGCCAATTTTAAAAGCCTATGTGAGAAATAATTACTCTCGCTGCACTTTATACAAATAATCTGTCCAAGTATAATAAAGCAAATCAGTCCTACCATGATTTGTCTTTAGTAAAAACGGGAAACTGGAGAGAGAGACGAATTCTATTTCAAAAACTATAACACACCTGTTGCTAGATTCTAGTCCTAATGTTTTCCAGTTTTTATTATTTTCTATAGTTTGGGCTGAATTCTAATTTTTCCTGGCTATAAGTTTCCAAAATAATGTTTTCAATTTTTTCTTTCTTTTCCTTTTCCTTCCGTTTTTTCCTAATTTGAAATCACTGAAAACTAAGCTGTGCTTCTTAAAGCCTTGCAAACTTAATCCAGACAACTAAACTTCAGAAGAAAATAACAGCAACCTATTTACATACATAAGCCACTTTCATACCTGCCTACTGATACATGGACTTCAGAGTAACGTGGCCTCTATCAATTTTCCAGGATTGTTGTTTTGTTTGTTGTTGTTTTTCTCCCTTCCTCCCCCTATTTTCTCTTCATAGGACATGAGACTTCTCAACCTGCTAAAATAATATTCCTAATATTATTCTATTAATATAATTCCTAATAACTCAGGACCTACCTGTCTAGGAATAAACCATCCTAGCCATGAGAGATCAGACAAAACCTGAGACCAGAGACTCATTTTCTTCTAAAATGCTTTCTCCAAAAATGCTTTCTCCAAGAGATTTTTAAAAAGAAAAGGGGGTAAATGTGAAAGAAAAATAAATCTTGGGGCCCCAAATTCACTAAGCAAAAGGGAAAAGTCAAACTGGGAACTGCTTAGGGTAAACCTGCCTACCATTCTATTCAAAGTCATCCCTCAGCTCACTGAGATAAATGCATACCTGATCGCCTCCTTTGGAAAGGCTCATCAGAAATGCAAAAGAATGCAACAGCTCATGCTTGTAATCCCAGCACTTTGGGAGGCCGAGGTGGGCGGATCACGAGGTCAGGAGATCGGGACCATTCTGGCTAAAACGGTGAAACCCCGTCTTTACTAAAAATACAAGAAATGAGCCGGGCATGATGGCACGCGCTTGTAGTCCCAGCTGCTCGGGAGGCTGAGGCAGGAGAATCGTTTGAACCCAGGAGGCGGAAGTTGCAGTGAGCAGAGATCGCGCCACTGCACTCCAGCCTGGGTGACAGAGCGAGACTCCGTCTCAAAAAAAAAAAAAAAAAAAAAAAAAGAATGCAACAGTTTGTCTCTTATCTACCTATGACCTGGAAGCTCCATCCTTGCTTGAGTTGTCCTGCCTTTCTGGACAAAATCAATGTACATCTTACATTTATTGACTGATGTCTCATGTCTCCCTAAAATGTATAAAACCAAGTTGTGCCCTGACCACCTTGGGCACACGTTGTCAGGACCTCCTGAGGGTGTGTGATGGACACGTGTCCTCAACCTTGGCAAAACAAACTTTCTAAATTAACTGAGACCTATCTCAGATATTCGGGGTTCACACTTCCTATTCCATTCCAATACTGGTGGACTAGCTGTAGATCAATGTTTCTGGTGAAATAACCAAAAATGCCAGGTAACACAGTTAAGCAAGCAAACAAAAAGCACTTCTAAAGGCTTCAAATGGCTGTGAAGACAGTAAAGAATTACTAGGCAAAAACTAAAGAGAAAAACAGGGGTTCCCCAAAAGACAAATGAGCACAGAGCCCCTTTTGCCCTGAGGGCATCTGTTGATCCCAGAAAACACAAACTTTTGTGCTGATGGCCTCACAGGGGAAGAGAGTGACCCCCCACCACAGTATGCCCTCTTCATAGTAAGCTCCAGGGGTCCACAGACATCTCTCTGCAGAAGCAATCCATGGCGCCTCAAAGGAAGAATTCCTACCACCACCCATAAATAAAGGCTGACATGTTTTATTTTAATTTTTTAAAAAGTGTTAGAGACAGGGTCTTGTGTTGCTCAGGCTGGTCTCTAATTCCTGGCCTCAGGTGATCCTCCTGCCTCAGCCTTCTGAATAGCTGTGATTATAGACAGGAGCCACCACATTTAGCTAAAAGTTAAAGTGCTGTTTATTGAGTACTTATTATGTCCCAGGCACTGCTCTACATTCTTTATATGTGTCAGCGGATTTAATCCTGAGGGAATGGCAAAGAGATCTTGTTATTTTTCCCATTTGATAAATGAGGAACCTGAGGGACAGAGAGGTAAAGTAATTTGCTCATGATCACATAGTTCAAAAGTGGCAGAGCTGATCACACTCAAATTCAGGCTGCCTGACTCCAGAATCTGTACTCTTAATCACTACAGAATAAGTTAAAACCAAAAGGGCACAAATATATTTATTCCTATGTGACTTCAAATAGCAAAAAACTAAATATCCATTGGCAAGGGACTGGTCAAATAATGTATGGTAGACACAACAGAGTACCAGTCACTAGAAATATAGCCCTTCACTAACTGCATGAACATTACTACTGTTGAATAAAAACATTATAGAAAATTATTATAAATTTATAAATTACTATAATTTATAAATTATAAAGTATAATAAACATTTCCACAAATCAAATAAAAAAGCAAATATAAAAGTATAGACAGTATATTCTCACTTATGCACCATCATAATATTATACACCACATAGTGTAATAGCATGGTCTTGAGATTCAGAGACCATTACTGGACCTTGGACAATTTACTTCATTATTCTAAACACCAATTTCCTCCTGAGCAAAATGGGGCAACATTATGTATCTTGGAGGGTTTTTTGTGAGAATCAAATGATATAATGCATATAAAGTTGCTCATCCTAGAACCATACATAAACGCTAGTAAACACAGTTATTCCATTATTATTATGCTTTTATCTGTATATATGTTTGTATAAAAAAAATTTGGAATCATGTTAGCCAAAATGCTAACTACTACTAATTTCCAAGGCATGTCAGATGATTTATTCTTTATTTTTGTACTTTTCTGTATTGCAAAATTTGTAGAATGAGCAAGTATGATTTTTACAAAACTAGTAACTTTTATAGATGCAGACATGTATATATATGTGTGTGTGTATGTATCTCCTCCCAGCATACAGATAACAATGCTTGTACAAAATAAATACTCCTCTATTCTGACAGCATTAAAGTGATAAGACAATATCTCAAATTAGAGATCCATGGGAAGGAGAAAGAACAAGCTGAGGAGAGTCAGATCTTAGACCCGGAACACCACTATGCATATAATAAATATTTTGTTGTGCGGAGTGCAGGGGCTCATGTCTGTAATCCCAGCACTTTGGGAGGCTGGGGTGGGAGGATCACTGGAGCCGCGTTTGAGACTACACTGGGCAACACAGTAAGTCCATGGTTCTACAAATAATAAAAAAATTAGCTAGGCATAGTGGCGCAGATCTGTGTTCCCAGCTGCTTGGGAGACTGAGGTGGGAGAATTATTTGAGCCCAGGTGGTGAAAGCTACAGTGAGCCATGATCACACCACAGCACTCCAGCCCGGGTAAAAGAGCAAGACTTTGTCTCAAAAAAATAAAAAATAAAATAAATAAATGAATAAATAAAGAGTTGTTGAATGAATGAAGGAACAAATGAATTGAGAGGCAATACAGTACAGATGGGAGACTATGAATCCAAGAGGTTAAATGACTTCATCAGTCAAACCTTGCATTTCTAATCATGCTTGGTAACAGAAAGGGAACTGTATAGAGTATTTCCCCTTAGGAAAGGAGAGGTAAGGGAGGAAAAATAAATCTGTAATTTCAGCTCTGCTTAATGAAGAGTAGGGCAGAGGTTGACATCAGGGAACAGAGTTTGAAGTTACACATGAACATCACTTCCTTCTAACGCAAACAACCAATAAAAGGAGAAATCTGTGTTTATTGCCTCACCTGACCTAGTTCTGCCCTAATTTTGGATGTACAGAACCCTGATAGGTCTGTCCTCTCTTCACCCATTCCTCAAAACACTGACTTCAGACCTATCTCCATTTCACAACAACTCTACTCCCACGGCCCTCCCCATACCTTTCTTGTCCTAATCTTTTCCTCTCCCAGAATCAAAATCATTCATCTTGGTCAATGGACACTAAGCATATACTGCATGCCCAGCTGTGGCATAAGACACCTTAATCTTGTGACCTGGACTACATAAAGGCTAAGCCTATGTACTGACTAATACGTACAGGATGGTTGCCTCCCTGCCCTTCAGGCAAGAACAACTGAGCAAGAGAAACTGAATTGTGATCATTAAACACCTACATCATTCTTCCCTTCCAGCTTCTTAACTTCCTCAAAGCTTGGAATTCTCAATGAGAAGCTGGGCATTTACATTAGCCATACAAGAAATGCCAAAGGAGTTACACTTAGGCAAACAATTATTTTTGCAAGTGATTAAAAAAAGGAATGCGTAATAAAGATGGGAAATGACACAAACTGAAGGTCTACATCATGTAATAACAGAGTATCTAAAATTTCTGAGTTATGACATTTTGAGCAGTCCAGTCAGTACCGTGACTCTCAAGCTTGGAATTGCTAGTCTACAATTTCTAGCCAAATGGGTGTCACCTCATCACTCCGTGCCTCAGGTTCTTCCCCTATAAAAAGAGGGCAGTAGGCCGAGCGCAGTGGCTCACGTCTGTAATCCTGCACTTTGGGAGGCCAAGGCAGTTGGATTGCTTGAACTCAGGAGTTCGAGGCCAGCCTGGGCAACATGGCTAGATCCCATCTCTAAAAAAATACAGAAATCAGCCAGACACGGTGGCATGTGCCTATAGTCCCAGCCACTCTGGAGGCTGAGGTAAGAGGATCACTTGAGCCCAGGAGGTTGAGGCTGCAGTGAGCTGTGATTGTGCCACTGACCTCCAGCCTGGGTGACAGAGCTAGACCCTGCCTCAAAAAAAAAGGGGGAAGGGGGAAAAGAGAGTAGTAATCATACCTACCTCTTGGAGATATTGCAAAGATTAAATGAGATAATGTATGTTAACTGGTTAGAACAATGCCTGGCATGTAAAAATACTCAACAAATGAGTTATTTTTACTATTTATGTTAATTGAGAAATAGAATTGAAGTCCCCTTACCAAGTTGCACTTTTGAACTCAGAGTTCACATTTTATCACATTTCATGAACTATATAAAGGGATTAAATTAGTTCCCAGAGAAGGTTGACTCCAAAAGAGAGAGCACAGGAAGATGATGGAATAGAAAACACCAGATCCTCCTTCCCCTATGGAGATGAATTAACAATGTTAGATGGCCTCTGTGAGAAATCCAGAAACCAGTTAAGAGGTTTCTGTACCCCAAGTATGCCAAGAAGAACCTCATGAAAGCCAGCAGAAAAGTTCATGGCATATACTTTCCACAGCCTCTCCCCAGCACAGCATAGCACCATTGGAAAAAAAAAAAAAATCCCAAATCCCTTCTTTCTTGGATGAAAAGATAAAAGTAGAGCACACATTCAATGTTCTCACTTTGATGGGGTGGTGGGGGAGGGGGGAAGCTACCTGAGGGACTGGTTTCTTAACTGAATCTAAGACAGAAGTGGGCACCAGGTTGGAAGCCACTGAAAACAAAGATCACTGCAACTGGCTGTAGCACCAGAGAGTGTGCAGTACCACTGACAGACGCTAGGGAGAACTCCAGTACCAAGGCTTGCCACAGCACCAGAGAGGAAACAGTACCACAGATGGAAATCGGGAAGTGAAAATCCTGAGTACAAATAGGTAAACCTCAACTAGGGTATTACATGCATAGAGAAGACTCAACCCAAGAAAAGGCTTGAGAGTTCTCCAGATTATCTAGTAAAGTTGACTGGTGATGATCTCTCCCTGTACAAAGCCAGATTGTAAGGACTGGGAGGGGTGCTGTTTTTTCAAATACTCAAGTCTCAACAAAAGATAATAAGGTATACAAAGAAACAGGGAAACATGGCCCAATCAAAACCACAAGTTAAATCTCCAGAAACTAACCCTAAATAGATTTATATGAATTACCAAAGAATTCAAAATAGCCACTGTAAGGATGCTCAATGAACTAAAAGACAACACAGATAGAAAACTAAAGAAATCAGGAAAACAATGCATAAACAAAATGAGAATATCAACAAAGAAAAACTATGAAGAGCCAATTGAAAAATTAACTAGAGGGGTTCAAAAGCACTTAACTAGGCAGAGGACAGAACCACCGAACTCAAAGTCAAGACATTTGAAATTACTGAGTCAGAGGGATAAAACGAAAAAAGAATAAAGAAAGGTGAAGAGAACCTCAAAGAACTTATCGACTACCATCCAGTGAAATAACATGTAAATAATGGACATCTCAGAATACAAAGAAAAAGACAAAGAGGCAGAGAGCCTAAAACTTCTCAACTCTGAGGAAAGCCATGGAGACACAAATTCAAGGTTAAAAAAACTCCAAATAGAATAAATCCAGACACGCATACTAACACACGTAATAACCAAACTGCCAAAAGTCACAGACAAAAAGAGAATCCTGAAAGCAGCAAGAGAAAGGTGACTCTTCATGTATAAGGAAGCTCCTATAAGATTATCAAATAATTTCTAAGTAGGAATCTTGCAGGCCAGAAGGGAGTGGGATGATATATTCAAAGTGCTGAAAGGAAAAAATAACTGTCAAATAAGAATACTACATGCAGCAAAACTGTCCTTCAAAATGAAGGAAGGAGAAATGAAGACTTTTTTCCCTTCTTTCAGATAAATAAAAGCTGACACTAAACCTCCCCTACTAGAAATGCTAAAGGGACGTCAAGTTGAAATGAAAAGATGTTAAATAGCATCATGAAACCATGAGAATATACAAAACTCCCTGGTAAAGGTAAATATGTAGACAAATATAGAATCCTATAGTATTGTAATGTAGGTGAGTAAATAACTTTTAAACAGTATAGAATTTTAAAAACAAAAGATAAAAAGTAACTATAAGTCTGTTAATGGATATGAAATAAAAAAGGTAATTTGTATTATCAATAACATAACGGGGTGGACAGGGATGTAAAGGAGTAGAGTTTTTAACGCAACAGAAAGGAAGTTGTTATTAGTTTGAAGTAGATTGTTATAACTTTAAGATGTTTTATGTAATTGTAATGGTAATCACAAGTAAAATATCTATAGAATACATACAATGGGAAATGATAAGGGAATCAAAATATGTCACTACAAAAAAAATCAATAAAACACAAAAGCAGCAACAAGAGAAGAAATGAGAGACAAAAAGCTACAAGGCATACAGAAAAACTATTAACAAAATAATAGTAAATCCTTCCCAATCAGTAATTACTTTAATGTAAATGGATTAAAGTCCAATTAAAAGACATAGATTGGTTGAATGGATAGAAAACCAGAATCCAACTATATGCTGTCTACAATAGATCCACTGTAGATCTTAAGACACAAATAGGCTGAAAGTACAAAAAAAAAAAAAAAAAAAAAAAAAAGCCAAAAGGCTGGGTGTAGTGGCTCACACCTGTAATTCCAAACTGGATACAACTTAAAAGAAACTGACAAATTCCTAAAAATATACAACCTACCAAGACTGAAGAAATAAAAAAATCTGGGCTGGGCACAGTGGCTCACACCTGTAATCCCAACACTTTGGGAAGCTGAGGCAGGCAGATCACCTGAGGTCAGGAGCTCGAGACCAGCCTGGCCAACATGGTGAAACTCCGTCTCTACTAAAAATACAAAAAAATTAGTCGGGCATGGTGGCGGGCACCTGTAATCCCAGCTACTTGGGAGGCTGAGGCAGAAGAATCGCTTGAACCCAGAAGCAGAGGCTGCAGTGAGGGAAGACTGCGCCATTGCACTCCAGCCTGGGCAACAAGGATGGAACTCTAAGTCAAAAAAAAAAAAAAAAAAAAAAAAGAAAGAAAGAAACAATCTGAAAAGACTTATAATTAATAAAGAAATTGAAGCAGTAATCAAAAACCTCTCAACAAAGAAAGATGTCTTCACTGGAGAATTTTTCCAAACATTTAAATAAGAATTAACATCAATCCTCAAACTCTTCCGAAGAATTGAAGATGAGGGAACACTCCCAAACTCATTCTATTAGGTCAGCATTAATCTGATACCAAAACCAGACAAAGACAAAATAAGAAAACTACAAACCAATATCTGATGAATACCGATGAAGGAGTCCTTAACAAAATACTAACAAACTGAATTCAACAACACATTAAAAGGATTAAACGACCGGGCGCGGTGGCTCACGCCTGTAATCCTAGCACTTTGGGAGGCCAAGGTGGGCAGATCACGAGGTCAGGAGATTGAGACCATTTTGGCTAACACCGTGAAACCCTGTCTCTACTAAAAATAAAAAAAAATTAGCCAGGCGTGGTGGCACGTGCCTGTAGTCCCAGCTACTCAGGAGGCTGAGGCAGGAGAATCACTTGAACCTGGCAGGCAGAGGTTGCAGTGAGCCGAAATCATGCCACTGCACTCCAGCCTGGGTGATAGAGCAAGACTCCGTCTCAAAAAAAAAAAAAAAAAAGGATTATACGCCACCACCAATGCCTGGAATGCAAGAATGGCTCAACATACAAAAATCAACGCAATACATTAACAAATGAAGGACAAAAACCATATAATCATCTCAATTAATACAAAAAAATGCATATGACAAAATTCAACACCCTTTCATGATAACAAAACAAAACAAAACACTCAAAAAACTCAGAATAGAGGAAACTACCTCAACATAATAAAAGCCAGATAGGAAAAGCTCACAGTTAACATCATACTCAATAGTGAAAGGATGAAAGATTTTCCCCTAAGATCAGAAGAAATAAGGCAATGATGTCCATTTGCATGTATGGTCAAATAATCTTCAACAAGGGCACAAAGAGTACACAATGAAGAAAAGACAGACTTTTCAACAAACAGTGTTAGGAAAACTGAATATTCATATGCCAAAGAATGAGGTTAGATCCTTACCTTACACCATACACAAAGATTAACTAAAAATGGATTAAAGACCTAAACATAACACCTATAACACTCCTAAAAGAAAACGTGGCGGAAAAGTTTCAAGACATTTGATTTGACAATGATGTCCTGAATATAATACCAACAGCAAAAATAGACAAATGAGACTAAATCATATTTAAAACTTCTGCACAAAAGAAAACAATCAACAAAGTGAAAAGACAACCTACAAAGTGGGAAAAAATATTTGCAAATCACATATATGGTAAATGATTAATATCCAGAATATATAAGGGACTCCTATAGCTCAACAATGAAAAAAACGACCCATTTAATAAATGAGCAAGTGACTTGAACAGGTAATTCTCCAAAGAAGATATACACACAACCAAGAAGCATATGAAAAGATGTTCAACATCAGTAATTATAAGAGAAAAGCAAATCAAAACCACAATGAGATACCACTTCACACCCATTAGGATAGCATTATCAGAAGAACAGAAAATAACTGCTGGCAAGGATGCAGAGAAACTGGAACCACTGTGCACAGTTGGTGGAAGTGTGAAATGGTATAGCCATTTTCTAAAATTAAAAATAAAATTACCATATGATGCAGCAATCACTGGACACACACACACACACACACACACACACACACACACAGAGTTGACCCTCAAACAATGCAGGGGTTAGGGTGCAAACTCCCACCCTCCCACCACACAGCTGAATATTTATGTATAACTTTGAATCCCCAAAATCTTAACTACTAATAGCCTACTGTTGACTGGAAGCCTTACTGATAACATAAACAGTCAATTAACACATCTTTTATAAGTTACATGTATGTATTATATATACTGTATTCTTAACCCTTTTCCCCTTTGCCCCAAGCATACTTGCTGGCAGCGCCTGTGGTTGCTGCGTTTACCCCGAGATAACTTTGCCACGAAATACCTTGCTTTTATTATTATTTTCGCATTGCTCTAGTATATCAACTTTGGAAACAAAAGACATCATTCTATTTATAGCATTCTGTTTTTAGCAGTGTTATTTCCATTTACAAAATATAGTAATTCTCAATCGCTGAAAATGCCAAATCCTAGAAAACACCACATTCCTATGTGTGATGTTAACATCATTCTCAGTTGTTGGCCAAAGATTCATTTGATGAATCTGATTTTTCTAAAATAGACGATTCTGATGATTCAGATGATTCTGATGTTACTTTGTTTAGAAATAACTCCAAGAACAGTTTTTATATTTTATTTTCACATAGAAAATCAATCAGATTTGCTTCAGCCTCAAAGAGTGTGTTTATGTAAAATTAAATGAGCACTGGCAGCGAGCTGTACTTTTTCTAAACAGGAAAAGGGTTAAATTAAAATAAGCTAGAGAAAGAAAATGTTATTAAGAAACTCACAAGAGAAAATATATTTACTATTCACTAAGTGGAAATGGATAATCATAAATGTCTTCATCCTTGTCTTTGTGTTGAGAGGCTGAAGAGGAGGGAGGGGTTGATCTTGCTGCCTCAGGGGGTGGCAGTTCATCTCCAAGTTTCTTTCAAATTGTCACAAATCTCCAAAAAATTTTTCCAACATATTTACTGAAAAAAATCTGCATATAAGCAGATCAGCATAGTTCAAACCCATGTTGTTCAAGGGTCAATTATATATATACAGCTATATATACAATTGGGTACACACACATACACACCCCCTCTCTCTCTATATATATATCCAGAACCATTTCCGGGTATGTATCCAAAGAATGCAAAGTAGGATCTTGAAGAGATATCTGCATACTCATGCTCACTGCAGAATTATTCACAATAGCCAGGAGTGGAAGCAACCCAAATTCCACTGACGAATGAATGAATGTTTAAAAAGTAGCATCTCTCTCTCTATATATATATAGAGTATAATATTTTGCAGCCTTTAAAAAAGGGTATCTGATCACATGCTACAACATGGATGAACCTCAAGGACATTATGCTAAGTGAAATTAGCCAGTCACAAAGGGACAAATGCTATATGATTTCACTCAGTTTAAGTATTTAAAGTAGTCAAAATCATAGAAACGGAAAGAAGAAAGGTAGGTGCCAAGGGCTGTCAGGAGAGGGAAAGTGGGAATTAGTGTTTAATGGGGTTTAGAGTTTCAGTTTCGCAAGATGAAAAAGTTCTAGAGATCTACTGGACAACAATGTGCATATACTTAACGCTAATGAACTGTACACTTAAAAATGGTTAAGACAGTGGGTTTAATGTTTTTACAATAAAAATTAAAATTAAAAAAGAGCGAACACTGGAAATAAATAACTTATTGTTAAGCAAGTTTTCTGAACTTCGCTGATACCCTAGTATATGCCAGAAGATGAATCTGAGCAAAGTAAATTGAAAACCTTCTGAAAATATTCACCATTCTAGATGTCATTAAGAATATTTGTGATTCAGGGAGGAGGTCAAACTATCAACATTAACAGGAATTTGGAAAAAGCTGACTCCAGCCTTCATGGATGACTCTGACCATGTTATACAAAGCTTAAGTAAGCAAAGTGTTTAACCTAGAGAAGACTTGGGGGAAATGATTGCCATATTTTAATTCTTGGGTGTTGTTTTGGATTATGCAGAAGTTGGGTCAACAGTAGAAATTTCAGAGAAGCAAATACTAGCTGAGTATAAGAAGAAGGAAGAAATAACTAGGGCTAGTTTAGTAATTCAATAAATTGCCTCATAATCCACGGACTGACTTACTACTACAAGTATAAAAGCAGGAGCTGGGTGAACGCCTGCCACAGATAACAGCTATGATTACATTCATTCATTTAACAGATATTTACTGAGTGCCACAGTAAGCTATGTCAGGTATTAGACCAGCACTGTCTATTAGAACTTTCCACAATAATGAAAATGGTCTATAATCTGTGCTGTCCAATATGATAGCCACCATGTAACTGTTGATCACTTGAAATGTGGCACTACAATCAGGACGAATATTATATACAAGGTAAAAGATGTATAAAAAATATGTGAGGGTGGGTTCCTTATAACAGGAAAACAGAAGAGATTAATCTGGAGAGTCATGAAAGAGGTTAGCTCATGCAAGACTTTGCATACTCTCTAGGAGTTATGACTTTATTATAAAGATATGGGAATATC
Source organism: Homo sapiens (assembly GCF_000001405.40). Classification (NCBI taxonomy): domain Eukaryota; kingdom Metazoa; phylum Chordata; class Mammalia; order Primates; family Hominidae; genus Homo; species Homo sapiens. Next base: position 99,989,465 of record NC_000014.9, on the reverse strand, counting down.
CTCAAGAAACCTAAGAAGAAAATATTAACTCAGATTTGAGTACTAACAACAAAGCACAGAGGAGACATTTTAAGAGGTAGAAAACAAAAGTGGAATATAATTATGGTGTTTTAATAACGATGAAGACCTGACTTAAATAAGTATCACGGCCCTGGGGAGATGGGGACAAAGAGAAGAGATTTTTAAGGAAGAAGAAATGATAAAAGACACCTGGATGTGACAGGAGGGAACCGAGACACTCCATCACACCTCCAGGTTTCTATTTTGGATCACAAAGTGTGTCTCTCTGGGAATAAAGGTTCTGAAAAAAGACAAGTCTGGGAAGGAACACAGTGAGTTCAGTTGTTGTTGTTTTAAAACAGATTTACTGAGGAACAGATTTTTTCTTTTTCATAAAATTCACCCATTTAAAGTATACAACAGTTTTTAGGATATTCACAGAATTGTACAACCATTACCATAATCCAATCTTGCGATACTGGGATTATCTGCAAGAGAAATCTTGTACTCATTAGCAGTTACTCCCCATTCTCAAACTGACCCTCAGCCCCACACCCTCCACCCACCCAAGCAATCACTAATCTACATTCTGTCTCTATAGATTTGCCTATTCTGGACATTTCATGTAAATGGAATCATACAATATGTGGTCTTTTGTGACTGCACCTGTCATTGAGTATAATATTTCTGATGTTCATCCATGTTATATCAGTATTTCATTAGTTTTTATTGCACTGTATGGATATACCACATTTTGTTTATCCATTCATCGATTCGTGAACATTTGGGTTGTTTCCACTTTGAGGCTATCATGAATAATGCTATGATCATTTGTGTATAAGTTCTGTGTAGACATATGTTCTAATTTCTCTTGGCTATCTGCCTACGAGTGGAACTGATAGGTCATAGGGTAACTCTATGTCTAACATTCTGAAAAACTGACAAACCGTTTTCCAAAGCAGCTGCACCATTTTACACTCCCCAGCAATGTACGAGGGCTCCAATATGTGAGGTTTATCCACATTCCCAATGTGTAAGGGTTATCCTCATCCTCACCAACATTTGTTATTATCTTTTTTATTCAAACCATCCTAGTGAGTATGAAATGGTATTTCATTGTGGTTTTGGTTTGCCTTTCCTCTTGTCTAATGATGCTAAGCACCTTTTCAAGTGCTTATTGGCCATTTGTTTATCTTCTTCAGAAAGGTATCTATTCAAATAATTTGCCCATTTTAAAATCAGGTTGTCTTGGCCAGGCACGGCGGCTCACACCTGTAATCCCAGCACTTTGGGAGGTCGAGGTGGGCAGATCACCTGAAGTCGGGAGTTTGGGACTAGCCTGACCAACATGGAGAAACCCCATCTCTACTAAAAAAATACAAAATTAGCAGGGTGTGGTGGTGCATGCCTGTAATCCCAGCAACTTGGGAGGCTGAGGCAGGAGAATCACTTGAACTCAGGGGGCAGAGATAGTGGTGAGCCAAGATCACGCCATTGCACTCCAGCCTGGGCAGCAAGAGTGAAACTCCGTCTCAAAAAAAAAAAAAAAAAAAAAAAAAATTGGGTTGTCTTTTCATTGTTGAGATGTCTTAGTCTATTCAAGCTGCTATAACAAAAATACCAGAAACTGGGTGGCTTATAAACAATATTTATTTCTCACAGTTCTAGAAGCTGAGAAGTCCAAGATGAAGGCACTGGCAAATTACCTATCTGATGAAGGCCTTTTCCTCATAGAGCCTTCTTGCTGCATCCTCACATGCTAGGAGGGGCAAACAAGCTCCCTCAAACCCCTTTTATTTATTTGTTTGTTTGTTTGTTTACTTGAGATAGAGTCTCGCTCCTGTCACACAGGTTGGAGTGCAGTGGTGCAATCTCGGCTCACTGCAACCTCCACCTCCCGGGTTCAAGTGATTCTCCTTCCTCAGTCTCCCAAGTAGCTGGGATTACAGGCGTGTGCCACCATGCCAGGCTAAGTTTTGTATTTTTAATAGAGACAGGGTTTTGCCATGTTGGCCAGGCTGGTCTCAAACTCCTGACCTCAGTTGATCCACCTGCCTTGGCCTCCCAAAGTGCTAGGATTACAGGCATGAGCCACCATGCCCGGCCTCTAACCTCTTTTATAAGGACACTAATCCCATATATGAGAGTTCAACCCTCATGACCTAATCATATTCCAAAGGCCCCACCTCTTAATAATATAATCTTGGCGGGGGGTAGTATTTCAACATATGAATTTTGGGAGCACACAAACTTTTAGACCATAGCAAAATATAAGAGTTCTTTATATATTCTAGATATAAATCTCTTATCAGATATATGATTTGCAAATATTTTCTCCCATTATCAGGATTGTCTTGTCACTTTATTGACGGTACCATTTTCAGCAGAAACATTTTTAATTTTGATAAAATCCAATTTATTTATTTATTGGTCATTTGTGCTTTTGGTGCTATTTCTAAGAAACCATTGTCTAACATAAGGTCACACAGATTTACTCTTGTATTTTCTCCCATAAGAGTTCTAAAGTTTTAGTCTTCCCACTGAAGTTTACAATCTACTTTAAGTTGAATTTTGTATATGGTGTGAGGTAGGGTCCAATTTCATTCTTTTGTATGTGGGTACTTTGTCCCAGTATTTGTTGAAAAGGCTATTTTCCCCCATTGAATTGTCTGGCACTCTTGTCAAAAAACAATTGCTCATAAATGTAGGGGTAGTAAGTCCAGTTGTAGACATGCTGAATTGCACGTACTTATGCTCTATCTCCTTGGAACTAGGCTACATGTGTAGAAAACCATGTCTTCAATTCATAGTCCAGAAATCTGCACAGTGAACTCAATAAATATTTGTGCAATTATTACCATATGTGCACTTCACAGTCATGCTGCCTCATCACCCATAGCCTTGGACACTCTGAAGCATATCACTCTGATCTTGTGAAGGCACCAGCTGGTTCCCTTCCTAGCGCTGCTCCTCTAATTGGGACACTATCTGATTCAGTCTGTTGCTTACTGTTTGATTTTTCCTTAATGATACAAATTGAGGAGAGCATTTTCCTTCTTCCCAGGAAAGAAAATGCTCATAAACGGGACCCTGAAGCTGTCCTCTTAGAAATCTCAGCTGGTAGAAAGAAGCAGTGCCAGTGGATACATTTGATTTTTTTTTTTTTTTTTTTTTTGAGACAGAGTCCACTCTGTCACCCAGGCTGGAGTACGGTGGTGCAATTTCAGCTCACCACAACCTCCACCTCCCAGGTTCAAGCGATTCTCATGCCTCACCCTCCCGAGTAGCTGGGACTACAGGCACATGCCACCACGTCTGGCTAATTTTTATATTTTTAGTAGGGACAGGGTTTAGCCATGTTGGTCAGGCTGGTCTTGAACTCCTGACTTCAGGTGATCCGCTCGCCTTGGCCTCCCAAAGTGCTGGGATTACAGGCATGAGCCATCGTGCCCAGCCAATACATTTGATTTTGATCTATCAGCAAAGAGGCTCCAAGGTTTAGTATGTTTCCATTTTGTATTCAGGGTTTCATTTGTGTGCTAGGTCGAACATCTTTCTGTATTCAAGCCGAAGTTAGAGATCTAAATTGCTAAAGGACTTCAGCAGGCCAGAGCTCAGTGAAAGGAAGGTCCACAGAAGGGCCACTAATTAGTAATGAATGGCTAAAAGACAAGGGACTTTTTTTTTTTTTTCTTTCTGAGATGGAGCTTCGCTCTTGTTGCCCAGGCCAGAGTGCAATGGCGCAATCTTGGCTCACCGCAACCTCCACCTCCTGGGTTCAAGCGATTCTTCTGCCTCAGCCTCCCAAGTAGCTGGGATTACAGGCATGCACCACCACACCCAGCTAATCTTGTATTTTAAGTAGAGACGGGGTTTCTCCATGTTGGTCATGCTGGTCACGAACTCCCGACCTCAGGTGATCCGCCCACCTGAGCCTCCCAAAGTGCTGAGATTACAGGCATGAGCCACCACGCCTGGCCAAGACCAAGGACTTTTAACCAAGAAAAGGCAAGACTTACTGAAGTCCATTGTCTTCAAGCATCTGAAAAGCCAACTGGAAGAAAGACCAGTTCAAGGAAGTACAAAGGTGAAGAACCAAAACAGAAGATAAGCCCAGTCAAAATCCTGCCAGTTCCCCTAGGCCCATCTCAAATGTAATAATAATAATAAATAAAAATTATGTCGTTCATACCTCTTTTCTGACACTGCCATCTCATATGCCCCATGCTATTCTTCTTGGCTATAAACTCCTTGAGGCTTATGTAGGTCTCCATAGCTCTCTATCCCTAGCCCCACTATCTTGCATATAGTAGGTACTCAATATATATATATCTGTCAAGCAAAAATGTAAGCAAATGTGATTAAAATTAAATGAGTTAAGTCTGAGAAACCATCAGCACCAAGAGGAGCCTAAAGAGATATAACAACTTAACGTTGTTATATACAAACTAAACTAAATGTCCTGAATGGGATCCTGGAACAGAAAAAGGATACCGGGTAAAAACAACAGAAACTTTAATAAATGCTGGACTTTAATTAATAATAATGTCAGCTGGGCACAGTGGCTTATGCCTGTAATACCAGCAATTTCAGAGGTCCAGGTGGGTGGATCACCTGAGGTCAGGAGTTCGAGACCAGCCTGGCCAACATGGTGCAACTCAGTCTCTACTAAAAATACAAAAAAATTAGCCGGGTGTGGTGACGCACACCTGTGATTCCAGCTACTCGGGAGGCTGAGACAGGAGAATCGCTTGAAACTGGGAGGTGGAGGTTGCAGTGAGCCGAGATCGCACCACTGCACTCCAGCCTGGGTGACCAGAGCAAAACTCTGTCTCAAATGATAATAATAACATATCAGTAATAATGTATCATACTAATATAAGATGTTAATTAACAGGAGAAACTATATGTGTGCAGGAGGTGTATAGGAACTCTCTGTACAACCTTCTCAATTTTTCTATAAATCTAAAACTGTTCTAAAATACAAAGTCTATTAATTTAAAAAAGAAAGAAAAGCATTCATTCATCCTTGGGGATGGGGCTGGGGTCTCCATTTTGGAAAGACACATACATACATACACATCCCTCCAGTGATTCCTACACATATTCAAGTTTGAGAAACATCTGGGATACTAAGGGTTACAGTGGATAACGTCCTTACAAAGAAATCACAGAAAAAAATACCCATCCACACATCACCAAACAAATCATGTCTTATGGCAGCAGTAAGGACACAACAGACTAAATCACTGACACCTCAGTAATGCATTAAGTCATTAAGCACATAATAAAATAGCTTTTGCTTGGATGCTAGCTTCTACGATTTGGGGGTGGCCACCTGAAATGCTGTCCTTAGAAGGATCCATGCCAAACTGGGATGAATGCCACGATCAACTATCCATCTTAGGTACAGGTGGCAGTGTCAATGTTTTATTAAACATCTACCAAGTGCCAAGTACCAGTGCTTGGGGTTCTGGGGTTCTAGCAGAGATCAAAACAAGCATAATCTCTGCCTTTATAAAGCCTTCAGTAGATCAGGGAAATTTTAAGTAATTACATACATATAAACAGTTACAGAAGAGGAAATATGGGATATCACAAAGGTAATTAACAGGAAAGGGCCCTCAGCTAGGCTAAGGGTCAAAGGCTGCCTCCCTGAGGAAGTGATGTTTCAAATAAGATTTGAAGGCTAAGAAGTTAGCAAGGTAAAGAGGAAAAGGAAGCAGCTAGACTGAGATCAACTTGCATGATTTAGCAACAGATCTTTTCTTATTTAAGAATTCTTTGAGAGAGAAGGGAGAAGAGAAGATAAGTGCAATAAACACAGCTCCACAAAAGCAGCAGAGCAGCAGGCAGGACCCAGAGAATGGTTGAGAGTGCTGGAACCTTTTAAAGAAGAGGCCCAGGACAAATACATGGGAAAAGGACTGGAGAAGGGTGTAGGCGGCTGCCAAAACCAAGCTCTTGTAAGGTCCACTGTCTCTTTAAGTTCCATAGGAAACACACCTTTAGAGCTATAAAATGGCATGTCTCTCCTTTATTACCCAAGGAGAGGCACACACTGGCTCATGTTTCCCTTTCTGTCATGACTTCCATGAATTTCACAGCTAAGTGTGCTCGACTGAAGTAACTCTTTCTTAACCTAAGTTTTCTGGTACAATTATCGCCTCTACGTCCAAATATTATGTCTCCTGTTTTATCTTTCTTTTGTCTATTTCATCTTTCATAGAGAATGTCACTGGATCTTTCTTAGAAGGTGATGCATCAATAGCAACTGCAGTTTCTAAACCAAAATTTATCACATATGAAGTCATATAGTCATCTGACAAAAGGGCAGAATATTTGAAACCAGAACTGTCCCATATCCTCATGGAAGATAAACCCTAGAAAATAAATACAGGGTGGTGAGGCTGGGGTGGGGTGGAGTAGGGCAGATAACTAACCTTTACTGAATATCATAAGCTGAGAACTTCTCATGTATTCTCATTTGATCCTCACAAAACCCTCTGAAGAAAGTGAACTGTCCTCATTTATACTTGAGAAAAACGGAGGCTCATAAAGGTTACGTAAATTGCTAAAAGTCAGCTGATAAGTAGTACCTCTGGGGCAGAATCCAGGTCTGACTCTAAAACCCAGGCTGCTCAGTATACAGGGGTTAAATTAAACTAAAACATTTTAAATCTAACTCAAATTCTTTTTAAGAAGTCCCTTTACATACCTACATTAACTGCAAACTGAAGAGTAGATGTCTTTCACACAGCCCTAAAGACAAAGACAATGCATCTTCGTATGAATCGCTCACAGAGGAACTGGGAACAGGGCTCCCTCCCCTGGTGAGCAGACAGAACTACACCATTTCAAAGTACAGTATTTTTTCCCCCCGCTCTCCCTCTTAACCCCATTTACTTCTCTCTCCTGATTCCTTTCCAAAGTCCTTCCTTTGGTGCTTGTTTTTGGGAGAACCTCCAAGTTAAACCTCTAGGATTAAACTTCTATTCACTAACTTTATCTTCTTCTTCTTTAAAATTAACATTCTGGTAGTATATATTGATAGCCTTTAAAATGTTTATACCCTTTGGTCCCAAAAATACCATTAAAATATATATTACGAATAAATTATAGTATACCATCTGACAGACTATTATTCAGCTATTTTAACTGTTTTCAAAGAATATTTAGCTGTTTTCAAAGAATATTTAGTAAGGGGGAAGTGCACATATATCAAATGTACAATGCCCAATACAAATATACAGTACACTTTCAATTTTGTAAAAATGTTTCACTTGTACCTGGGAATGATAAAGGAACTACACCACAGGTTTGATGTGGTTATCTGTAAAGAGCAGGATCAATGCTTATCTGTATTGTCTTCTTTATATCATACCATTCTGTTTTCATACTCTCCTTAACTGTTTCATGAAGGGACCGGCCACTCTTCTCACCCTCACCCCGACATCAGCTGGAAGTGCTTTCCCCTGAGTTACCACCACTCTTACTGCAGCACTTGCGATACATTCATGTGGCAACTCAAGAGTCCCTTCATCAAGCTTATCCAGACAGACCTCGTTTCATTGGGCTTCACTTTATTGAGCTTCACAGGTATTGCGTTTTTTACCAATTGAAGGTTTGTAGCAACTGCCCTGAGCAAATCTATTGACATCATTTTTTCCAATACCCTATGCTCACTTTGCTAGCATTTTTAAGCAATAAGGTATTTTCTAATGAAGGTATGTACATTTTCTAGACATAGTGCTACTGCATACTTAACAGACTATGGTATAGTGTAAACATAACTTCTATATGCACTTGGAAACAAAAAAATTCATGTGACTTGCTTTCTTACAATATTTGCTTTACTGCTTTATTGTGCACCCACTGTATCTCCAGGGTAAGTCTACTGCAAGGTTCCTCAAACATGGGCAGTACACATATTCTCTTTAAAGGGGAAAAATCTGTATGTGAAACAATATGATTTAATTTATATTCATTCAGCTTATATATATAATTGTTACTTTTCTTTTTTTTAATTTTATTTTTGAGACAGTTTCACTCTGTTGCCCAGGCCGGAGTGCAATGACATGATCTCGGCTCCTGCAACCTCCCCATCCCGGGTTCAAGCAATTCTTCTGCCTCAGCCTCCCAAGTAGATGGGATTACAGGCGCCCGCCACCACGCCTGGCTAATTTTTGTATTTTTAGTAGAGATGGGGTTTCACCATGTTAGCCAAGCTGGTCTCCAACTCCTGACCTCAGGTGATCAATCCACTGCCTCAAACTCCCAAAGTGCTGGGATTACAGGTGTGAGTCACCATGCCTGGCCTATTATTTTTCTTAATCAACAGAAGTGCTAGCCAAAAGCCTAAAAAGCAGATGCCTACACTTTTTTTTTTTTTTGAGATAGGATCTCAATATGTTGCCCACCGCCGCCGGTCTCAAACTTTTGGCCTCAAGCCATCCTTCTGCTCAGCCTCCCGAGTAGCTGGGATTACAGGCATGTGACACCACACCCAGCTTATATACACAACTATAAAACTAAGTTTAAATGTCTTATGTTTATATAACTAGATAAGCAAAAAACAAACTTATAAATTAAATACAAACAAAATCACCAAACCAGCAAAATTCAAAATAACATTAATCAATGATGCCGCTCAAATTAAAATCACTGCCCACAAGGTAAATATGGTAATGGCATAGGCCTAAAAACAGGCAGACAGAACAAGAGAGCCTGGAAAGATACACACGGAATCCCTATAGCCCTTACAAAAGCCACCTTAGGAAATGCCCCGTACCTGCAATTTGCAGCACTGGGTTCAGAAATATATTTGGACCCAACTGTGATAGCTAGTATAGGCTAAGGGTGAGAAATGGAGACTGTTTGTACCTGTGTATTTTATACTGTATTCTGTAATCACACTGCATTCTGTAGAACTCCAATATCAATAAAGTGCCCTTGGCCCAGATGAAGCGGTTCTTGGCTCGTAACCAGACCTGTTGACAGGCTGGACTGGCCATGCCTCACATGTACAAGGCTGGCCCCGGGGGAGGCAGGTAACTTTCTGAGAATTAGAGGTGATTCTCACTCATGTAGGCATTACCAGCCACAACCATGCACCCCGGGATGTTGGGATCCAGATGCCTGCACGGCCGTCCAACCCAGAAAATGTTGCTGTTATCTCTACCACATAAACTACTGATATGATCAAGTATCTGACCAGCAATTTTGAGAAAAATATAATTTAAGTCTCCATCTCATATTTCAGACCATTTGAAGAATGAATTTTTAAAACTGTTATACAGTCATACTCAGTATCCACAGGAGACTGGTTCCAGGACCCATCTCAGATACCAAAGTTTGCAGATGTTCAAATCCCTTAGGTAAAATGGAGTCATATTTGCATATAGCCCAGGTATATCTTCCCATATACCTTAAATCATCTCTAGATTACTTATAACACCTAATACAATGCAAATGCTATATAAATAGTTGTTATACTTTATTGTTTAGGGGATAATGACAAGAAAAAATATCAGTACGTGTTCAGTATAGACACAACCATCCTTTATTTATTTATTTATTTTTATTTATTTATTTTTGAGACGGAGTCTCGCTCTGTTCGCCCAGGCTGGAGTGCAGTGGCACGATCTTGGCTCACTGCAAGCTCTGCCTCCCGGGTTCGCACCATTCTCCTGCCTCAGCCTCCCGAGTAGCTGGGACTACAGGCGCCTGCCACCACGCCCGGCTAATTTTTTGTACTTTTCGTAGAGATGGGGTTTCACCATATTAGCCAGGATGGTGTGGATCTCCTGATCTCGTAATCCGCCCACCTCAGCTTCCCAAAGTGCTGGGATTACAGGCGTGAGCCACCGCACCCAGCCACAACCATCCTTTTTTTAAAAAAAATATTTCCATCCAAGGTTGGTTGAACCCACAGATGCAGAATCGACAGACACAGAGGGCCAACTTCACATATAACTGAAAAAAAAAAGTTTAATAATTAAAATTCTAGAAAAACAATAACTTAAATGTCAGAAATATGGAAAAATCATCAGGAACAAAACTTAATGACCTAAAATTTTTTTAACTTCTGTATCTAAATCTTTAAAAAAAGCAGATAGGGAAAATGTTCACAGAAGAGAATGTTCCCAATAGATAAATGACTCGAATATATAAGCAGAAATAGATTGCATATTGTGTATATGTGGGTGGGTTTTTTTGTTGTTGTTTTTTTTTTAGCAACTGCAGAAAGATTTAGTAAGTTTCTGTAAATCTTTTAGGTATGGGGATTATTTGTGTATGGGCGGTGAGAGTGGGGGATGGGAGTGTCTAGTTCCTTACACCTCCTTACCCCATCTAATCCAGTACCAGACAACAGTAAGCCTTCAAAAAACGATTTCTCAATGAAAATATGAAAATACATAGAGTCTGTTAGAAAAAGAGAAACAAGAATTCAGGCAGTAGTCTAGAAAATAAAGAAAAACTGAGACTTAGACTTCTTTATTTGAATAAGTCGATTCAATAGTACTTTTTTGCTAAAATAAGTGGACATGTGCCTCGAGTGTTTAGCTCACTTGTTAGAATGCATCTCCAGCGTTATGGCTTCCTGAGATGCTCCAAAAGGAACACAGTTTGGATATTACATTCTAGACTTTTAGCAATAGGTCATATCTACGTACTCTCATGACAGTATCTATCAAGAGAAATAATACGTTACTTTCATTTTAAAAATTTAGGACTGAACAAAAAGGAAAGTGTTATCATAGGTAAACCAAATTGCTTATAAATAATCAAATCAAATCAACTGACAACAAAGGTAATGAAAAGTCCCCCTGGATTCATTTAAATCCATGTACTAAAGCCAAGTACTTCAGGTACAGGTAAATATACACGTATAGGTATTCAACTATAAGCAGTCTGCAATGGAGAACCAGGTTAAACTGTAGCAATTTTAAAAATCTGTGTAAAAAATGACTGACTTAAAAAAAAGAAAAGAAAAATGGCTCTTCATTCTGGAAAAACCACTTAAGAACTTTTATTTCTACATCCATGCCTTTTTTTTTTTTTGAGACAGAGTCTCGCTCTGTCGCCCAGGCTGGAGTGCAGTGGCGCGATCTCGGCTCACTGCAAGCTCCGCCTCCCGGGTTCGCGCCATTCTCCTGCCTCAGCCTCCGGAGTAGCTGGGACTACAGGCACCCGCCACCATGCCCGGCTAATTTTTTGTATTTTTTTTTAGTAGAGACGGGGTTTCACCGTGTTAGCCAGGATGGTCTCGATCTCCTGACCTCGTGATCCACCCGCCTCGGCCTCCCAAAGTGCTGGGATTACAGGCGTGAGCCACCGCACCCTGCTGACTTTTTTTTTTTTTTTTTGAGACAGAGTCTCGCTCTGTCACCCAAGATGGAGTACAATGGCAAGATCTCAGCTTACTGTAACCTCTGCCTTCCGAGTTCAAGTGATTCTCCTGCCTCAGCCTCCTGAGTAGCTGGGATTACAGTCGCCCACCAGCACGCCTGGCTAACTGTTGTATTTTTAGTAGAGATGGGGGTTTTGCCATGCTGGCCAGGCTGGTCTCAAACTCCTGACCTCAGGTGATCTGCCTGCCTTGGCCTCCCAAAGTGCTGACATTACAGGCATGAACCACCGTGCCCAGCCATCCATGACTTTTTTAGATCCCAAAGAATGAGATCTGAGAATGCTCTTATGCTACTGTAGACTCAAAAATTAAATGTTCTGGCCAGGCACGGTGGCTCATGCCTATAATCCCAGCACTTTGGGGGGCCGAGGTGGGCGAATCACGAGGTCAGGAGTCTGAGACCAGCCTGGCCAACACAGGGAAACCCCGTCTCTACTAAAAATACAAAATATTAGCCGCGCGTAGTGGCGGATGAAAATACGATGTATTAGCCGCACATAGTGGCGGATGTCTGTAATCCCAGCTACTCGGGAGGCTGAGGCAGGAGAATCACTTGAACCTGGGAGATGGAGGTTGCAGTGAGCTGAGATCGCACCACTGTGCTCCAGCCCAGGCAACAGAGTGAGACTCCATCTAAAAAATAAAAATAAAAAATAAATTAAATTTCTATTCAGGAGGACTGGTTAGAGCATAATTTTTATCAAATAAATAAGGAAATCAAGACAGGAGAAAGGAACCATGGAAAGGAGATAAAAGTACCTGCCCCCCAAATCTTTTGTTTTAATGACCTGAGCTAAACTGCTATTTTTTTCAATTAATTATTTATTAAGAGGAGTTAAAGACTTATTCTTAAAGTTATCTTGATTCCAAAAGCATTTCACAAACTGGCAGAGATAATCTAATACAATTAGGACAGAACACAAGAAAATAGGTGTCACTGTTCTCTACAGCTTCCATAACCTGGTAGCATGAATCTCCAGAATTGAATATTGACTCAAACTGTTCCTGAAAATGCAAAAATCAGGGACTTTTACTGATAGTAACTGTGGACTAATCAGAACAATCAGAACAATCCTCCATCTAAAAAGAACTAGAAACGCTGGGAAAAATGTAAGAAATACCTGCTTGGAGGCACGGGGGAGGAAAGCAAGTCAGAGCCTGAGAAAGTGAGCTCAGTGTTTGAGGCTAATTTTCCTGAAGGGTGTTTATCAATTCTGAAGGGAATGCTAAAAGATTGGCGCTGGGGTGGAGAGTAAAGGTGCTGGTGAAGAAGAGAACATTAGGAGGAAAAGTGAACAGAACAGGTTTGTCTTCACAAGAACTGCAGCTCAGCTTAGAGATATTTCAATCCCTGAAACTGTACTGAAGGCAACGCCAATTGTAAGTGCTCCCATGTGCCTTATAACAGCAGATATTAATTATCTCTGGAAGAAAAAAGCATCATCTTAGGCCTCAAATTATTCCTACAAATAATTTTGCAAATATGATGTTTACCACACATTAAAAAAAACACTAGGCACATAAGGAGACAAGACAATATGAATGAAAATCAACAGAAACAGACACTGGAAACAACTAACAGATTGCCATAATTGAACATGGACTTTAAGATAATTACACATACTATGTTAAAGGAGGTAAAAGACAAGACTGATAATTTTGGCAGATAGCTTGGAAGTATAAAACAGAAACAAATAGAAATATAAAAATCAGCTGGGCACAATGGCTCATGCCTGTAATCCTAGCACTTTGGGAGGCTGAGGCAGGAGTATCACTGGAGGCCAAGAGTTTGAGACCAGCCTGGGCAACACAGCAAGACCCTGTCACTTAAATAAATAAATAAATAAATAAATAAATAAATAAATAAATAAAAGCTGGCCATGGGGGCGTGTGCCTGTAGCTGCAGCTACTTGGGAGGCTAAGGTGGGAGTTTAAGGCTGTAGTGAGTCATGACTGAGCCACTGCACTCTAGCCTGAGCAAAGGAATGAGACTCTGAAAAATAATAAAAATAAAAAACAAAAAAGAAATTTAAAAATAATTTTTAAAAACCCTGAAATTAAAAACTCAATGGGTGGTTTTAATAGCAGATTATATACAGCAGAGGAGGGGTGATGGAGAGAGACAGACAGTGAGAAGGAGATAACCAGAATAAAGAAGAGAGAGAGAAACATGTAAAATGCAGAGAAACAGTTAAGAGACATAGAAGATATAGTGAAATGGAATAACATGGGGGTCCTCAACCCCTGGACATGAACTAGTATCGGTCCATGGCCTGTCAGGAACCAGGCCACACAGCAGGAGGTGAGTGGCAGATGAGTGAGCATTACTGCCTGCAGTCTGCCTCCTGTCAGATGAGCTGAAGTATTAGATTCTCATAGAAGCGTGAACCCTATTGTGAACTGTGCACGCAAGGGATCCAGATTGTGCACTCCTTATGAGAAGCTAATCCCTGATGATCTGAGGTGGAACAGTTTTATCTGGAAACTACCCCCCTAACCCCCCAAGGAAAAATTTTCTTCCATAAAACCAGTCCCTGGTGCCAAAAAAGTTGTGAACTGCTGGTCTCACATATATCACTGTAGCCCTAGAAGGAAAGGTAAGAGAAAATGGGGCAGAAGAAATAACTGAAGTACTTATGGCTGATGATTTCCAAAACCAATGGAAGACATGAAGCCACAAATTCAAGAATCCCTAAAAACTCTAATTATAAATAAAAAGAAATCCATACTAGGGACAGTATAGAAAAATTGCTGAAAACCAAAGACAGAACTTTAAAAACAGCCAGAGAAAAAGACTACTTTCAAAGGAACAAGAGACTGACAAGTGACTTCTCAACAGAAACTAAGTCATAGATAATGAAATAGCTTTAAAATGCTAAAAGAGTTCTCCAAGAAAACACCAAATGGCGAATGAGACCAGTGCAGTGGGAGGGCCTAGAGGCCCCAAAATGGGAAGCCACAGCAGTGGCATCCAGGGCTAAGGCTGGGGCCACGGAGCTGGTGGTGGCAAGGCCAAGGCCAAGGCCAAGGCCAAGGAGTAGGTCCCCATCATCAAACTGGGCAGCATAGTCAAGGACATGAAGATTAAGTCCCTGAAGCTCTATCTCCTCTCCCTGCCCATCAAGGAGGCTGAGATCATCGACTTTTTCCTGGGGGCAACCCTCACGAATGAGTTTAAGATTATGCCAGTAAAAATGGAGACTTGCACTGGCCAGTGGTCCAGATTCAAGGCACTTGTTGCCATTGGGGACTAAAATATCCATGTCGGTCTGGGTGTTAAATGCTCCAAGACGGTACCTACTACCATCCAAGGAGTCATCATCTTTGTCAAGCTCTCCACTGTCCCGGTGCAGAGAGGCATCTCAGGAGACAACACTGGCAAGCCCCACGGCATTCCTTGCAAGGTGACAGACCACTGCAACTCTGTGCTGGTACACCTCATCTCTACACACAGAGACAATGGTTTCATCTTGATCTCTGTGCCCAAAAAGCTGTTGATGATGGCTGGCATTAAGGACTGCCACACCTCAGTCAGGGGCTGCACTGCCACCCTGGGCAACTTCACCAAGGCCACTGTTAATGTCATCTCAAAGACCTACAGCTATCTGATCCCCAAGCTCTGGAAGGAGACCATATTCACCAAGTCTACCTATTAGGAAACTAGGAATTCACTGACCAGAGTCTCCACTGCAGAGAACCCAGGCTCCAGCTATGGCTATTATACAATGCAGGATTTTTATACAAGAAAAATAAAGTGAATTAAATTTTTAAAATGCTAAAAGAAATCAATGGCAAACCAAGAGTTCTATAAAACTAATAAAAAGACACTTCACAAATGGAAAAAAGTTCTAAAATTAGATGTGGTAATGGTTGTATAACTGAATATTCTAAAAACCACTAAACCATAGGCTTTAAATGGGTACATTTTACTGTGTGAATTATATCTCAATAAAACTTACAAAAAAGAAAACAATGAAGAATAAATAATGATGTTTTTCGACAAACACTAAGAATTTGTTGCCAGACCTGCACTAAAGAATACTGAAGAGTATTCTTCAGGCAGAAAGAAAATAACTCCAAAGCGAAGACTGGAAGATGACAAAGGTGGTACAACAGAGTTATGGGGAAAAGATTATCTTTTTAATAAATGGTGCTGAAAAAAATGGTGTTAAGTAAAAATAAAATTTAACCCCTTTTTCACATTATGTCACACAAAAATGAATTTCTGGTGAACCATATATCTTAATGTAAAAGGGAAAACACATGTAAGCTTTCTAATATTTTACAGGAAACTATTTTCGGTGGCTCATGCCTGTAATCCCAGCAGTTTGGGAGGCCAAGGCGGGTTGATCACCTGAGGTCAGGAGTTCGAGACCCGCCTGGCCAACATGGTGAAACCCCGTCTCTACTAAAAATACAAAAATCAGCCAGGTGTGGTGGTACGTACCTGTAATCCCAGCTACTCGGGAAGCTGAGACAGCAGAATCGCTTGAACCCAGGAGGCAGAGGTTGCAGTGAGCCGAGATCGCACCACTGCACTCCAGCCTGGGCAACAGAGCGAGACTCCGTCTCAAAACAAACAAACAAAAACCCAAGAGAAATGTGGGCAAGATATCTGAACAGGCACTCCAGAAAACTATACCAAATAAAAATAAAAAGATGTTCAGCCTCATCAGTCAACAGGAAACTGCAGATTAAAACCACAATGGGATATCATTTCATAATCACCAGAATGGTTAAAATTTAAGACTGACAATACCAAGTGTTGAGAAGGAGGTGAAGCAACAAGAACTCTCACACATTTTTTGGTAAGAATGTCAGCTCGTAGAACCACTTTGGCAACTTGGTGTTTACCGCTAATGCTAAAGATATGCTTATCTTTTGACCTAAAAATTCTACTAGATATCTACCCAATCGAAATGAATGCACCAGGAGATACACAACAATATCCATAACAGCATTATTAATAGCCAACAAAGCTAGAAACAACTAAAATGTCTAGTAACAGTAGAATGCGTACACTGTGGTATATTCTTACAACAGAATACTATAGACCAATAAAAATGAACAAATAACGATTACAACGGAATGGATCTCGAAAACATCTTGAAAAACACCAGACACAAAAGAATACTGTATTATTTCATTGTCATAAATAATACAAAACAGGCAAAACGAAACTATAGTTACAAACTACAGTTTTTACGAGATACGTGTTCAGAAAGCAAAATTACAAATGGAAAAAAAAAAAGTGATTACCCCAAAAAAGTCACGACAGGATCTGGAGAGGAAGGGAGGGTTTAGCGACTGGGAGAGGGCACCGGGCTTCTGGCAGAAGCAAGGTTTTATTTCTTGGCCTGATAATCAGCAGGCTCCCGAGCTGGGTGATACATCAACGAGCGGTACATTTGGGGGCCTTGCACTTTACTGGCGTGCAAGAAGAAAAAAAAGGGGGGTTGAGAATTAGGAGACGAAGGGGTTGACGGGCTCCAAGTCGAGGGGAAACTACACCTGTAAAAGCCCAAACGCGGCTCTGGGCGCTGGCAGGGGGAGGCTTCGGCAACGCCTGGGGGCTTCAGGCCAGCCTCCTCCGGGCTGGAAGGCACCGCACAGGGGCTTCCGCCAACTTCGGTCCTCGCGCGGTCGGGACACGGCCACACCTGCCCGCGGGGGTCTGCCTCCCAGGCCGCCGCAGGCCCCCCGGAGCCTAAGAGGACCCCACAAGCAGCCAAAGCCAGCGCCGCCTGCCCCTTGCAGAACACTGCCCCCCACAAGCCCTGCAGACCCTCCCGGCTCTCCAGACGCCCCCACGGCTCTCGCGAAGCCATTCCCGCGCTCTGAATGCCCCCGAATCTCTGCAGAGCCCCCGCGGTTCTCTGGAAGCCCCCGCGCCCGTGGAGCCCCCCTCCCGCCCTCGGGGGCACCGCGGGCCCCCAGCCCAGCCCCTCCGACGCTGGCCGCTGCCACCTCCCACGAGGCGCCGGCCCCGACTCACCTCATTGTCGCTGCCGGGGACGGGCGCGCCGGGCCAGGGGCGACCCGGCGGCGGCGGCGGCGGCGGCGGGGCGCGGGACGCGGGCGCTAGCGGGGGAGCCGGCCCCGGGCGCGGCGGCTCCGCGTCTGACTGGGCTGCGGGGGGCAGCGGGGGCTCATCTTCTCCGGGTGGGCGTCGGGGCCGCTAGCTGCGGGGAAGGGCCGCGGCGGCGGCGACTGACAGCTGGGCCCCGGCCCCTGCCATCTTGGCGGGCGCGTGCCCGGGCCGGCGTGTGCGCGGGCGCGTGCCTGGGGGCCGCCGCCGGGGGATGGGGGGGCGGGGGGCGAGCCGGCTGGGGTCCGGGCGGCGGGAACGCGTGCGCGTCCGCCTGAGACTCGGGGCGGCGGCCCCTGGCGAGTGCGCGGGCGGCTCCGAGTCCTCGAGGGAGAGGCGCGCGGGCGCGCGGGCTAGTCTCAGCACAGCAGCCAAGAGCTAGGGTACGCGCGTTGCTGTTCGCCCCACCGCCCTCCGAGGGGACTGCGCGCGCGTGCGCCCCTCCGCCCGCGGCCGCTGAGGTGAATGAGCGCGCGCGGCGGTCAAAGCCCGACACAAAAGGCGCGGGGCCCCACCGTCCGCGCCTCCGGGAGCGCTGAGCTTGAGGCTGCGAGGGGCGGGGCGGACGAGAGTGGCGGGGCTGAGGGGCGGGGCTTTGAGGGAAGCGCGAGGGGCGTGGCCGGGGTGGGGGCGGGGCGCCGGGCGGGCACGTGGCGCGGTGCGCTCCCTCCCGGCGCGGACGCTCCTCCAGTCCCCGCCTGACCCCAGAGCTCACAGAGGCCACCGGGGGAGCCAGGGTCCGTGCTCGATGGCCCCATGATTCCCATCACCTGGCCCTGCTGAGCACCCTGCCCGCTCGGACTCGGGGCATCCCTGATCCGAGGGCCGTCGAGGTCACCGGCGACTGATTCCCTCTCTTTGTACATAAGGAGCCGTGGCGGGGCCGGAGAGTTGCAGCTTTGGGGCGATATCAGTATTCGAAGTATCTCCCCCAGCTCAACAAGAGCCCACACGGGTCCCCAGAACCACAGCCTGTGAAAAATCACATTTACCGTACACAGCGTCAAGTAGTTCGTCCAGGTTGTCTCTGGTTTTTAAATCCCCATCTTTCCTAAAGGTTAGTGAATCTCACTGGTGGCTGGAAACCCCAGATCCTCCAGGGTCTCACTCCCCGTGTGTAAGAAGACACAGTTCCGGCCCGGCGTAGTGCCTCACGCCTGTAATCCCAGCACTTTGGGAGGCTGAGGCGGGTGGATCACCTGAGGTCAGAAGTTCGAGACCAGCCTGACCAACATGGTGAAACCCTGTCTTTACTAAATACAAAAAGTTAGCCCGGCGTGGTGGCACGCACTTTTAATCCCAGCTACTTGGGAGGCTGCAGAAGGAGAATCGCTTGAACCCAGGAGGCAGGGGTTGCAGCGAGCCGAGATCTTGCATTCCAGCCTGGGAGACAGAGTGAGACTCTGTCTCAAAAAAAAAAAAAAAAGAAGACAAAGTTCCTCATGCATTACCAGTATGGGCACTATTGCCTCCCTTCCCCGTGTCACAGAACGTTAATAGCTACCTTTTGAAAAACGGTCTGAACAAGAGCATTTAAGGCGTTTGTCAGCGTCTGGCAGTTAGGAGGGCAATGAAGGGTCGCTATTTTCCTCCTGTCCAGGATTGAGGAGAGGCTGTGTGTGTTAAGCAGTTTTGTCCAAGATATAGTAAATGGTGGAGCCAAGTCTCAAGCAGCGTTTTTCTGACTCGGAATCCCAGTGCCCATGCGTTCTAGTTTGCTGGGGTTGAACATCAGTGTCATGGGCTGCAGTTTGGGTCTCTATGTGCTTCTCTCTCTCCCTGTCTCCTTGTACCTCCCTCACCGTGTACAGGTATTTAGAGTTCCCTAGCGATTGGTTGTAGCACCTCCACTTTCCTTCCTGTATTTGTTTAAGCCCAGAGTTGTCAAACCTGAAAGGGTACCATGATCTCCTACAGCCCTGGTAGCAGCCCCTGAGGGTGGTACCCTCTCATAACCTCATTTGTCCCTCTCTTCACAAGTTCAAGAGTGGTCTCTTTGCTACAGGAGAGTCTTGTTGCATCCTAAAATTTACTAAAATGCACAAGCCTCAGGTCACCTGGGGACATTCCAGCTGTGCTATGGAAAGGCAAGGTTAACCCCTGGTCACTGCCTATCAAAGTCCTGTGCTGAGACCTTGGGATACAGGCCTGCTTGTTTGCAGCCTGGTTTATTGATGCTCTTTCAGCATGTGGCCCACTCTGATCTCCAGATCAGGTATTTTCCCTGCTGCCCTGAAGTCTGACAAGTTGTTACCGTCTTGCTCCTGGAGAGGTTGTTTCTTGCAGCTGATGTTTGTTCATCAGAGGGCTTCATGAGCTGCAGGAGGAGCTGAGAGACGACAGATTGGGACCACTCACATCCTATCCTGTGCCCTGCTTCCACCTGAGTGGGCATTGGTCTTTGTCTGACAGACCCTGGGATGCTTGGGGAGTCAGAGGCTCCTTGTGTTAATCCTCCAGCTCACACCTCTCTGACCTCCATTCCTCCTCTGGCAGGTGGGAATCCTAAAGCCCATCTGGCAGGTGCTGCTGAGGCTCAGATGAGATGCCGATGTCCACACAAAGTAGATCCCGAGAAAGGCCTTTTCTGCCCTTCTTCAGTACCCTCCCCCTCGCCTCCCCTCCCCTCTTCCTTAACGAAACATAATTTGAAACCACAGTCTATTTGGCACGTTTTGCATTTTCTGAACAAAGGCTTTATTCCTTAAAAGTACATGAATTCATGTTTTCCATTCTTCTGATAAAAAGAAAATTAACATTTGGACATGTGGCTCCCCCGAATGACTTATTTCTGGAGGTCACCAGTCCTAGGATTTGGAAAGTTTCCTTGCCAGAGTCAGTGATTTCATGACATCTGATGTGTGTGGGTGCAGGACACTCAGCCAGGCTGACGACCCATGCCTCCAAGCGCTCCTGGGCTGGAATTTCCATTTGTAAGGGAGGCAGGAAAGATGATTTTGGCTGTTTGTTGGGTTCAGGATAGTCACAGAGTCACAGATAACAGAGCTAGCAAGTCTTCAAAGGGCATCTCATCCAACCTACTTGTCCAGAGGGTGATGAAACTGAGGCCCCAGGAGGTCACACAGGTGACTGGAATAAGAGCCAAATGAGCATGTATTTCTGCAGACTCCAAGGCCTTGGACTGCCTGCCCAGTTCTTGAAGTTTTTCCAGCCCTGGGGTCACTGCTGAGGAGCCAGCTCCATGGACCATCTTCTCCATTGCTTAGTGTTTGCCAAAACGAAACTCACCACAAATAATGGAAAGAAACACAGTTGCTTTCGATGATTCACCAATGAGACCATGTCTGGTTCACATTAACCAGCATAAGTGAGTTACAAATGCATGCCAGAATCCAAAGTAAAGCACGCTTAGACAACCACAGATGTCTCAGGGGTTTGGGGGACCACCTGTGACCCTGTACCCCTTTTTCATTCACACCATTAATTTCATTGCCCAACTCAGTTATTACCAGCAGTTGTTTTCCTTAAACACAGCATGGCTAGTTTTCCTTCATTCATCCATTCGTTTAATGTGCCTTGCGCTCCTCGGCACGTGTCTGCCTCCTCTCCTGCCCTGCTCACTGCCTCAGCCTGCCTGGCAAATCATCTTCAATCCTGCTATGTGTCAGGTCTCTCCTGGACCGCTCAGCACCACCCTCCCCCACCACAGGCTGCAGGCTCCTTCTCTACACTGTTTCGGGGTCACACGCCTGCCCTCCTGCATCGGGATTGTCTTCTTACTTGCAGGCTCCCCAACTAGGCTGTGAACTTCATGAGACCAGCAAGCGAGTCTCATTCCTCTTTGTGCTGCCAGCCTCTCCAGCCCTGTGGGCTTGTGACAGTGCAGAATTGAAGGAATCCTGCGTGAGCGCCGCCATTCCAACCCAAGCAGTGCCCTGGGAGGGTCAGAGACCACTAGCCTGTGTGCGCGGGCATTTTTGGCAACTACGGCTCCTGCTTGTGTTCTATCTGGCAGGAAATAGAAATTACTTCTGGTCCATTTTGGCTTCCACACCTTGAAGATGGCCTGTGGGTCAAAGCTGGAGCTTTTTTTTTTTTGGTTCTAGCAATTCTGGTGCCTCAGCCTCCCGCCACCATGCCCACTCAGCTTAATTTTTTTATTTTTAGCAGAGATGGGGGTTCGCCATGTTGGCCAGGCTGGTCTTGAACTCCTGACCTCAGGTGATCCACCCACCTTGGCCTCCCACAGTGCTGCGATTACAGGTGTGCGCCACCGTGCCCGGCCTGGAGCTTATTTTAATTTCACCTCTCTCGGGCTCCCCCACTCAAAAGTGATTTCCCTAAGATCATGTTTTACTGGCTTTGAAGGCAGGAGGGGTGACTCTGGGATGAGGGCCCTATAGTCATACCGGGGAGCACTCCAGCCTTCTGCTGGGGTGACTTAGAGATCTGGACCCATCAATAAGAAGCGTGGCCAGACGGGGCTGGGGGAAAATCTTTGCTACCTGTCTTGTGGAGGGCAACTTCTTAGTGCCACTGTTTGCAAGGAGAAAGGAGGACCTAGTGTTACCGGTGGAGGGTGTCCAGGTTCTTCGCATCTTGAACAAAGAACTGGACAAAACACACAAACAAAGCAAGGAAAGAATGAAGCAATAAAAGCAGAGATTTATTGACAGCAGAAGTATACTCCCCAGGGCGGGAGCGGGTGAGCATGGGGGTTCCAGAGCCCCATGACAGAATTTTCTGGTTTTCCTCTCGCAAGGCCAGAGTCCCTCCGCTAGAGCGCTTCCCGCCCGGCCTGGCAGTCGGAATCCCGGGTTCCACGCAGGAAGGGGAGGGGCCAGGCTCCTCCCTGCTGCAAACCTTGTGAACTTCCCGAGGCTCCCCCTCAGTGGGCAGGCTGGCTGGAGTTTCTCCAGGGACCTGCTCCCACCTGGCTGTGTCACAGGGCTGGGCGGGAGCAGGCCTGCTGTTCTGCAGCCAAGTCTGAGTGTTCCCACTTTATGGGAACTTAATGTCTCCACTTAATTGAAGAAGAAAACTAAGCCAAGTACATGCCTGGGACAACCAGCCAGCCATCCTAGAGAGGCCTAAGGGTCCCCCTGGAGCCCGTGCCCCTTCCCAGGAGCCCTGAGGCCACTGGGAAGGGAAGCCCCATCCAGCTCACACCTAGGAAAGCCAAAATCTCTCCTCACTCCCAGCTAGTCATCGGGTCCCAGCTTGGGGGCCCGTTCACCATCAGCTTTGGGGAAGAAACTTCCCGCTCACTTCTCCTGCCTGCTGTCTCGCAATTACCGTGGGGACTGTGGCAGCCAGGCCTTTGTGGGAGCCGCCGGCACTTCATTCGCAAGGAGGCCGGGAGGCCCGGGCATCCGAATGCGAGCAGACGTGTCAGGGGTCGGGGTGTTGGGAAGTTTAAAGGCTGCAGCCTCCCCACCCAGGGAGGCACGGTCTTCCCGCCAGGCTGCGCAGTCAGAATGTGGCATGTCTAAAGGAGGGAATCGTAGAGAAGTGATGAGGAGAGTCAAGAAGATCTTGCCTAAGAGCAATTGGAAAACAAACAAAAAAATCTTGAGAATAGAAAATACATTATTTCAAAATTAAGAAATTAATTAGAGGCAGTGAAAAACAAAAGACACTCCTGCAGAACAAGGGTCAGTACACTTTCTGCAAAGGACCAGCTGGTAAATAGTTTTGGCTTTTTCAAAGCCATGTGGTCTGTCACAACTGTGGCAGGCCAATTCTCCCTGACAATCACACAGACGGGCCTGTATGACAGTCGACAGACAGGCCTGCACAGCACCCCAGTTACACAGATTTCCACAGCGCTGCCTTAACACTGAGCAAATAGTTAAACCTAGGGCAATCGGTGCCCAGACATCAAAGCTACAAATAAAGCATACGGTCAGTAGAAGCCTTGCATGGGCTTCTCCCTAACCTGGAGCAAGTCAAAATAATAGAATCTAACATTCCTAGTGCCAGGACCTGCCTCGGGTCGACAAAATCTGAGACGAGTCAAGGTAACAGAGGCAGCTGTTTGAATAGATTCATCAGAGAGTCTAAGGCAGCACTCCAGACCAAGCTGTAAAGGAGATAAGATAGAAATAATCACTCTGGTACCACAGGAGACAGGCCTTGAAGGTACTGGGGCCCACACAGCTTAATCAGACTTAGCTTGTTTTTTTTTTTTTATGTTCCAAATGTGATGGGTTTATTTTATTTTACTCTGATGCAAAATCAAAGATTCCACAATAGCACAGAGACCAATATATTACAGAGTCATGAAAAAAATGGTGTGAACATGCAGGACACGAGGTACAAACTGGAGGTTCAGATCGTCTCCTCTAACATGACACCACACTGTCGCCGAGGAACACATTTAATAACACTGCAGAACTGAACCGAAACGTGGCACAAACAGGACAGCTTCCAGGCATGCTTTCCAGCGCCTCCCCTCAGGAGGGACTCACAACCCCTAGACTTCAGTGTGGGGAGGATTACAATTTTTTGGAAGAGTAAAAAGTTCACACTTTTGAAATTTCACAGAAGGATTGTAGGGCCAAAACATGGTGGGTTCATTTCTCTTCACTTCCAGGGACAAATCTGATGCTTTCCTCAAACCACATTAAGCTTGCAGTTCAAACGCCAAGCCAACCTTGTGACCTCCTGCACTGAAGTTGTTTCCATCGATTAAAGCTGATAAAGGGTCAATTTGACTCCGGGTCGAAGGGTCTGAGTATAACCCAGTCCAATCAGGCTGGCATTATTTACTTTAGCAGAGAGAGAAGTTCTACAATCCAGCTTGTACTTAGTAGCAATGCCAAAATGGGTGTTGTTACTCCAGCCGTCCAAGCAAGGTTTATTGACATTTCAATCCCATTAACCTTCTGGTAGATAGAACCTCCAAATTCAGTGCCATCGGTCACATGTGTGTGCAGCTGGAAGTCTGCAGCCTCGTAACCCAGGGCGAAATTATTCTGTGACAATTTGGATTTGGCTGTGTCAAAACTCATCTGATAGCCGGCAAGCCACCCTTCAAAGACCAACACAGCCCAGCCATAGATGGTTGGTCCGGAAAAATCTAGATCAACATTACTGCCAACACTAAAACAATCCCATTTATAGGAGGCCTTCAATTCCCCACTCTTCTTTCCTGTGTTTGGTACCAATATGGTATCAAGACTCAGTTTCAACCCTTTAGCCAACTTATTCTCCAAAGAGATTTCTGTCCCAAGAGTATTGTCTGTGTTCCGTTTTTGAGTGAAGGTAAGTCCATAGTTACAGACCTTACATTCGGGTTCTAGGTTGCCTGATGCTTTCCCTGTATCAGTGTAAGCATGACCAGAAGTAGAAAATTCCACTGCACTACAGGACTTGGTTTTCAGGTCTATCTTCCCCATGCCAAAGCCATATCCTTTGTTGAAGACATCCTCAGCAGCCTTTCCCAGGTCACAGTAAGTTGGTGTGTTACACATATCTTAGAAAAATCTTTCTCAGGTTCTTATGAAATCAAAGACCTCCACCCCCAAGGGCCTGTCTCCCACAAGCTTTTTTTTGCCTCTGACCTTCTAGTTGAAACAAAATTAGTTACCAATAGACTTAGGCGAATGTTGTGCTGCACGTAGGCACATAACTCCAACCTGTATAAGCAATTCTAACACTTTGAGTTGGTCTGGTGGAATTATCTCTGGCCTTCTGCCTGTATCCGGTTACAGCAATAAATTCCCTTTTTTTTTTTTTTTTTGGGACGGAGTCTCACTCTGTCGCCCAGGCTGGAGTGCAGTGGTGCAATCTCTGCTCGCTGCAACTCCGCCTCCAGAGTTCACGCCATTCTCCTGCCTCAGCCTCCCAAGTAGCTGGGACTACAGGCACCCGCCACCACGCTAGGCTAATTTTTTTTTTTTTTTTTTTTTTTTTTTTTGTATTTTTAGTAGAGACGTGGTTTCACCATGTTAGCCAGGATGGTCTCGATCTCCTGACCTGGTGATCCGCCCGCCTCGGCCTCCCAAAGTGCTGGGATTACAGGCATGAGCCACCGCACCTGGCCAATTCCCTTCTTCGCTAGTTTGTCTGCTTCTCATTATTGGGACTCAAGAAGAGGCAGCTGGACCTGACTTGCTTCCGGGAACACAACTACTTCCCTTGGCCTTTGACTTGAAGACAGCCATAGACCATATGTGAGTGGATGTCACTGTGTTCCAAGAGAACTTTAGTGACAAAAACAGGTAAAACCATTTTTATTTTCAGATGACATTATCTTACCTATAGAAATTCCTAAGGAACCCACTCAAAAACTATCAGAACTAATAAACAAGTTCTGCAAGGTCCAAGCATATAAGATAAACATATAAACATCAATTGTATTTCGATAGACTTGCTATGAAGAATCTGAAAATGAAGTTAAGAAAACAATTCTATTTACATGACATCAAAACAATAAAATACTTATGAATGAATTTAACAAAAAAAGTGTAAGACTTGTACACTGAAAACTATGAAACGACTCCGAAAGAAATTAAAGAAAACCTATAAACGGAAAGATATCCATTTATGGGTTGAAAGAGCTAATATTATTAAAATGGCAAGAGAGCCCAAATTGACCTACAGATTCGATGCAATTCCTGTCAAAATCCCAGCTGCTTCCACTTTTATTTTGTGCAGAAATTAGAAAGCTGATCCTAAAATTCATCTGGAAATGCAAGGGACCATAGAATAGCCAGAAGAGTCTTGAAAAAGAATAAGTACAGGTATATACATTGATGGAATAAAATAGACAGTCCAGGCAGGGAGTGGTGGCTCACACCTGTAATCCCAGCACTTTGGGAGGCTGAGGCAGGTGGATCACCTGAGGTCAGGAGTTCGAGACCAGCCTGGCCAACATGGTGAAACCCCATCTCTACCAAAAATACAAAAAATTAGCCGGGTGTGGTGGCATGCGCCTGTAGTCCCAGCTATTCGGGAGACTGAGGGCGGGAGAATCGCTTGAACCCAGGAGGCGGAGGTTGCAGTGAGTCAAGATCACGCCACTGCACTCTAGCCTGGGCCACAGAGCAAGACTCCATCTCAAAGAAAAAAAAATAGGATAGAGAGTTGAGAAATAAACCCTTAACTTTACAGTCAATTGATTATCAACAGGGGCGCCAAGTTAAAGAACAGGCTTTAATAAATGGTGTTGAAACAACTAGATACCCACATGCAAAAGACTAAAGTTGAAACCTTATTTACATCATTCATAAACTTTATCTCAAAATGGATCACAGACCTTCATATAAGAGCTAAAACTATAAAACTCTTAGAAGAAAACATACATGCAATCTTCATAACCTTGAGTTTGGCGGAGGCTTTTTAGATATGACACCAAAAGCAGAAGTGACCAAAGAAAAAATAAATAAATTGGACCACATTAGTATTAAACACTTTTGCTGCAAATGATACCATCTAGAAAGTGAAAAGACAACCCACAGAATGAGAGAAAATATTTGCAAATATCATATATCTGATAAGATCTGGTTTTGTCTGTTTACTGTTGCTATAAAGGAATACCTGAGGCTGGATAAATGTGGCTCACGACTCTGCTGGCTGGAAGACTGGGGACCTGGTGAGAGCCTCAGGCTGCTTGCATTCATGGTGGAAGGTGAAAGGAGCCCACAGGTGCAAAGATCACAGGGCGAGAGAGGGAGCAAGAGAGAGGGGGAGGGGCCAGGCTCCTTTTGACAACGGGCTCTCTCTGGAACTGATGGAGCAGGAACCAACTCAGTCCTCCTCCCCTAGGGAGGGCATTAACGTATTCATGGGGATTCCCAACCCACGACCCAAATACCTCCCACCGAGCCCACCTCCAACGCTAGGAGTCAAATTTCAACATGAAGTTTGGGGAAACAAACATTCAAAGTATAGCAAAGAGGTTTGTATCCGGAATATATAATGCACTCTTAGAACTCAAAAATAAAAGACAAAGAGCCCAATTAAAAAGTCAGCAAAGGCCAGGCGCGGTGGCTCACAACTGTACTCCCAGCACTTTGGGAGGCCGAGGCCGGCGGATCACTTGAGGTCAGGAGTTCAAGACCAGCCCGGCCAACATGGTGAAACTCCGTCTCTACTAAAAATACAAAAATTAACCAGGCGTGGTGGTGCGAGCTTGTAGTCCCAGCTGCTCGGGAAGCTGAGGTGGGAGAATCACTTGAACCTGGGAGGTGGAGGTTGCAGTGAGCTGATATTGCACCACTGCACTCCAGCCTGGGTGACAGAACGAGACTCTGTCTCAAAAAAAAAAAAAAAAAAAAAAGTCAGCAAAGGGTCTAAATAGACATTTCTCCTTAGAAGATATAATATGAATGGCCAACAAGTACCTAAAAAGAAGCTGAACATCATCAGATATTAGGAAAGTACAAATCAAAACTACATTGGGATACAACTTCACACCCACTAGGATGGCTATAATTTTTTTTTTTTTAAAGAAAATAACAAGTGAGGTTATAGAGAAATTGGAACCCCTCATACATTCTGGTAAAATTGTAAAGTGGTTCAGCCACATAGAAAAACAGATTGGCAGTTCTTCAAAAGGTTCAACATAGGGGCCGGGCGTGGTGGCTCAAGCCTGTAATCCCAGCACTTTGGGAGGCCAAGGCGGGTGGATCACGAGGTCAGGAGATCGAGACCATCCTGGCTAACACGGTGAAACCCCGTCTCTACTAAAAATACAAAAAATTATCTGGATGTGGTGGCGGGTGCCTGTAGTCCTAGCTACTTGGGAGGCTGAAGCAGGAGAATGGCGTGGACCTGGGAAGTGGAGCTTGCAGTGAGCCGAGGTTGCGCCACTGCACTCCAGCCTGGGCGACAGAGCGAGACTCCGTCTCAAAAAAAAAAAGTTTCAACATAAAGTTACAGTATGACCTAGCAAGTCCACACAAAAGCTTGTACACAAATATTCATAGAAGCATTTTTAATAGTAGTCAAAAAGTGGAAACAAATCAGATGTCCCTCAACAGATGAATGGATAAACAAAACTGGTATATTCATACGATGGAATATTATTTGGCAGTAAAAAGGAAGAAAGTACCGATACAGGCTGCAATATTAATGAACCTTGAAAACATTGTTAAGTGAAAGAAGACGGTCACAAAAGACCATATATTGTCTCATCCATTTATATAAAATGTCAAGAATAGGCAAATCAAATCCATTGAGATGGAAAGTGATTTGCGGTTGCTTGGGTCTGGGTTGGGAGCTAGCGGGGGAATGGGGAATAATTGCCTCTTATGGACTGAATTTTCTTCCCCCAAATTCATACGTTGAAGCTCCTTTGAGGTACCCCATAGTACCTCAAAATATATTTCTAGGGAGATTCAGGAGGAGTTTTAAAAAAGAGATACTTAAGTTAAAATGAGGCCGATTAGGGTGCCGTAATCCAAATCTGATGGTTGTCCTTACAAGAAGAGAAGATTCAGACACACAGAGAAACAGCAAGACAGAGGAAAGGACCCCGTAAGGGTGCCAGGAGACAGCCATCTGAAAGGTGGGGAGAGAGGCTTCAGAAGAAGCCAACTGTCTGGGCACAGTGGCTCACGCCTGTAATCGCAGCACTTTGGGAACCTGAAGTGGGTGGATCGTTTGAGCTCAGGAGTTCGAGACCAGCCTGGAACATGGCAAAACTGCATCTCCACAAAAAATACAAACATTAGCTGAGTGTGGTAGCACACGCCTATGGTCCCAGCTACCAGGGAGGCTTAGATGGGAGGA
Source organism: Homo sapiens (assembly GCF_000001405.40). Lineage (NCBI taxonomy): Eukaryota > Metazoa > Chordata > Mammalia > Primates > Hominidae > Homo > Homo sapiens. The sequence goes on along the minus strand of NC_000014.9, from coordinate 99,960,264 downwards.
CTGATTGAGCCCAGGAGGCAGAGGTGGCAGTGAACCGAGCCAAGATTGCACCACTGCACTCCAGCCTGGGTGACAGAGTGAGATCCTGTCTCAGAAAAAGAGATCAACCCTGCTGACACCTTGATCTTGGACATCTAGCCTCCAGAACTGTGAGCAAATCGATTTCTGGTGTTTAACCACAGTCTGCGGCATTTTGTTATGGCAGCCCGAGCAAATGAATACACTGCCAAGGGGGTGTGGGTGGGGAAAATGTTCTAAAATTAGATAGTGGTGATGGCTGCACAACTCTGTGAAGGTACTAAAAGCATTGAATGGCACACCTTAAGTGGGGGAATTTTATGGCCTGTAAATTATATCTCAATAAAGCTATTTTAAAAAAAAAAACAGCTCAGGAGGTATCAGAGAGGATTAGTTTAGAAAGACACACACCTGAACCACTTCTGGTAGAAATGCCCTCATTTTGCCCTCCCACGTGAATGATATCTTAGCCAGGAGATTTTAGGCTAGCAGTCCCCTTTTCTCAGGTCTAGAAACTTCTAGTTTCAAATGCAGATAAGAAATCTGGTAGTCGGCTGGGCACAGTGGCTCATGCCTATCATCCCAACACTTTTGGAGGCTGAGGCAGGGGAATCACTTGAGCCCAGGAGTTTGAGAGCAGCCTGGGCAACATGGCTAGATGCTGTCTCTACAAAAAAATACAAAAATCAGCTGGGCATGATGGCAGGTGCCTGTAGTCCCAGCTACTTGGGAGGCTAAGGTAGGAGGATTGCTTGAGTCCAGGAGGTCGAAGCTGCAGTGAGCCAAGATTGAGCCACTGCACTCCAGCTTGGGCAACAGAGCGAAACCCTGTCTTAAAAAAAAAAGAAAAGAAAGAAAGAAGAAAGAAGGAAAGAAAGAAAGAGAAAGAAAGAGAGAAAGAAAGAAAAAAAGAAAGAAAGGAAGAAAGAAAGGAAGGAAGGAAGGAAGGAAGGAAGGAAGGAAGGAAGGAAGGGCAGGCGTGGTGGCTCACGCCTGTAATCCCAGCACTTTGGGAGGCCGAGGAGGGCGGATCACAATGTCAGGAGATCGAGACCATCCTGACTAACACGGTGAAACCCCGTCTCTACTAAAAATACAAAAAATTAGCCAGGCATGGTGGTGGGTGGCTGTAGTCCCAGCTACTCGGGAGGCTGAGGCAGGAGAATGGCGTGAACCCGGGAGGTGGAGTTTGCAGTGAGCCGAGATTGCGCCACTGCACTCCAGCCTGGGCGACAGAGCGAGACTCTGTCAAGAAAGAAAGGAAGAAAGAGAAAGAAAGAAACCTGGTAACCAGTTGGAGTCCCTTTTTCACATATCATATCAGTTTCCTATTGCTAACATAAGTTACCAACAGCAGAGTGGCTTCAAACAACACACATTTTTATTATCTTACGGTTCCAGAGCTCAAAAGTCTCTCTGGGCTAAAGCCAAGGTGCCAGTAGGGCTGCATTCTTCTGGAGGCTCTGGGTGAGTTTATTTGCCTCTTCCACCTTCTCTCAGAGGCTGCCCATATTCTTGGGCTCGTGGCCCCTTAGAATGGGGCCCTCTTCAAAGCCAGCCGCGGGGGTTAAGTCTCTCTCACATGGCATCGCTGACCTTTTGTCGGCAGTCGTGTCTCCCTCTGACCTCCTGTGCCTCTGTCTTCCACTGTTAGGGACCCTTGTGATGACATTGGCCCCAGTGGCTGCCAGTGTAATGATCCATGATAATCACCCTATTTTAAGGTCATCCGATTAGCAACCTTCATTCTACCTGAAACCTTAATTCCCCTTTGCCATGTAACCTACATATTCACAGGCATTAGGTTTGGGCATATTGGGGTGGATGTAAGGGGAACATTCTGTACATAAGTAATCTGATATCAGCTTCTGGCAGAACAAACAGATTACTTATATACAGAATGTTATCCTTAGAGTTCAGAAATTTCACTGGAGTGCAAAAAAAAAAAAACCCCAGATAACCATAAAAACATAATAAAACATTAGAAGTATAAAATACTCTTCTATTATAGGTAAGTTTTAGCTTAAAGAAGAAATCGGCCAGGCGTGGTGGCTTACGCCTATAATCCCAGCACTTTGGGAGGCTGAGGCAGGATGATCACTTGAGCCCAGGAGTTTGAGACCAGCCTGGGCAACATGGCAAAACCCTGTCTCTACAAGAAATACAAAAATTAACTGGGCGTGGTGGTGCGCACCTGTAGTCTCAGCTACTCGGGAGGCTGAGGTGGGAGGATTCCCTGAGCCTTGGGAGGTCAAGGCTGCAGTGAGCTGTGATCACGCCACTGCACTCCAGCCTGGATGACAGAATGAGACCTGGTCTCAATTTAAATAAAAAAAAAAAAAAGAAAGAAATCAATGTTAAAACTACAAATTAAAAAGAAATTAATGAAAAGGAGAAAACTTCAGAGCAACACTTATGGGATACAGTGATACCTTAAATGCTTTTATTATTATACAACAAAGAATGTATATAAATGGACCAGGCGTGCTGGCTCACGCCTGTAATCTCAGTGCTTAGGGAGGCTGAGGCAGGTGGATCATTTGACGTCAGGAATTCAAGACCAGCCTGGCCAAGATGGCGAAACCCCATCTCTACTAAAAATACAAAAATTAGCTGGGCGTGGTGGCACATGCTTGTAATCCCAGCTACTGAGGAGGCTGAGGCAGGCGAATCGCTAGAGCCCAGGAGGCGGAGGTTGTAGTGAGCTGAGATTGCGCCATTGCACTCCAGCCTAGGTGATGGGAGTGAAACCCTGTCTCAAAAAAAAAAAAAAACAAAAAAAAAACCAAGGCTGGACGTGGTGGCTCACATCTGGAATCTTAGCACTTTGGGAGGCAGAGGAGGGCGGATCACCTGAGGTCAGGAGTTCGAGACCAGCCTGGCCAACATGGTGAAACCCTATCTCTACTAAAAATACAAAAATTAGCCAGGCGTGGTGGCAGGCGCCTGTAATACCAACTACTTGGGAGGCTGAGGCAGGAGAATCGCTTGAACTCAGGAGGTGGAGGTTGCAGTGAGCTGAGATAGTGCCACTGTACTCCAGCCTGGGTGACAGAGCAAGACTCCGTCTCAAAATAAAATAAAAATAAAAAAGCAAAACAAGCAATACATATATAAGTGAATTAAATATTCAACTTAAAACACAACAAAATAGGCCGGGCGCAGTGGCTCATGCCTGTAATCCCAGCACTTTGGGAGGCTGAGGTGGGCGGATCATTTGAGGTCAAGAGTTCAAAACCAGCCTGGCTAACATGGTGACACCCCGTCTCTACTAAAAATACAAAAATTAGCCGGGTGTGGTGGTGGGTGCCTGTAATCCCAGCTATTCGGGAGGCTGAGGCAGGAGAACTGCTGGAGCATGGGAGGCGGAGGTTGCAGTGAGCCGAGATCCTGCCTCTGCACTCCAGCCTGGGAGACAGAATGACACTGTATCTCAAAAAACAAACAAACACACAAAACAGAACAAAAAAACCCAGCAAAATAAATAAAAAGAAATTATGAGGAGGAAATGAATAAAGATAAAAGCTGAAAATAGTGAATTAGATAACTGAAATACTGAAAAATAAAATTAAAATATGCTTCTTCAAAAAAAAATTGAAAACTCACAATGTGCAAGAAATAAAAGAGAAAAAAAAGCACAGAACAGAAGGAATGAGAAATGAGACAGACTCACAGGGGCAAATGAGAGGAAGTTAATTTCCAGGGGATGTTATTGCAGTTGCATTTCAATAAATGTCCACCTGTTCTACATGCAATGGGTGATTTTCTTAAAAATCAAGTAAGTAGAAATGTTGGTAATAGGGGAACTTAAATTGGAAGAATTTTAAAACCAAACTATACCTGGGGGCACCTGGGTGGTTAACCACTGGGGGAAACCAGCCACCTCGGGCCGTCCTTGAAAAGATGTGCATTGTAACTGTGAATAACTGAGCAGGCTCCTGTCAAGACAATAGTTGAGAACCATCCCAAGACTGAGCCAGGAGCCCGGCAGGTAGACCCCGCTCTGCCACCCTTCACTGTGGGGATTTGGGCAGGTCCTTCCTCTCCCTGAGCCTCTGTTTCCTCCAGAGGCCGCTCCAAGATGGCAGACTCTGGAGCCCCGTGGGGCAGGTGGAGGTGGCCAGGGCAGGGGGTGTTAGGGAGGAGGAAGGAACAAGATAGGGTGAGAGTGCTTCTGAGTCACCACCACCTCTGACTGCTTCTGCCAGAGCAGCCCCATTCTTAACCTTATTACAGAGTGGATTTTCTTGTATGATTTCATCTGAAAAAAGGTTTTGCTGCTGGTATTAGTCAGGGTTCTTCAGAGAAACAGAGCCAATAGGATGTATAGTGTATAGACAAATAGAAAGAGATTTATTATGGGGGATTGGCTTATGCGATTATGGAGGCTGAGATGTCCCATGATCAGCCATCTGCAAACTGGTGGCCCAGGAAAGCGGGTGGTGTGGTTCCAGTTCACATTTGAAGGCCTAAGAACAAGGGGAGCTGGTGGTGGGAATCCCAGTCCAGGTCCAAAGGCCTGAGAACCAGGAGCTTCAACGTTCTGGGGCAGGAGAAGATTGATGTCCTAGTAGATGTCAAACAGAGAGAGAAAGTTCGCCCTTCCTCTACCTTTTTGTTCTGTTCAGGTTCTCAACAAGTTGGATGATGACCCCCCAGCCCCCCCACCCTACCCCCGCATTGGTGAGATCAAGCTTCCTTAGTCTACTGATTCTCTTCTGGAGACACTCGCAAACACCACCAGAAAGAAGGTTTGACCAGCTCTCTGGGCATCCCTTAGCCTAGTCAAGTTGACACATGAAATTAACCATCACACTGTTGAAACAAAGTGTGAAAACCAGGTGATCCCCCAACTTCCGAGCTACTTCCACGTCCAAACTTCGTAACATTCACCTGGCAAAGTTCACTGGTTTTGCTTTGATAACTTTCTGGTTTCTTTGAGTGATAAAGATGTTCATAATTTAGCCCCGAAATGGAGATGAATATGTGTGTGACGTGTGTGTGTGTGTGTGTGTGTGTGTGTGTGTGTGTGTGTGTGTTCCTTCTTTCGCAAAACCACTGCCTAATTTGGAATATAATTTCAACTTGCTTTTCCAAAATGACCTAGAGCTTGGCAAGAGCATAGGGCTGATGAGCCTGTGAGGTGGGTAGATAGCTTCCTCACACATGCCCGACTTTCTCCTTGGAGAATGATGAGGTTTACAGCCTTTAGGTAAAAATAGCTTTGTGTGGCTTCCGCCAGGAAGACACTTAAAAAGGGAGAGAGGATTAGGTTGCTAAAAAAGAAAAAAATCTACCAAATTGCTACCATAATTTTGGAATTCATTTTTGCAAAACATATCAGAAGACATAAAGATGATCTTGCCTGCTAACTCAGTAATTCCACTTCTGGGCATTTGCCTCAAAGAAATAAATTTAACTAAAAGAAAAGCTCAGTGGACAGCTGCTCACTGCAGTCTCCTCTGCCATAGCAAAACACCCAAAGCAAGAAAAGATGCTCAGGGTGAAGTGTGAAGGGCAAAGGGTACTGCAAGTTCAGAGGCTCACAGTCCACTCCTTCATGTATTCACCAAACACTTCTGATAACATGTGGGCACCAGGCACTGTGCTAGGTGATGGGAAAGAAGAGTGCCCGAGATGCAGAGTGCTTCCACCTTAGGGTGCTGATTGGCAGAAAGGCTGGAGGCACATAAACCTACACCCACAATTCAGCATGAGAAGGGAAGTACAACAGAGGTGGGGACACAGAGGAGGGACAAGAACCAGCCTTGGCACTCAGGGAAGCCTTCTCGGAATAAGTGACTTTTTATTTTTTTTTGAGACGGAGTCTTGCTCTGTCGCCCACACTGGAGTGCAGTGGTGCAATCTTGGCGCACTGCCACCTCCGCCTCCTGGGTTCAAGGGATTCTCCTGCCTCGGCCTCCTGAGTAGCTGGGACTACAGGTGCCTGCCACCATGCCCGGCTAATTTTTGTATTTTTAGTAGAGACGGGGTGTCACCATGTTGGTCAGGTTGGTCTCGAACTCCTGACCTCAGATGATCCACTGGCCCTGCCCTCCTAGAGTGCTGGGATTACAGGTGTGAGCCACTGTGCCCTGCTGGAAGTGACTTTTGAGCTGAGTTCTGAAAGTTATGGTGGTTGGCCAGAATGATGAGAGGAAGAGGGTTGGGGGCACAGAGCATGAGCAAAGACCAGGTGGCAACGAGAGGCTGCCGTGGTGGTTGGACAGAGAAAAGCTCTGTGGCAGGAGCTGAGAGATGGTGCTGGAGAGGAACCAGAGCTCACTGACCGGTCCTGTGTGTAACATGAAGGAGCTTTTTCCTAAGAATTTTTAAGCAGGAGAGTGATATGGTCAGATTTATGGTTTGGAAAGGTCACTCAGACTGCCTGGAGGAAGGTCAACATGGCTGCAGCCAGGCCAGCAGTGATGGTGGCCCTCCAGGGCATAGGCAGCATCCGTGGAGAGATGACGTGGACACGTGCCCTGGCTCCTCATGGAGCAGAGCCCTCGATTCTGGAAGAGGCAGAATGGTGCTGTGGTTGAGTGTGATCTTGGAAACCTGACTACATGGGTTAAAATCCCAATTGTTTCACTGTGTGACCCTCTCACAGGGCTGTTGAGAGTGTTGAAGGAGCCGTCATGCATAAGGCACCTCCAACAGTACCTGGCAAGGGGTGGGTAAGAGCTCGCTGAGTGATGCTATCGAGGTTGTCACTTATTGGCTGCTTGCTGATACAGGCAAGAGGAACACCCACATGCCTGGCATGGGCCACTGGGAGGATGGCATGCGGGTTTTTGGGGGAGAAGTGGATGAATTGGGTTTGAGCATGTAGAGATGGAGGCTCCAGTGAATGAGCAGATGGAGACATCCTGCAGGATGTTGAACACAGAGGTTTGAAGCTAGGAGACAGGCTGAGTCAAAGATAGTGATTGGGACCTTGTAAGGGTTGAAGAGGCGGCTGGCCCCAGGGAGCTGATGAGATAACCTGGGGAGAAGGTGGAGGGAGAAGAGAAGAGGGCCCCGAGAGAGCTCTGTGGCAAAGGGATGGACCAGGAAGGTTTTTTTCTAACAGGAAATATTTGAGCCTGTCTAAATGTTGATGGAAGGAGCATATAAAGCACAAGTACACTGTGGAGAAATGGCATTCAGTAAGGGTGGCCTTTAGTATTTTTTATTATCATCATTATCACCATCATTACCACCACCATCACCATCACCACCATCACCACCATCACCACCATGATCACCAGTGTGAAAGGAAAATATCTTGGGCCCCTTCAAGCTGGGAACCGCTCAGGACAAATCTGCCTCTCATTCTATTCAAAGTCATCCCTCTGCTCACAGAGATACATGCATATTCTGATTGCCTCCTTTGGAAAGACTTATCAGAAACTCAAAAGAATGCAACCATCTGTCTCTCACCTACCTGTGACCTGGAAGGGAAGGGGTGGGGGGGTTGCTTTTAGTTGTCTCTGCCTTTTTGCATGGAACTAATGTAATTCTTACATATATTCATTGACGTCTCATGTCTCCCTAAAATGTATAAAACCAAGCTGTGCCCTGACCACCTTGGCACATGTTGTCAGGACTTCCTGAGGCTGTGTCACGGGTGTGTCCTGAACCTTGGCAAAATAAACTTTCTAAATTAACTGAAACCTGTTTCAAACTTTGGGAGTTCACAACAGTATCACCACCATCATCATTACCATCATCACCACCATCAGCATCACCACCATCATCACCACAATCATCAGCATCACCACCATCACCATCACCATCACCTCAGCATCACCACCACTATCACCACCACTAACACCGCCATCACCATCACCATCACCTCAGCATCACAATCATCATCATCATCACCATCACTATCACCACCATCACCATCATGTCAGCATCACAATCATCCTCATCATCATCACCATCACTATCACCATCATCACCTCAGCATCACAATCATCATCATCACCACCATCATCAGCATCACCACCATCACCATCACCTCAGCATCACAATCATCGTCACCACCACAATCACCATCATCATCATCACCATGATCATCAACATCACCATCACCTTCATCATCACCATCACCACTAGCAGCAGCATCACCACCATCACCACCACCATGAAACATCACAACCATCATCATCACTATCACGCCGTAACCATCTCCACCATTATCACCACCATGATCACCAGCATCACCACATCATTGGCATCAACATTATCACCATTACCATCACTGCCATCATCAGCACCACCACCACCACCATCATCATCACCATCACAATCTTCAATATGAGAAGACTGTCAAGGAGCAGTGATATAGATTATGGCATCATGTTATGCAGCTGATAGGAGTTATTTATAACAAAGTTATAATGACATGGGAAAATGCCTATAAAGCTACATGAAAAAAGCAATAGAAAGCATTGTATATGCAATATGTTAACTATGGAAACACATCCAAAACTACTCGAAAAAGAAATACAGGAAGGAAATGTGCTCAGAAGTAATAGTGCTATTTCAGGGTGGTAGTGATATGGCTGGGCTTCTTTCTGAATTTGCTATAATGAGTCTGGATGAGTTTTATGATTTAAAGCACATTAACCTTCATTTTCTAAAAAGAAGCAAAGGTGGGCAGCTGGGGGCTGCCCGAGCTAAGGTCACAGCAACCTTGGGTAAATCCCTGTTCTCCAAAGGGCTTTGATTCTGCCTTTAAAAAGAGGGAGTGGGCAAAAGAGCCTTTCCCCCGAGGTGTGCTGAGTCTCTGGCCTAGCAGTGATGTCCCAGGAAGGAGAAGCTGTGCAGTTAGACAGCCTCGGGGACCTGGCACTCTCACACCATGCCCTGGTATCTTCAGCCAGGGGTGTCCCCAGCTGGCTGCAAGTCTCAGGCCCTTATTCTGTCACCACACTCTCTGCTCAAAAGCCACCTCCTCTGCGTGCCTGGGCTTAAGTAGCCCTTGTGACTACCGGCCCCTCCCCGCCCATCTCCAGCGGGAACAGTCTCCTCAGCCTCTTCATTGCTTTCTCCATTCACAGTTCCATGAGAGCAAGAACTCTGGTATCCCCGGCCCCTAGGATGTGCTGCCTCAGGGTAGGGGTGGTGTTTGTTGGGTGAATAGATGAACACAATAGCCCTTCTCGACTCACAGGGCATATTAATGCGTCTAGCTCAGTGCCTCCCCAACACAGGGGCTATTAACATGCTTTGGAATTGGGTTTCACAGAACATACTTTGGGAGATGCTCCCCCAAGACGACCCCTGAGCGTCACTGCAGCCCCACCATTCTATAAGTGGTTAACAGAAACATCTCTGCTATGGGGTGGGCAGGTATCACGAGCATGGCAGACGAGCGTGGTGGCTGTGCGGCTGCCCTCTGGACCCCAGATCCCTATGTCTGGCTGAGTCCTCTCCCTCCCCTACTTCTGGCTGACGTCTGAGCCCTGGAGCTGCCTCAGCCTGGGAAAGAAGTGCAGGAGGGAACTTGCCAGAACAAGGTAGAGGCCTTTCCTGTAGCATCAGTTTCTGAGAATGCTTTCAAATGGAGGAGCAGTGATTGAAGGTGAGGAGGGGCTACCTCAGCTGCCACTGTGGCCAGGACTACAGGGCTGCTGCCTGCTTCTCCCAAGGATTGTTTTAAATGCAGACAAACGGATGCTGTGTTTCTAAACCTGCCTCCTCTGTGTGAATCAGAGTAAAATAAGCCACATGAAAACAGGGGAACCCCGTGCAGAGGAACCCCATGGGCGTCAAGGGGCAGCTGGGCAGTGTGGTGGTGATCACAGTCCATTCTATTTTCAGTCGCCACAGTCTGAGGGCCTGGGAGAACCTAAGTGATTCTGAAGCCCATTTGGCCAAAAGAATCTCAGAAATGTCACTGAGCATGTGACATCAGTCTTACCATGACAGGAAGTCTGGCCATTTCCTAGTTCGGTCCTGGTAAGGAGGGAGGAATCGTCCCAATGTTATAAGCTGAAATGTTATAACCACATTCTTTTTTTGCGGGGGTTGGGGGGTGCGGGGCAGGGATGGAGTCTCACTCTGTCACCCAGCCTGGAGTGCAGTGATGCAGTCTGGGCTCCCTGCAACGTCCGCCTCCCGGGTTCAAGCGATTCACCTGCCTCAACCTCCCAAGTATCTGGGATTACAGGCACCCGCCACCACGCTCGGCTAATTTTTGTATTTTTAGTAGAGATGGGGTTTCACCATGTTGGCCAGGCTGCTCTCGAACTCCTGACCTCAGGTGATCCGCCTGCCTCCGCCTCCCAAAGTGCTGGGATTCCAGGCATGAGCCACCATGCCGGGCCACCTCTGTATGATTAACCTTCTCCCACAGCATTTCCCAAGATGGATGTGTGGAACATTGATCCCTGGGCCAATCACTAATGCCTTAGGAGCAAAGGTGTCTGATGCTCGAGATGGGGAAATGCCCAAATGTATAACCTTCCTATGCCTTTCAGAGGCAACTGGCGCTCACATCTCTCTCTGTCATGTGCAGTGTGCAGCACAGTCTCAAATTATTTGAAACTCTAGCAGCACCCACTCTAATAATGCTCTGAAGACACCAGGCTGAGAACGCCAGCACAGAATGTAGCTGTGAGAACTGGGAGTTCCACCCTTAGCTCTGTTACCAACTTACTGAGTGACCTGGGGCAAGTACCTCAGTCTCTCTAACCCTCTGATACACTGGCTATGTGCTCCTGCTAAGTCTCATGTTGAATGGGAATCCCCAGTGTTGGAGGTGGGGCCTGACGGGAGGTGGCTGGATCACGGGGGTGGGGCCTGACGGGAGGTGGTTGGATCACGGGGGTGGGGCCTGACGGGAGGTGGCTGGATCACGGGGGTGGGGCCTGACGGGAGGTGGCTGGATCACGGGGGTGGGGCCTGACGGGAGGTGGCTGGATCACGGGGGTGGGGCCTGACGGGAGGTGGCTGGATCACGGGGGTGGGGCCTGACGGGAGGTGGCTGGATCACGGGGGTGGACTTCTCATGTTTTAGTACCATCCCCTTGGTGCTTCCTCGTGATAGCAAGTGAGTTCTTGCAAGATCTGGTTGTTTAAAAGCATGTGGCACCTGCTCCTCTCCGCTGTCTCTTGCTCCTGCTTTTGCCATGCGAACTGTCTGCTCCCACTTCACATTCTGCCTTGAATAAAAGCTCTTTGCTTTGAGGCCTCCCCAGAATCCAAGCAGATGCTGGCACCGTGTTTCCTGTACAGCCTGCAGAACCATAAGCCCGTTAAACGTCTTTTCTTTTTTTTTTCTTGAGACAGAGTCTTGCTCTGTCGCCCAGGCTGGAGTGCAGTGGCATGATCTCAGCTCACTGCAACCTCCACTTCCCAGGTTCAAGCGATTCTCCTGCCTCAGCCTCCCGAGTAGCTGGGACTACAGGTGCGCTCCACCGTGCCTGGCTAAGTTTTGTATTTTTAGTAGAGATGGGGTTTCACCATATTGGCCAGACTGGTCTCGAACTCCTGACCTCGTGATCTACCTGCCTTGGCCTACCAAAGTGCTGGGATTACAGGCGTGAGCCACCGTGCCTGGCCATGCCCAGCTAATTTTTGTAATTTTAGTAGTGGCAGGGTTTCACCATTTCAGCCAGGCTGGTCTCGAACTCCTGACCTCAAATGATCCATCCACCTCGGCCTCCCACAGTGCTGGGATTACTGGTGTGAGCCACCATGCCCAGCCATCTTGTCTTTATAAATTACCCAGTCTCGAGTATTTCCTTTTCTTTCTTTCTCTTCTTTTCTTTCTTTCTTTCTTTTTTTTTTTTTTTTTTTAACGGAGTCTCACTCTGTTGCTCAGGCAGAAGTGCAGTGGGGTGATCTCGGCTCATTGCGACCTCTGCCTCCTAGGTTCAAGCCATTCTCCCACCTCTGCCTCCCAAGTAGCTGGGATTACAGGCATGGGTCACCATGCACAGCTAATTTTTTTGTATTTTTTATAGAGACAGGGTTTCACCATGGCCAGGCTGGTCTGGAACTCCTAACATCAAGTGATCTGCTTGCCTCGGCCTCCCAAAGTGCTGGCATTACAGGCATGAGCCACCGCACCCGGCCTTCAGGTATTTCTTTATAGCAGTTTAAGAACAGCCTAATATACCCTCTTTCTTCTCTTCAAAGAGGGGCGATGGATCCTGCTTCTCGGGTCTGTATGAGATGAGATGAAATGACAATTCCTAATATGGATGAGGAAGTGGAGCAACAGAGACTCCCAGGCTGCCAGTGGAGCTGCTGTGGAGAATGGTTTGGCAATATTTAATGCATGCCCCAGAAAATCAGTAGTCCCATTTCCAGGTAGGATCCCAGATAATTTCTTGCAAACATGTACAAAAAACTTGTGCAATAATGTTTGTGGTTATGTAACTGGATGTTGAAATGAGCGTTCAGCCGAGGAGCCAAGATCCAATAGATGTGTCTTCCAGAGGCACTGTTAGACCATGAGCAGCAGTTACAAAAGAGGTTCCCGAGACACCTCCTGGGCATCCTCATCCACGATAAGAGTACTAAAGCGTTGGGAATTAGACATTTTCAGAAGTAATATTTGCAAGGAGGATTTCTTTGGGAGAAAGTTGAGCTGCTGATTCCAACCCTGCTTCTCCTGAGGGAGGACCAGGGAGGGTACTTCTGCCTAAGCCACTTGGAGGGCTTGAGGTGTGCCATCTGCGATTTGTGGACCAGTGCCTCAAAAGCGCCAGCTGCCCAGAGAAGGCTGCATGTGGAAGGCAGTAACTGCCCACCCACTGGTGCAAGGTGTGGGTGTGGGAGGCACAAGTGTCCCCTGAGACCAGATGTGAACCTCCAAGCAAGGATCCAAGCAAGGTCGTCTAAGATCCTGTCTAGCGGGCTTCCCCGGAGGGCGGTGGGATCTCCGCAGGAAGGAGGCCGATGGAGGCAGCCCTCCCGGTGCTTCAGGGCTGCAGAAGGAGGCCGCACCTAAACAGAACACCTTCATTCAGGTCCAGGGGACTGCAGCTGAGAGGCGATCAGCAACGTTGGGGTTCTCCAAGAACCTCTGAAAGCTCTCTCAGAAGGTCAGTTGAAACATACGCCCCACCCAGAAAGTCAACTAGAGTTTCCCTTTCTCTCTCCACACCCCAACCCTCCCCAGGTCAGAATCAGCCCTGGCAAGCTGGAGAGAGGGGCGGTGCTCTGCTCTTCTGCCACCAGGTGGCGCACCTGCAGTTGGCCGCGGGGCTGGAGGGGGCTTGGGAAGGGGAGGTTTTCAATTTATAACCCAAGTTCAAGGTCTTTTCATAATTACTTATTCAGTCTGCTAGAGCAGCTACTCGTGTTTTCAGCCTAAATAGCCAAATTTGTTCTTAACTGGCCCGCATTATAAGCCCAGGCGTCACCTGTGTTCCAGAGCCCCTGAATCTCACGTCCCCTCCGGCTTCCCGCACGCCGGGGTCCCCTGAGATCCGGGGCAGTCAGCGAGAAAGTGTGTGCTACCCGCAGCCCCGCCCCAGCTCCCTAGCGCAGGGTGGTGTGCGCGTGTGCCCCATTTTTATTGAAACTTAGAGTTGACCTGCGGACCCCCTGGAACGCCCCAGGAGGGCACGGACTTCCTGCAGGGGAGGCTCCCCTTAAACAAGCCTCCTTCCTTCAAGAGGGAACTTGGTACTCCGAAAGGCTTCTGTGGTCCGGTCTGGCTTGCCAGCAAGGTAGGGAAGATCCAGGCTGTCTGGCCCAGAAGGGGGTCTCCTGAGGTGGCCTAAAGCACAGCCAGGGATCCGGCAGGAGATGGAAGGAGCCCAGGTTTCAGACAGCACTGAGCATCCCGTCTGCAGGAGATGGGGAGGGGCAGGGATGCCACTAGGCATCGAGCAGCGGGGTCAGGGGGGAAGAATTGGGCTCTGGAGAAGGGTTCAGAACTGGGGGCTGCACGCTCGACACCCGACCCTGAACTGCTCAGCAGGGAGGCCAGGCAGCTGTTCTAGGCTCCTGTGCAGCCAGGCTCTGAGACACAGCATCAGGCTTGACAGCCCGAGAAACTGAAATCATCAAGTTTGTCAGCTGTGATGATGTCATGGTGTCCTCACACAAAGTGTCTTCACCACAGCGGCAGACTGAAGTATTTATAGGTGAAACGACATGGTGGCTTAGACTTGCTTTTTTTTTTTTTTTTTTTTTTTTTTAGAGACAAAGTCTTGCTCTGTCACCCAGGCTGAAGTGCAGTGGCGCAATCACAGCTCACTGCAGCCTCCTGGGGTCAAGCGACCTTCCCTCTTCAGCCCCTGAAGTAGCTGGGACTACAGGTGCACTCTACCACATTCAGCTGAGTTTTTAGTTTTTTGCAAAGATGAGGTCTTGGTATATTGCCCAGGCTGGTCTCAAAGTCCTGTAGGCTTGTTTTAAAAAATACTCCATCTTGGCCAGGCACGGTGACTCACACCTGTAATCCCAGCACGTTGGGAGGCTGAGGTGGGCAGATCACGAGGTCAGGAGTTGAGACCAGCCTGGCCAACATGGTGAAATCCTGTCTCTACTAAAGATACCAAAAAGTTAGCTGGGCGTGGTGGTGCGTGCCTGTAATCCCAGCTACTCGGGAGGCAGAGGCAGGAGAATTGCTTGAACCTGGGAGACGGAGGTTGCAGTGAGATGAGATCATGCCATTGCACTCCAGCCTGGGCAACAGGGCGAGACTCTGTCTCAAAAATACAAAAACAAAAACAAAAACTCCATCTCCCCCAAAAGTTAGGGGAGACAGAGGAAACAAGATTTTCTAAATGTTTGATTTTTTTTTTCTTTAACCAGGGGAAAGCATGAACACAGCCCCCATGACCACAGATGACGCAGCCGAGTTTCCCACTTTTGGGGAAATTGCAGGGGTCAGCACGTCTGGAGTGCAGTGGATAAGCCTCACCCCAGGAAGACCACTTTCGTGATCACGGCATCTCCCCTGCCAGGTGAGTACGCTGATCATTTTTAGTCTGGGTGAGAGGCTCTCTCTACTTTTGTGTATGTTTGAAATTTTCTGTAAAGTTTTTTTTTTTTTTTTTTCAGACTGAGTTTCGCTCTTGTTGTCCAGGCTGGAGTGCAGTGTTGTGGTGTCGGCTCACTGCAACATCCGCTTCCTGGGTTCAAGCGATTCTCCTGCCTCAGCCTCCCAAGTAGTTGGGATTACAGGCATGTGCCACCACACCCGGCTAATTTGTATTTTTAGTAGAGACTGGGTTTCACCATGTTGGCCAGGCTGGTCTCAAAACTCCTGACCTCAGGTGATCTGCTGCCTCGGCCTCCCAAAGTGCTAGGATTACAGGCGTGAGCCACCACGCCTGGCCAAAGTTTTTTTTAAAAAAGAGAATCTGCAGGAAGAACAGGTCTGGAGTCAGTTTTCACCTTGCATCAAGCGCATGTTCCCTAGCTCCTTTTCACCAAAACCTGTCCCCCTAGTTGTGGATTGGACCATCCCCATCTACCCTTTCCTATGCGCTCCTGTGCCTGTAAGATAGGATGACAGCAGCCTGTTCCCAAACCACAGAAGAGATGGCTAATGAATGGAATAGCCAACCTTTGGGCGTGGGAGTAATCATTCAAAAAAATGTGGGGGGCTGGGGAGATGCCAGAATGGGCTTTCCAGTGAAGCAAAGACAGCCCCTGCCAGGGAGTCCCTCTCACCCCGGCGGCCAGGACCTAAGATCTACCAATGCCAAGAATCCACTGAACTTTGCCTCTCCCCAGTTCCAACCGGCCTGGAAGCTTCCTCCACCTCCACACCCCCCGCCCCCACTGGGCTGACAGCCCAGTGCGACCCGTGGCCTCATGTTCTCTCTTCCCTACGTGGCTGAGGCTGTCCCCACCTTGCCTGGATCTCCTGCCTGGCACTGCCTGCGCATGGAGATGCTGGAATGCCGGTTGCTAAGCCAGTGCAGAGTCCACACTGGCTCCTGGCAAGCACTGCATCGAGCTGCCCTGCTGCTGCAGACGCAAGATCCTCCACGTGTGGGACTGTCTCCTGCTCCACCATGGCCCTCCTGGCTCTCGCTCCTCTCCGGCAGCCCACTTACCTGCCCTTGGATTCTGGAGTCCCCCAAGCTGGCTTGGGAGCCTCTTTTGGCCTGGGTTGAGCAACCTACAATCTCAAGCACACCTTGGCTCCCAAAACCAGCCTCCGGGGAGAGCCTCCCGTGTCCACCTCCCACAGGATGTCTGTGCTGGGCCTGCAAAGCCGAATGCCTACTTTGCCCTTGCAGTTGGATGTCAACTCGCTTCACCTGTTCCAGGCCTTACTACCCTCCTTCAGACGGTCAGTGATCTGCATTTTAGCTCTTGGCACTGTCATCCCACCAGAGAAGCAGTCAGGGACCTTGGACTCAGCCCCGCCCACATCCACTCCACCTGCGAGCTCTGCCGACGCCACCCCACAAACCTCTCTGGGACAGTGCTCCCACCTCCCCACTCCACGCCACCATCACTGCCCACTGAGATGACAGTAAAGCCCCCACCCATCAGCCCCCGGCCTGGAAGCCCTTTCAGAATTGCAGTGGGAACCCTTCCCTGCCTAACCCACCAGCGGCCCCCCTTTGCTGTTGGGATTTGGAATAAAGCCCTTAACATGCCCCCCGTGCCCTGCCTCTCACAAACTGCCCTGGACTCCTGTGCCCCTACCCTGTGCTCTTGAATTTCCCTCTCAAAAGGGTTTTGTGAGTGTTGGCCTCAGCCTCCAGTGCCTCTCTCCCCGCTCTCCCGGGTCATTTCCTTCTCTTTCTGCCAGGGAAACTTTCCGGAGTCCCCATACTCACTCGGGTCTTCCAGTTAGATGCTCTCAATTCCTTCCTGGCTCATATGGTGGTCATCTAGCACGCGGCTGGGCATGCGTTCTGCTAACCTCTGGCTCTTCTGATGCCATGTAGGCGCCCCAGGGCAGGCACTGGTGTGGTTTTGCCCGTCCTTATATTCCCAGCGCCCAGCACATGTCATTAAGACAAGTTTGGAACAAGTGCCTGTCTTGGGGAAGTTATTTCCTTCTCCAAGCCTCAGTGTATCTATCAAATAGCCCTGCTTTCCCTGCAGGCTGTCACAAGCCTACAAAATCCCCCAAACAAACACCCGCAGAATGACAGATGGCCTCCCTGCCCTGGTAGTGTCACTCTTCAAATCAACTTCCCAGGCCCTGGAGGCAGGCGGCAGCAGGCTGTCAGCCTTCAGAGTCCCCAGAGTGAGACAGGGTCTCATTTTGTCACCCAGGCTGGAGTGCAGTGGTCTGCTCCAGGCTCACTGCAACCTCGACCTCCCAGGCTCAAGCAATCCTCCCACCTCAGCCTCCAGGAGTAGCTGGGATTACAGGCACATACCACTATACTCGGCTACTTTTTAAAATTTTTGGTAGAGATGGGGTCCTGCTGTGTTGCCCAGGCTGGTTGTGAACTCCTGGGCTCAAGTGATCCTCCCACCTCAGCCTCCCAAAGTGCTGGGATTACAGGCTGGGCCACTGTGCCTGGCCTCTTTTATAATTTTCTTAACATTTTATCTTCTCTAGCTTACTTTATTGCAAGCGTGTACTATATAATACATATTGACAAAATATGTGGAAATTGTTCTCAGTGAGGCATCCAGTCAACAGTAGGCTATCAGTAGTTAGGTTTTTGGAAAGTAAAAAGTTATACATAGATCTTTGACTGCGTGTGGGGTCAGCACCCCTAACCCCTGTGTTGTTCAAGGGTCAACTGTGCTCTTTTGCAAGCTTTGAAGCATGTGAACGCCAGCACCTACCCTGTTCTTGAGGAAATCCAGCGTTCCCTTGATACTTGACCTTATCTAAACAGGACTGCCACGGAGACTTTACTCTGCAAAAGCAACAATTTCATCTTCACAAAGTTTCAAATGGTAAATAAAAAAAAATCCCCTGAGGGCTTTTTGTTCACTGGAAAATTCTCTCATGCTAACAAACTTAATTATTGTAACTACAAATAAATCGTAATCTTTCCTTTCCTTTCATCTTTCCTCATCTTACGTGCTGCAGGGAAGCTGGGCTAAGAGCTGCGCGGTTCCTGAGCCTCTCGTTCCGGGAGAATCTTGGAGGTTCAAGGCCTTGCTTGCCTGAGAGGTGCTGAGCAGTGGCACAGGGTCATTGCTCGCTGTGTTAACGCGTGAGTGAGTGAACAGTGAACACCTGCAAGGTTAATACTGCACTGGTTAAAGAATTTCAATTAAAATGAAATGAAGCCATTTTAAATCCATCAAATTCATTCATTCATTCATAATAAAGTGATTAATCATTATAAAGAGAGCAATAGTAGTTTACATATATATATAACAGTACATTTATCTAAAATAGTAGATGTGTGTGTGTTTGTATCCTTTGTCCATTATTGAGCTTGGCAAACAGGAGTACATAGAAATAAAAGCAGACCTTACTGACATGTAAGTCAATAATGAATGCCTTTTCCTTCCCTCATCTTATCATTCTCTCCATTGTTAATTTAAAAACAATTGCTTTTGCCAGTATTCACAAAACCACGTAAACTGACAATTGAGTATGGTAATTAGGCCAAATCCTTTATGGTTATCTCCCCTGATGAATGCTTCCACGCCATCTGCAAACTACAGTCTCATCTGCAAACTACAGTCTCATCTGCAAATGGCCCAGGTGAGAATAAAATCTGCATATGAAACAGAATATAGTGTGAATCATATCTAATTTTAAATATTTTAATTTATATGCTTTCATGAATATAGGTCAATAAGAAATCCACTTTTCAGATTTTATTTCATTATAGAATATATTTGACAAGGATACATACAAACAGATTCATCTTCAATAATACATGGTGTTTACTGGTGCCCTGCACTTCTGCAGTAGGCTGGTGATGTCATCAAAAATGTTTTTGAAAGTTGCACTTCATCAGTCACTCTAAACAACCAGTGCCATAGAGCTCAGATAATTCCATTCATTTACTTGCCTTGAATGAGTAAAAATCTTAATATTTGCTTTAAAGTCTGTTTATTACTCTTCTATTTAAAAATTTGAGATACATTCCCCAATGTAAACAATAAATTTCAATCTGTCACACAATCGAAATGGATAAGGCCTTCTTGACAAATTTCTGCCACCTCCGTTTAACGCATCAGAACTCAATCTTATCTCATACTGTAATGGGTCGCCCATGCACAAAAGACAGGAAAAGCAGCTGCCCTTGGTACCTGGTGGAGCCTTTCGAGACTTCTCTCTGCAGGTTTATGGTACGCTCGAGAGAGATCTTTCTGACTTGGTCTACTTGGTCATAAAATACAAATATACAATGTCCATAAGCATAAGACAGTAAAGCCTAGTCTTACATATTTATTATGAATTGCTAGAATCCTATACAAGTACAATATCATCTCATGCCAAGTAATATACACAAGAAGGTGGCAAAATGTCTCACCGTGAATCAGGGCGTGTGAACAAGGGATGGGGGATGCAAGCCAGGTGGGTGTGAAGAGGCTGACCGCATCTGGTTAGGCAGGACGGTGTCACTGAAACTTGGAAACGCCTGTGTACCCTGCTGAAATATTGAAGTCAGTTAGGAGTAGAGTCTGCTTAGCACAAGAGGGATACAAGCCCTCTCTCACAGCCTCCCCAAGGGAGAATGCAATGAAACTTTGGAAAATGTAACCAAACACAGTCTCATCTTTGTGTCTCCTGATTCAGCTGTGCAAATCAGTTATTCACTCTTCTGAAGTGATCTGTCCTTTTAGGACCAATTCCTCAACAGCCATCGTGGTTCAGTACCTCATTATCATCATAAATATTTGACTTAGCAAGCTAGATGGTGAAACAGTGAAGATTATATACAATGTTTTAAAAGGCATTCTGTGACCATTTTTGAAGAGTTCATAGAAAAGTTACTAAGAATATACCAGTTACTTCTGTTGATGTGGCTATAATGTAAACGTTGCAACCTTGTTGGTATTCAATGTGCACTGTGTCATATATTGTACAACAAAAGTGAACACGGAACCGCTGATCCGCTGTGGCGCCCGCTGACACGCTAAGCTAAGGTAGCCGGCGGAGGGCACAGTTTTCCTGAGGTTTGTAAGAATTTTTTAAACAAAACAGAAATCACAGTGACCAAGGGTAATGCGAGTCTGTGTCTTCCTTGCCCATGCTGCTCCCCACAGCTCTCGGTGGGTACTAAATGACGCGCCACTGCATGATGCTTGTGTCTTTCCCGCCCGTGGAGATGAGGTGGCTGTCTTCACAGAGGAAATCGACATTGGTGACATGGCTGCTGTGCCCGCCGTAGATGTGGCTTGGAGCCTGGAGGGAATGATACGGGGGAAAGCTTCCTTTACTACAAGGCGAACCATCTGGGATGGGAAAGTGCTTGAATTCTCACTGCATGCCTTAATTCCTTTACTCGCCCTCCGCTCGGCAGCTCTCACTTGGGAACCTGCTCTGTGTGTGACACAGAAGGGACACAGAAACAAAGCCCACAGTCCTCGTGGCCTGGTAGGGGACAGACACGAGCAAATGACCGCCCTCAGCCGAGAGATATGCTCAGTATCAGAGGTGCCAGGTATGAGGTCGCCCCAAAGGTGGGCCTAACCAGATGCCCGGGGCTGAGGGTGAGGGGTCTCCAGGGTCAGGATCACGGAGGATGAAGAAGGGCGTCCCAGGGCTCAGGGCTGGCGCGGCTGAGCAGGGCCGGAGCAAGGGAGCCGTGGGGGAGGGCGGGGTCGTGAGCCTGTGGGGCTGCAGAGGTGGATGAGCAGCTCTGAACGGCTTTGTGGGTCCTGTGGGGCTTGGGGTTTCCCTAAGGGCGGCTGGAAGTGCTCAGGGCGCAAAGAACAGAGTCACATCTGCCTTTGTGGCTGGCAGCAGTCGCTCACAGCCCATTTCCACTTAGTCTCCAAACAGGTCGGGTGTACGTGCATGCCCCATGGGGGATAAGATTAGTGAAGAAACAAGTCCTTTACCCTGAACTGCGAGCAGGGGTATGAGAAGAGGTGCACTTTGCCAAAGTCGTCGCCTGTTGACAGGAGTTTCTTCTCATGGGCCCGACAGACGGCATTGATGTCGGTTCCGTCCGAGCCTTCTGGCCACACTCCTAAAACAAAGACCACAAACAGGGCGCTGGAAACACCAGGGGCCACAGGGCCACATGGCGCAGGAAGCGCCCACTGAACGGTCCTGAACATGAAACTGCCTGAAGTCCAGCTTTAGAAACAAGGGTCAAAAAAGCACAATAGCCTCAGTTCCTGGCCTCTCGCTGTGCGCCCAGTCTCCTCTCACTCAGGCCAGTCTCGGAGACCCTCTGATGCTCTGCTGTGCAAGGGGAGCAAAGACAAGCTTTCCGGGCTGCCAGGTCTTTTGAGGCCTCATCTTGAGGCCAAGGCAGACAGTACCAGGAACCCCAGTTCCAAAGTGACACCTCTCCTTGATCTCTGAAGCATCTTGTGGGAAGCTGCCCTGTCCTCAAGCCTGCAGTTTCCTTGTTATTGCTGTAACTCTACATGGGTGGGTCTCTCCAAAGGCCTTTTAACCCTGGGTGTGCGCATGTTTCTTGGGGTCACTCACTGTGGCTGTTGCTTGCTTGGGGCAGCCTGGCAGCTGTGCCCATCATTACTGGCTCCAGGCTCTGCATCCCTGAGCCCAGGTGGGCCTGGAGAATGGGTGGGTGGGGGACACCCTCTTCTGACCATTGTCGGGTGAGCCCAGGTGGGCCTGGAGAATGGGTGGGTGGGGGACGCCCTCTTCTGACCATTGTCGGGGAAACCCTTTCAACAATACCTGTGGCTAGGAGAGGGCTGGATGCACGTTGGGTTTTCGACTGGGAGCTCTGGAGTGAACCTCCGGACCTCAGCACTGAACACCACAAAACTGCAAATTCTCACAAGACTTGTAGTCTTACGTAAAGAGACAATAAACACTATCTTTAAAAATTCTATTAATTTGCAGCCCTTTAATTTAGTTCACTTATGAAAATATTCCTAAAGTGAATGTTGAAGAAAGTGAAATTTTTAGTTTAAGAACAAAAAATATATAAATAATAACCCTCACAAATGGTAAGTTGACTGAGTGCCATCTGGTCCACCTAGGTCCATGTGGCACAACCTGATAGGAGAGGGTTCCAGGGAATTATCTTAGGACCTGCTGCCCTGTACAGTGGAGAAGGGTTAAAAACCCATCTCTCTGGTTCTTCTCAGTGGGCCACGGCCAGGCAAGCCCAGGCCCTACCCCAGGGTGCGGCAGGAGGTGTGTCTCATGGGCCTCCCGTAGCAGCCGAGCAATCTGACAAGACTGGTGACCATGAGACTCCGTAGCAACTGAAGAAATATTTTAAAAGGAGACACTCTTTTGTTGGAACCAGTGAAATCTGCAGCAAACTTACCAAAAACATGGAATCCCAAAGTGCAGGTATAGGTAGCCCATTCAATGTCTCTTGTAGTTTCCACACTTACGACTTGCTTACAGGCAGAGGGAACCCCTGCAAAAAGCAAACAGTCTGGCAACATCTAAGCCAAGGCCCCACCCCTCCCCTAAGCAAGGCTGAGCCCCCAGAGCTGTGCCCCGTTGGGTACAGAGCCCTTCCTGGAGAGGGAGACCTTCCACTTCCCAGTCGGGCAGGAACCACGTGTGCACAGATGTGAGTTCCCCTGGAACTGAGCCCGAGCCCATGGGCCTGGGTGGAGGTGCCCTCTTCTTTGTTTTTTTCCCATCTCCGTCCAAGTCTGTTTCCCACAGTCTGGCTTCTCTAGCCTCTGGTTCCTGGGTCTCCGCCTGCTGCCCACCCCCACCCGAGCCCCTGAACACAGCTCTGCCTCTGCGGTCAGGCCCCCTCGCCTCCCTATACCCCTCAGTCCCTTCAGATCAGTGTCAGGAATGGAGGTTATTGAAACCAGTCAAACCAAGGGCCTCCCAGGGGACTTGTGTGTTCCCCAAATGAGCTCTCACCAGCAGAGTACGAGACCACATCTGAGAAGGCTCTAGACCCAGGGCTTGTCCCTGAAAATCATACCGTTCCTGTGCCTGTGTCAGGCAGGAGCTGGACAGGGAGGAGGTGAGACGGTGCGGCCGCCCTCCGCACTGGAGCGAGCTCAGTCTCGGTACACACTGCCCTGCTTTCCCTGCCGCCAGTGGTCCTGCCTGTCCTGGTCCTCAACAAGTGGGGACGCTCAAGTGAGTGTGACCCGCCCACCCCCGTGGGCTCTTGGGGCCTGTGTTTTGGGCTCTGAGCCCTTCCCTGCATCATGCGGCCAAGCCAGAAAGTGCTGTAGGTCATCTGAGAAGACGCAGAGGAGGAGCGCTGCGCTTTCCAGTAACTTCCAGCAGGGGAGCAGCGAGGCCTTCCTTGTGCCCACGCGCCGCCCTGCGTGGCCCAGAGTGGGGCACGTGGCAGGTGCCTGGTGGGTGTCTAAGGAACCAGTGCGTGGCATGAGGATGTGCTTGTAAGTGCCCGCCACGATCATCCTCGCTGTTCCCAAGCACTGCCTGGGCCCAGAGACTGGCCAGGGTCAGGTTGGGAGGGGAGGAGGAGGGGTCCCAGGGCTGCCGTCCACCCAGCGGGGATGGACTTCATGGTCCCTCCTGTGAGGATAACACCTTTACAGGCCCTCCTCCTGCCTGGACAGCTCCGGACCCACCCACTTCGGCCACATCCACCCGGACCCGCCCCCTTCTGCCACATCCGCCTGCCCCAAGCCCCCCTCTGCAGGGCTTGGCCTTCTTCCCCTTGGGGCAGGCCCTGGATCTTCTCCTCCATAGGGGCTCACAGTCAGCAGGAAACCGGGAAGGACCCAAGAAGCCACGCAGCCCCACTCCCCTACGTTACAGAGGCGGAAACCATGACCTAGAGATGATGGCACGTGCCTAAGTCATACAGGAGGTGGGTTCTCACAGAGGCCCCCTGGATCTCAGAGTGAACGCTTTCTGAGATCGAGACTTCATACAACCCCGGGGTGGTACTCACAGTAGAGGATTTCGTAGTCTCCGGAATTTGACACGAGGAACTGTGAGTTTACAGACCAGTCCAGGTGAGTAATGAAGCTGGAATGACCCTGGGAGGGTAAAACACTGTCTTCATTTCATTGGCCTTAGAAGTCCCTGCCAACACTGTTCCACGGTAGTTAAACTATACGCAGTGCATGAGAAGCGACAGGTCCACTGTCAGCGCTTACCGAGCACTTGCCCACTCGCGTGTACTTCCTCCCGTTGTCACTAACGCCATATATATAGATGCAGTTGTCATGTGAGCCTATGGCTAAGAAATTCCCATCTATAAAAAGATGACAAATTACATTTCAGATGTTAACAATACACATTTTGTTCGTTACAAAGGATAACGGTAGCTGCCACCACAGATTTAGACAAAATCACCAGATTAATGAATTATTTCCAAGAGAAAAATCTGCTTTTCAATGAATCCTTTGCCACTTCCAAAGCTATCTTTTGAAAAACACACATCTGGCCAGATGATAAAACCTGGTAAAGGTTTATAATTTTTTTTTTTTTTTTTTTTTTTTGAGACGGAGTCTCGCTCTGTCGCCAGGCCGGAGTGCAGTGGTGCGATCTCGACTCACGGCAAGCTCTGCCTCCCGGGTTCACGCCATTCTCCTGCCTCAGCCTCCCGAGTAGCTGGGACCACAGGTGCGTGCCACCACGCTTGGCTAATTTTTTGTATTTTCGGTAGAGACGAGGTTTCAACGTGTTAGCCAGGATGGTCTCGATCTCGTGACCTCGTGATCCGCCCGCCTCGGCCTCCCAAAGTGCTGGGATTAAGGTGTGAGCCACTGCGTCCAGCGATTTATAAATTTTTATGAACTCTTTTTTTTTTTCTTTTGAGACAGGGTTTTGCTTTGTCACCCAGGCTGGAGTGCAGTGGTATGATCACAGCTTACTGCAGCCTCAACCTCCTGGGCTCAAGTGATCCTAGGGAAGTATCTGGGACTACAGGCGTGTGCCATGACACTTGGCCAATTTAAAAACATTTTTTTGTAGAGTTGGGGTCTCGCTGTGTTGACCAGGTTGGTCTCAAACTCCTGAGCTCAAGTGATCTGCCTGCCTTGGCCTCCCAAAGTGCTGGGATTACAGGAGTGAGCCACTGCCCCCTACAAATTCTTTTCATACAATTTTATGAAATCTTATAAGCCCCTCCCTGTCCCAATCACTGAAGGATGAAGACTCAATTCCTTGGAAGGGCCCAGAAAGCCCACCAGGACAGCCTTCTAGCCACGTTGCTCCTCACTGAACACACGGGTTCACTCAGGCCTCTGCACTCACTGCTCTCTGCCTGGACAGCCCTTCCTGCCTCTCTTCCCAGGGGTATCTTGGTATGTTCTTCCCCTGGGTTTCTGGTTCTGGGAGGGCCTAAGGACCCAGGCTGCGATGCTTGTGTGGAAACACATGGGAAGGAGCCCTTTGCAACAAAAGGCAGCAGCAGCCCTGGTGGCTGGAAGCAACCATGCTGTGCACGCTATGCAGGGAGGGGGACTCACGATGCCCAGGACAGGAAACACGGCCAGGAGGTGAGTCCGGGAAAAGGTCAGACTTTCCTGAGCCAGCAAGCAAAAAGAAGGACTGGAAACCTGGAGCCATGCAGGGCCCAGAATAGAATGCAGGGTAGCAGGGGTCTCTCTGCTCCAGCTAGGGGGCTGCAGGTCCTCCATCCACAAAACACAGCAAGCGGCGCATTTTCATAGCAGTCGGGAGGCTCCACTTGGACAATATTTGTACAGGGCCTTGCGCTCACAGGCGCGTAAAGCATCAGGTAAGGGTTGTTTCTCCCCTCCTTCTTTCCTGTGATTTTCCTTCTGCCAGGCAGGAATCCTGCAGGACCCAGGGTGGCCTGGCGCCTCAGGGAATGGTATTTTAGGAAGTGTTGGCCTAGGCCAGGACAAAATAGGGGCGATGTAAGACCAAGGCAGCCTGTCCAAATCAAGAATTCTGAAGGAATGGGGCAAATACATATTTTTTGCTGAGAAAAACAAAAGGACTGCTGAAGCCGGAGACAGGCTGTCATCGGCTGCTGATGAGGCTTGAGAAGGCCAGGTGACCACGCCAGAAACCAACCGTCTCTGCACTCAATGCCTGCAACTGGCCATGCCTGGACAGCAACAGTGACGATGACCGCAATAAACACAAAATGCTACTAACAATGGCCACTTAATGATACCAATTACAATTATTAAATGGACAATATGTTTTTTTTTGAGACGGAGTTTCACTCTTGTTGATCAGGCTGGAGTGTAATGGCACGATCTCAGCTCACTGCAACCTCCACCTCCTGAGTTCAAGTGATTCTCCTGCCTCAGCCTCCCAAGTAGCTGGGATTACAGGCACATGCCACTGCGCCTGGCTAATTTTTGTATTTTTAGTAGAGACGGGGTTTTACCATGTTGGCCAGGATGGTCTCGATCTCCTGACCTCAGGTGATCCACCCGCCTTGGCCTCCCCGAAGTGCTGGGATTACAGGCGTGAGCCACCGTGCCCGGCCTGGCCAATATGTTTGAGAGCCTACTATGTGCTAGGTCCAATTCTAAACTCTTCCTGTGTTAACTTATTTAATTTTCGTATCTTCGTAACAACCTCGTGAAGTAGATATAATTATCCCCATTTTTCAAGAGAGGACAGTGAGGCGTGTACAATAAACTAACTCATCCAAGGTCACACAGGTTTCCTGAAACTGGCTGAAACCCAGGCAATCTGACTCCAGGGGCACTGCCCCTCCGACCAGCTTTAGGGTAAAGAACAGCTGAAAATCTGTCACATGACACGGCAGGGGATTGGCTGTCCACTCTTATGCAAAAGGTCTCAAGGAACTACCCCATCAGGCCAGGTGCAGTGGCTCACGCTTCTAATCCCAGCACTTTGGAAGGCTGAGGTGGGCAGATCACCTGAGATCAGGAGTTTGAGACCAGCCTGGCCAACATGGTGAAACCCTGTCTCTACTAAAAATACAAAAATTAGCTGGAGGCAGTGGCACACACCTGTAGCCCCAGCTACTCGGGAGGGTAAGGCTGGAGAATCACTTGAACTCGGGAGGCAGAGGTTGCAGTGAGCCGAGATTGCGCCACTGCACTCTAGCCTGGGCGACAGAGCGACACGCCATCTCAAAAAAAAGAACTACCTGATCATTTGTGAACTCAAAACATAATGAGGTGTCTTTCATAATGGAACCATTAGTTTTGTTTTGTTTCTTGGGATGGGGTCTCGCTGTGTCACCCAGGCTGAAGTGCAGTAGTACAATCCCAGCTTACTACAGCCTTGACCTCCTCGACTCCTGCCATGGTCTCCCGAGTAGCTGGGACTACAGATGTGCGCTACTATGCCCAGCTAATTTTTTTATTTTTTTGTTGAGACGGGGGTCTCACTATGTTGCCCAAGCTGGTCTCGAACTCCTGTGCTCAAGCAAAACATCCTTGGCCTCCCAAAGTGCTGGGATTACAGGTGTGAGCCACTGTGCCCGGCCATAATGGAACTATTTGTTATTTAACAAACAGGTTTAACGCAATTGGCTATTTAAGGAAAAAAGTCATGTTACAACATCATCCCACAATTTTCGGGCAGTAAAATGCACACATTTCAAGTGCATGGTTCGAGGAGTTTTGACAACTACACCTGCATAATCACCATCGCCATATCTTTTTTTTTTTTTTTTTAAGATGGAGTCTTGCTCTGTTGCCCAGGCTGGAGTGCAATGGTGCAATCTCAGCTCACTGCAACATCTGCCCCTCTGCCTCCTGAGTTCAAGCGATTCTCCTGCCTCAGCCTTCCAGATAGCTGGGATTACAGGCGCCTGCCACCGCGTCTGGCTAATTATTTCGTATTTTTAGTAGAGATGGGTTTCACCATGTAGGCTAGGCTGGTCTCAAACTCCTGACCTCAGGTAATCCACTTGCCTCGGCCTCCCAAAGTGCTGGGATTACAGATGTGAGCCACCGCGCCCGGCCCCCATATCTGTTTTTAAAGATGAATGAAACAGGACTTCACAATCTCTCTCAGCAATCCACTTCTATCTCTGACAGGCTTAATCAGATTGTAATTCCTTTTTCCTATTCTAATCCACGGTCTTCATGCAGGAGTTGAAGCTCACCTCTGCCTGGGGAAGTCCTCCCTGCAGAGGGGAACCGGCTGATCGTACCATCCACAACCCCAGGCCTCTGCACAGGCACGAAAAGATGGCCCAGGAGGCCCTAATCTTCCTTGTAAACAACTCTGACCACCCCACCCCACCCAGGTTTCCACGTCCTTAGCACGCACCCACCAGTGCGTGATGTGGAAATGCAGGCAGTGGCTCAGAGACAAAGGCAGAACCAGGAGAAACGTTCCCTTCCTCAGAGGAGGTGCCTCCCAGCCCCTGGCCCCCGACATAACCACCACGAAAAACCTCAAAATGACTCTCCCGTTGACCGCGACGACTGCCCGGCAAGACGGCAGAGTGTGAGGATTAGAATGTGGCCTTCGAGGCAGAAAAACCTGGGTTCAAATCCTAGCTCTTTTACCTACATTCATCCATAAATATATAAAAACAATTGCCTAAGAAATCAAAACCAACCAGCGTTTGTCAATATGCTAACCAGAGGCCAGAAGAAACCTAGCACAGCCTGTTTCTTGGGTCCCACAGAGCCCTTTTTCTTTCCCTAATTGTTCTCCTCTCCTCCAAAAACTCTCTAAGCCTCATTCCCCAGCTCTCTCGGAGACTGAGATTCCTAAACTTACTCCACTGAAATAAGCTAGGATTTGGCCCAAAATGAAAATCAGCTGGAGAACTCATAAAGCCACGGGAGCAAGAGTCCAGGTGCTCAGGGCAGAAGGACAACCTTACGGCTGTTTTCTACTGATTGCTCACTCTTCACCAGGCTGGAGGCTGGGGGCTTCAGTCAAGCCCAACAGCGCCTCAGCAGAGGGTTCAATTAGACTTGCTCTGCAGATGAGGAAACTGAGGCTTAGTAATTTGTGTACAGCAACACAGCCAGGTGAGTGGCACAGACAGAAATCCTTGCATGCTTGCAAAGTACCTGTAAGCTGACAAGTGAGATCTGGGGTGGGGAGGGAGGGGGTGGCAGCGAAGATGGTCTGCAGGTGTAGGAACAGCCGTGCAGCTATGGTGTAGCCTCTCTCCTGGCACACTGATTGTAATTTTGGGCTTGGAGACAAGACTGCTGCATCTGCATGGGGATCAACCCAGGGAGGGGGAATGCCACATGACAGGGGAAAGGGTTGGCTGGGTGGCAGGGGTTGCATCAGCACAGGGCTCAGACCCAGGCAGATGGGGGATCTAATACTGCAAGTGACGGAGTAAGTGCCAGATTCTGATTCATTCTAGTAAAAGCAGAAAAAGCCCCACCTTTCAAACAATGACATGGATAAGATCAAAGAAGAGAAACACAATTGCATGACCAGTTGCACCTAGTCCTTTCTGGGCTTCTCTCTTTCATCTTCACATTCAGATTTTTACCCTAGGTTCAATGAGCTGAAACTAGAACAGGCAGGCTAAGGATCTGCAGTTGGGCTTAATAAATAGGAAGTTATTTTCTTCCTATTTCTGTTCTTTAAAAAAGTACAATCTTAATTCAATCAAAACTCCATCCTGTCCAATCATAAAGTGCTCTATAAGATTCTCGACATGCATGTTAAATATGAGAATTATCACTATGAAGCTTCTGTATTTAATAAGCCTGAGGGAGCTGGCATTTTGCCAACACTTAGCTGACTGGTTGTGATAAACTTTCACGTAACATTAGTTTATCAGCAAAAGACCATGTTATATAAAATAGTCCATAAATGACAGTTGCTAAAACATGCCTGAGATGGGTATTCAATGGTCCATGGAAATTCTCTAGGCTCATGGCTCTGAGCATGCCAAAGAACCCCCACCCGCTCTGGGTGATCCACATGCACTCCTGGAGGGCTTGGCTTCGTGGTTGCGTTCCAGGCGTGTGCCCAGAGTTCCAGTGCTGACTTTCTGAACCTCCCTCTTCCACCCACGGTGAGGTATAGACCAACAACTGAAACCTGGGCCTGCCTGTTGTGCGAGAAGCGAGAAATTGCCAGAAACATTTAGTTCTCAACTGCTGCTAAAGTTTCGACTGTCCAGTTTATGAGGTAACCCCTCAGACCCGCACCCCTGCACAGTTAACATCAACCTTGAACCTTGATTTGCAAAATAGCCCCAGTTCCTCCTAAAGCTCCTCTCCACAACCCCAGTCTGTGGCAAAGGGTCAGTGTCCACCTGCCTCACTGAGTGTGAAGGTGGCATTTATCTTTGGGCAGGGGGCCTCTGGCTGGGGGCTCGTTGGTCCTTCCCACATCCTGGGAAGGCCCAGGAGGGCCAGCTCCACCTATAAAGCTCAAGAACCGCTACTAGCTTTTCCTCTGGCCATCAGCAGAACCCTCATAGCTTTCCTGAGACTGACGGAATGAGAAAAAGCCCTCATCATTTCATCATGGTTTCCCTTCTTAGCACATGGCAGCGCAGGGTGCTGCTACCTTGGAGATGGGCTACAGATCTCGGCCGGGATCTTGGCAGCAGGTTTCTGAAATTCCATGTCAATGACAATCTGTGTTTGGGCATCGAATGCTTTCTCTCTCTCTCTCTTTAGTCTTAGGTCTGTAAATACTTAAATCCAAAAATGAGATAGTAATCCACAACAGTATAGCCTATATGCTGGAAAAATCTTGTGTAACCAGAAAACTCATACTGCTGATCACATTTTGCTTTGTGTCTGTTGCACTGTAGTTAGTTATAGCTACATTCACGCATGCAACTAACCCGTCATAAACCCTATGCTAGGAGCTAGCTGGGCACACAGTGCTGAACAAAATAGGGTCCCTCCCATCATGGAACTGTGGGTCACTCCCCAGGGGTCTGAGTCCACCATCTGGGTGCTGTTCCAGGGGCCATCACTGCTGCTGTTACTGATGATGATATCACATCCCCTGTGACATCTGCACAATGCTCTGCAGAGAACTCATTCACACTTCTTTCAGTTGGGCCTCATGGTAACTCACTGTCTGCTCTGAAAAGGTCACCTGGCTAACTAAGGGAGAACACTAGATTCAAATGCGGTTGGCCCGGCCCTGGCTTAGGGCTTTCACTTTTGCCCCACACAGCTCCCAGGCAATGACTCTGAAGCTGAGAGGCAGAGTTCTAGTAGGAAGAGCTCTCTGCTCTCCAGGGAATGGTCATTAGTGTAACTGACAAGAAATAGAAACATGTTTCCCAATGGACCTGCTCAAGTTAGCAGGCGCTGACAGGTATCAGATGGCTTTCTAGGAAAGAGGCTGCAGATGAGGCCCTCGTGCCTTCAGCAGACGTTCAAAATAACTGAGAAAATGGTGAGAAACACAAGATAAGATGCAGAACACTGGCTAAATTAACAGAAAGAAATGTGATACTGAGGAGGTTATGAATGAAAGGCATTCCAAGTCAAGCTCCTTCTCAACATGGACAAAAGGCTGCCAAGGGGGCTGAGCAGTTGTCTGTTTAGGGTGAGAAGTTATGAACGTGGTTCAGAGACAACGAAAAAACATCCAAAAGAGATGCTCTATCAGATCTTCTAAAGCTCGAGGACACGTCCCACTGTGAGGCAGAGTTGACGCTGTCAATAAGGTTATAAAATAGAAGATCCCTACAGAGACCAGCAGCTCAGAGTCAGCCACGTATTTCCCAGAACCAAAACTCCAGTTTCCAAGAGTGTCAGCATAGCCAAATGGCCTGTGCATGAAAGAAACAGTATTTCCCACAACATAATCATATAATGAAAAGGCAAGACAATCCCCTACCCTGTGGCAACAAGCACTCCTAACACCCATATTGTGATCTCCTCCCTTCAGATGAAAAAGGAAGGAGGGCCTCCTGAGAGAAAGGGCTATAGGTAAGAAATGTATACAAGGATCCTGGAACAACTTGTTATGCCAGAGAACAAGTACTAAAGGCTCCTGAGGTCACGTCAAAAGGACCCAGGAGCCAACTAGAGTAACTTCCACCTAATATAACAGACAGGAACACAGCAAATAAACTTCAATCCATAATGGCACCAAAACTACACCACTACCCACCACCACCACCACCACCACCACCACCACCATCACCATCACCACCACCACCACCACCACCACCACCACCACCTCCACCACCACCACCATCACCACCACCACCACCACCACCACCACCACCACCTCCACCACCACCACCACCTCCACCACCACCACCATCACCATCACCACCACCACCACCACCACCACCACCACCATCACCATCACCACCACCACCACCACCACCACCACCACCACCACCTCCACCACCACCACCATCACCACCACCACCACCATCACCACCACCACCACCTCCACCACCACCACCATCACCACCATCACCACCACCACCAATACCACCACCACCACCACCACCACCACCACCACCACCGCCACCACTACTACCACTACCACCACCACCATCACCACCACCAATACCACCACCACCACCACCCCCCCACCCCCCCCACCACCAATACCACCACCACTACCACCACCACTACTATCACCACCACTGATCGGTGACTGTTAGAGGAGCAGAAAGCAAATGTATTATCTCAGAAACTGGAAAATAAAGTGAATGAAATCAAGCATTAATTCTGACTTTCCTATATGAACTCTACCACTGGGTACCAAAATTGTAGATGAAGGAAAGTTTTTCTTCATAGAAGTACTATATCTAATAAATGAAGAAGAAAAGCTAACATTGGAAATCAATAGTTGGCAACCTTTATGGATCTAGGCACTGGGTAACAACAGCTACTAATGTCACAAAAAGTGAGAAAAACCCATTATGTGCCTCCTAAAGGAAAAATACAGCAACACATATACAGCTTGAATATGACCAAGCCTCGATATCCAGCAATCACTTTATGGGAAATACAGGGGACAGAGGAACACGTGAAGACAACACCACAAAGATGCATTCAGCAAAATCCAGTGTGGAAAATGCTACAGGACAAACGAGCCAGTTTCATCAACAAATTTACTGTAATAGAGGGAGAGAGAGAACACCTATGGATTAACAGAAACTAGTAAGTCATATCAACCAATTACCATTGTGTGGGCTTTTTTTTGCTTCCTGGTTTAAACAAATTGTTAAAAAAAAGTAAATTGAAAACTGGAACATATAACTGGCCATCTGATGATATTAAGACATCAATGCTGATTTGGGTTGGGGAGGAGACAACGATACTGTGGTTATATTAAAAATAAGAGGGCAGGTCTGTGCTGTGGCTCACGCCTGTAATCCCAGCACTTTGGAAGGCCAAGGGCAGGGGTGAATTGCTTGAGCTCAGGAGTTCAAGACCAGCCTGGGCAACATGGCAAAACCTCATCTCTACTAAAAATACAAAAAATTAGCCAGGTATGGTGGTGCATGCCTGTAGTCCCAGCTACTCGGGAGGCTGAGGTGGGAGGATTGCTTGAGCTTGAGGGATAGAGGTTGCAGTGAGCTGAGATCACGCCACTGCACTCCAACCTGGGTGACAGAGTGAGGCTCTGTCTAAAAAAAAAAAAAGGCAGAGCTGGGTGCAGTGGCACACGCCTGTAGTCCCACCTATTCAAGGGGCTGAGGCTGTAGTGTACTGTGATCACACCTGTGAGTACCCACTGCACTCCAGCCTGCAACATAGCAAGACCTCATCTCTAACAATAAAAAACAGTCATTAAAAAAAATAAGAGCTGCCAGGGGCAGTGGCTTATGCCTATAATCGCAGCACTTTGGGAGGCCGAGGCGGGCAGATCACTTGAGGCTAGGAGCTTGAGACCAGCCTGGCCAATCTGGCAAAACCCTGTCTCTACTAAAAATACAAAAATTAGCCAGGTGTGGTGGCGTAAGCCTGTAGTTCCAGCTACTCAGGAGGCCGAGGCAGGAGAATTGCTTGAATCTGGGAGGCAGAGGTTACAGTGAGCTGAAATCATGCCACTGCACTCCAGCCTGAACAACAGTGCAAGACTCCATCTCAAAAAAAGAAAAAAAAAACCCCAAAAAACACAAAAAATAAGAGGGCAGTTCTTCTAGCTGTGGCCAAATGAGAAGGTTGGCCAATCCTCTCCCCATAAAGCAATTATGAAATTCTATAAAACTGACAAAAACAACCATTTCCAGACTCTGTAAATTGAACAAGACATGAAAATCTGAGAAGTGTTGTTTATTTGAAAATCTTCTCAACTTCAGGTAAAAACAGGGTGAATCCATCATGTTCTTCCCTGGGCTGCCCTCACTCCTTCGCAGCAGCTGGGCCAGCACAGCGGTCCTGGCAGGGAAGAACAGGCTCTGAGGACCACGCGGCTGTGGTAAAAGGGCTCACTCCATATGGAGCCCTGGGCAATAGTAGCACTGGGATGGAAGTGACCATCTCTAGGGCAGTTGGGTGGGGAGGGCCAAGGTTTCTACTGGCTTGAGGTTACGGTTATTGGATGGGTGAGCGCATTCCTGGCTGACGGGAGGCTGGTGCATGCACAGTGGAGGCAGGAAAGGATCCTGCCTATTCAGACACCCTTCCGGCCAATCTGAATCTGTACATGTGCATAGAGGAGATGTAAAAGGGTGAGTGGAAAGTAAAAGCCAGGCCGACATGGAAACGGCCTGAACTTTGAACATGCCCTTCAACCTGCCCACAGAGCCACTGGCAGAGGACGGAGCCTTACTGGCTTAAGTTATTTGTGCATAACCTCTGCCCAATCATTCATTCAAACTACATGAAGCAAAAATAGAGTTGAAAAGAGAAATTTGGTGGCTCCTGCCTGTAATCCCACTTTGGGAGGCTGAGGCAGGAAGACTGCTTGAGCCCAGGAGTTTCAGTTTAGAGACATAGGAATACCCTGTCTCTAAAAAAAATTAGCTGGGTGTGGTGGTGCCTGCCTGCAGTCCCAGCTACTTGGAGGCTGAGGTGGCAGAATCACTTGAACCCAGGAGGTCAGGGCTGCAGTGTGCCGTGTTTGTGCTAGTGTACACCAGCCCAGGTGACAGAGCAAAAAAAAAAAAAAAAGAAAAAAGAAATCTGAATAGACTTGTAAGAAGTAAAGAAATTGAATTAGTAATTAAAAACCTTCCCACAAAGAAAGGCCCAGGTAGTTTCACCAAATTCACATACATTCTGTCAAATATTTAATATAACACCAACTTTTCACAAACTCTTTCAGAAAACAGAGGAGAGAACACTTCCTAATTTGCTCTGTAAGGCCGGTAGTACTCTCATAACTGAGACAGACAAAGATGCCACAAGAAAAGAAAACTATACACCAATATCTGTTAGAAACATGGAGGCA
This sequence comes from Homo sapiens, assembly GCF_000001405.40. Taxonomy (NCBI): domain Eukaryota; kingdom Metazoa; phylum Chordata; class Mammalia; order Primates; family Hominidae; genus Homo; species Homo sapiens. Next base: position 99,924,995 of record NC_000014.9, on the reverse strand, counting down.
AAAATCCTTAATAGAATCCTAGCAAACACATGTAAAAGGGATTATACACCATGATTAAGGGGAATTTACCACAGGAATGTGAAGTTGGTTCAACATCTGAAAATTAATAAAATGTAGTGATATTAATAAAATAAGATGAAGGATGAAACCCACATAATAATCCCAACAGATGCAGAAAAAGCATCTGATAAACTCCAACCCCATTCATGCTAAAACCTCCAAACAAATTAGAAATAGAAGGGAACTTTCTCACTATGATAAAGGGCATCTTTATCCCTCATGATGAAAGACTGAATGCTTTTTCTCCTCAGAAAAACAGAAGAAACTTAATAAAATGTAGTGATATTAATATAATATAATAAGACTGAAACAACTTTCTGTGGTTTCAGTAACCTGTGGTCAATTGTGGTCTGCAAATATTACGTATAATACAGTATTCTGAAAGAGAAACCATATTCACATAACTCTTATTACAATATATTGTTATATTGTTCTACTTTATTATTATTGTCATTAATCTCTTACTGTACCTGATTTATACATTTAACTTTGCCATAGGCAAGTATATATAGGAAGAAACATAGTACACTTAGCATTTGTTGTTATCCATAGTTTCAGGCACCTGTGTGGGGTCTTGGAAGGTAGCCCCTGTGGATTGGGAGGGACTATTATACTAAAACTAATCAAAGAAGTTTAGAAAGGTCATAGGATATAAGATCTACGTGCAAAATTCAATCCTATTTTTACATACTAGCAGCCAACCAACTGAAAACAAAATTCAGAAAACAATTCCATTCACAATGGCATAAAAAAAACACTTATTTTGGAATAAATTTAACAAAGGAAGTGCAAGACTTGTACACCTACAACTATAAAGCATTGCTGAGAAAAAGTAAAGACCTAAATAAATGGAGAGACAGTCTTTGCTCATGATAAGAGCCACTATTGTCCAGGTGGCAATTTCCCCCATATTGATCTGTAAATTAAACATAATCCCTCTTACAATCCTAACAGGCTTTTCAAAGTTAGAAATTGACGAGCTGGCCTAGTGTGGTGCCTCACACCTGTAATCCCAACACTTTGGGAGGCCGAAGTGAGACGATCTCTGGAGACCAGGCGTTTGAGACCGGCCTGGGCCACAAAGTAAGACCCTGTGTCTACAAAAAAATTTCAAAAAACAAAATAATAAAAAAAGACAAGCTGATCCTAAAATTTATATACAATTTTACATATAGTAGGAACCTAAAATAGCCAACACTATTTTGAAAAAAACAACAAATTTGCAGCAGTGACACTACTCAATTTGAAAATTTCCTCTAAGGTCACAGTAATCGGGGATAAACACAGGTGAAGGGGGCAGAACTGAGTATCCGGAAATAAACCTTTACATTTCTGATCGATTGATTTTTGACAAAAGTGTCATTGATAATTCAACAGGGAAAGACTGTGTTTTCAACAAAAAGTGCTTGGGACAACTAGATACCTCTATGCAGAGCAAACAGGCTCTTCCTTCTCACCATCCACAAGAAACAAGTCTAGTGTACTCTTGTAACTCTTGTGTAATTAACTCAAATGGATCATAGACTCGAATGCAAGGGCTAAAACAACTCTTCTAAAAGAAAGCATACAAGGAAATATTCATGATCTTGGATACGACCCCAAAGGCATGATCCACAAAAGGAAAAATTGATAAACTGAACTTCATCAGAATTGAAAGCTTTTGTGCTTTAAAAAACCCCATTAAGAAAATGAAGGCTGGGCATGGTGGCTCACACCTATAATCCCAGCAGTTTTGGGAGGCCGAGGCAGGCAGATCACTTGGGCCCAGGAGTTCAAGACCAGCCTGGGCAACATGGCGAAACCCTGTCTCTAACAAAAATACAAAAATTAGCCAGACGTGGTGGTGTGTGCCTGTGTTCCCAGCTACTTGGGAGGCTGAGGTGAGAGGATTGCTTGGACCTGAGGTCAAGGCTGCAATGAGCCATGATCATGCCAGTGCACTCCAGCCTGGGTGACAGAGTGAGATGCTGTCTCAAAAACAAACAAACAGAAAAAAAGATAAGCCATACATTCAGAAAAAATATTTGCAAATCATCTATCTGATAAAGACTGTATATACGGAATATATAAAGAGGACTTACTACTCAACAGTAAGACAAACAGCCCAATTAAAAATTGGCAAAATATCTGAATAGATATTTCACCAAAGAAGATATTGGAATGACTAATATGCACATTAAAAAATGCTCAATATCAATAGTCATTAGGGAAACACCAATTAAAACCACAATGAGATGCCATTACACCCTCTTTAGAATGACTATAATCAAAAGGACAATAACAAGTATTGGGAGGATGTGATGATACTAGAACCCTAGCACATGGCTGACGAGAATGTAAAATAGGACAGGCAGTCTGGCAGTTTCATAAAATGTTAAACATAAGTTTACCATACAATCCGTCAATTTCACTCCTAAGAATTTACCCGAGAAATGAAAACAAACACAAAAAGGCATATACATGAATGTTCATAGCATTATTAATAATAATAAAAAACCAGAAACAATCTAAATCCATAAGGCCAGGGTGCGGTGGCTCACGCCTGTAAACCCAGCACTTTGGGAGGCCGAGGTGGGTGGATCACCTGAGGTCAGGAGTTTGAGACCAGCCTGGCCAATATGGCGAAATCCCATCACTACTAAAAATACAAAAATTAGCCAGGTGTGGTGGCATGCACCTGTAATCCCAGCTACTCGGGAGGCTGAGGCAGAAGAATCGCTTGAACCTGGGAGGCAGAGGTTGCAGTGAGGCTCTGTCTCAAAAAAAAAAAATCCATCATTAACTGATGCATGGATAAACAAGATGTGGTATATATCCATAAAATGGAAAACTACCCAGCAATTAGAAGGAATATAGTACTGCTCTGTGCACAGTAACATGGATTAATCTCAAAAACATCATTCTACGTGAATGAAGTCAGATGCAACCAACTACATATTGTAGGAATCCATTTACACGATATGTCCAGAAAAAGCAATTTTTGGAAACAGAAAACAGATCAGTAGTTTCCTCGGACTGGGGGTGAGGGTGGAAGTGAACTGCTAATGGGCATGGAGGAAACTTTTTGGATGATGAAAAGGTTAAAAAACTGGACTGTAGTGATGGTTGTTGCATAGCTCCACAAGCTTATAAAGAATCGATGAGCTGTACATTTATAATGGTTCATTATTGTATGTAAATTACTCCTCAATAAAGCTGTTAAAAAGAGTCCTCATCTTTTTGGGATATATACAATTATTAACAGATGAAATGATGAGATGTCTGGGAACTGCTTCAGAATATGGGAGGCGGGTGGTGGGTGGGGCTCCAGACGCAGGAAACTGGCTGAGAGCTGATCATCATTGAAGCTGGCGGATGAGTACATGGGGTTCATTATTCCATTCTGTTTAATTTTGTCTATGTTTGAAATTTTCCATAACACAAGCACAGTGACCCAAAGGAGGGAAAAGAACCCTAAATGCCATAATTATGTGCATGTCTAATTTAAATTTTACTCTGAGGAGGCTTGTGAAATTTTTTCTTTAAAGACACTGACACAGAATCTCAATTCTGTTGGGATTTTAAAGTAGTGAATACAATAGCAAAGACACAGAATCAACCCAAATGCCCATCAATAGTAGACTGGATGAAGAAAATGTGGTATATATACACCATGGAATAATATGCAGCCATAAAAAGGAACAAGACCATGTCCTTTGTGGGGATATGGATGGAGCTGGAAGCTGTTATCCTCAGCATACCAATGTAGGAACAGAAAACCAAATACCGCATGGGCTCACTTATAAGTGGGAGCTGAATGATGAGAACACATGGACACACTGGGCGGGGAACAAGACACACTGGGGCCTGTTGGAGGGGGGCGAGGGGGAGGGAGAGCATCAGGAACAACAGCTAATGGGTGCTGGGCTTAATACGTGGGTGATGGGTTGATCTGTGCGTTAAACCACCATGGCACACGTTTACCTATGTAACAAACCGACACATCCTGCACATGGACTCCAGAACTTAAAATAAAAGTTGATTAAAAAAATAAAGTAGTGAATGGTTTGGAGTCTAACCTGGTGAGTATCGCATTACAGAGAGCTGTTCGTTTCCATCTGTGTGAACGGTGACCAAGTCTTTTGTTTCTGTGTCAAACACAAACCACCTGTTATCAACATGAGAAAAAGCACAGTAAGTTGTTTAATAAGAAAATGAAGATTATATAATAGTGGGATGAATAAAAATTGTTAATCATAAAAGCTTAATAAATACTCAGAATTTGCTTAATAAGAAAGCTTGTTCCCAGCTTTCATTCAAAGAAAATTTCCTATATATAAGCATTTTCTAATGAAAGGAACAGCATATTGGCTAGCATTCAAAACTATGCCATTATCAACACTATGACATGGTTTCTCTGTGTTTGTGCTTTGTCATTTACACATGGAGAGAAAGCTCTGGGCAGGGAAGATGCCAATACCTAGTGCCAGGGCATATGGTGAGAGGAAGCAGTGAAGGACCACCTGCAAGAGCTCACCCAGGTTTCCAGGGCGAAGCAGGACCATGCAGGAGGATGGGGCTGGGACAACTCCGGGGTGGTGGTGTTCCCAATGGTGCTGCAGACAGAGCAGGCCAAGAGTACAGGCCTTATGGGGATGCTAGCCTGCAACCAACAGGGCGAGGGAAAGCACAGAGCAAATGGGAGAAATTGGAGTGGAGGACTGGTCTTCTAATTTCACCTCGCTGGGCCATTTCCTCAGTGGTGAGATGGGGAGAAGAGCCCAGGTCTACTCTGCAGGCTCAATATTAAAGTCGAATGATAATGGACATGGAAGTGCTTTGTATCCTCTGATAAGCACACAGTACCCACTAAATGAGTGTTAACATCAGAATGACTGAACTCTCCTGCCTGTTATATTCTCAAGGGGTGGTGGTGAGCCCCTGGTGTTTTCAGGATAAATGGATAAATGGATAAGGATAAATGGATAAACTGTTGCTGCAGTTTCTAACCTGCCTGAGGACATCCCATCAGCATGTCCACTGACGCAGAGTGAGTGTCCCTTGTCTTCCACAGGAGCCCCCCTAGCCAGGCACTGTCAGATGTCCTGCCCCCCAGAAATGTGGATTTTGCTTTTCAGTGCCAATTTCTTGCATCTTCAACAACCATTTACCTTTAATGTGCTATTTAACCTTAATAAAGGCTGGGGCTGATTAGAACATGGCTTTGAAGTGACCTGTTAAATCAACAGCATCGGGAGCTAAGCCTAACCTAGGACCTGAATGGCAAGAGGTACAGATGAGGGGCTGGATTAGGTGACCCGATCCATCTCCTCCACCATGGGACACTGTGATTCTGAGCACTGTCACCGTGTCCTACACACACAGTAGGCATGCTGGCATCCGTCAGCCTATTGGGAGGCCAGTCATCAGAAGGTGGGAGCCTGATGAGTTAGAAGGTTTACCTGTCTCAAAGAGAGTCAAATGGGAGGTGGAGTGTGTGTGTGTGTGTGTGTGTGTGTGTGTGTGTGTGTCTGTGTGCATGCGTATGTGTGTGTGTGGCTATACAAACGTTTTCATGAAGAATTCTGTTGGCTACATGGAGCCCAATACTTAAGATATTGCTACCTATGACCTGCAAAGGGCTACACTTTCTTTATCCATATAGGCTCTGCAGTCATAGCAACAGAATTTAAGTGCTACGCTTTTTTAGAGAGGAAGGGTGGGAGGAAAAATATTTGACTGAAACCACAGTAAATGTATACAGTACAATGAGCAGCATAAATGTTCAATCAAAACCTGGAAAGCAATGATAATAATAACCCCTGCAGTGCCTGATGGGCAGCCCTGGCAGGTGCTGTGTGCACTGTCTCCTTCGATCCTCAGTGCAACACAGCCAGGCAGGGAATATCACAATTTACAGAAAAAGAAACAAATTCAGAGAGCTTATGTAACCGGCTCAAAGACACTGCTGCTAAGTGGCAAAGCTGAGCTGCAAACGCAGACCCACCATCCGGTGTGTAGGAGGTGCCAGGTGAATAGGTATTAACTCAATTGGAATATGAGGCTCAGGGTCTGGGCAGTTCCTGAAATTTTGAAAGGGCAGCTAGAAAAAGCATTTATTTTCTATTTTTAATTTTTTTTAGAGATGGGGTCTCGCTGTGTGGCTTAGGCGAGGGTACAGTGGTGCAATCATAGTGCGATGCAGCCTCGAACTCCTGATCTTAAGAGATCCCCCTGCCTTAGCCTCCTGAGTAGCTAATACAGATGTGGACCACCATATCCAGCTCAATTTTAAATTTTTTATAGAGATAGGGTCTTGCTGTGTTGCCCAGGCTGGTCTCGAACTCCTAGCCTCAAACGATCTTCCTGCCTAGGCCTCTCAAAGGGTTGGGATTACAAGTGTGAGCCACTGTGACCAGGAGTAGAAAAAGCATTTTTAAATGCTCAGCACTTTGAAATGTTTTCTTGCTTCATTCCAAAATCAAGGCTTCTCCCACAGCCTCAAGATCAGGGCTTGAGAAGCTCCACAAATCCTCGAGATTGTAGGCAAAATGTGTGTGTGGCTGGGTGTGGTGCCTCATGCCTGTGATCTCAGCACTTTGGGAGACCGAGGTGGGAGGACTGCTTGAGCTAGAGCTCAAGACCAGCCTGGGCAACACAGTGAGACCTGCGTCTCTACAAAAGATAAAATATTAGTTGAGCATGGCAGTGCATGCCTGTAGTCCCAGCTACTTGGGAGGCTGAGGTGGGAGGATCACTTAAGCCCTGGAGGCTGCAGTAAGCTGTGATTGTGCCACTGCACTTCAGTCTGGGTGACAAGGAGAGACCTGTCTCAAAAAACAAACAAAAAAAGTGTGTGTGTGTCTAGTGGAGGTAGAGGGTCCTTTTCCAGGAGAGAGGGTCTATGGCTTTCCTCAGATTCCCCAAGGCTCAAAATGTAATGGGCCACTGTTTCAAGTTTCGCTTTTAACTTAATTCTTGGTAAGTCATTAGAAGCTTCGAACATGTAGCCAAGAGCTGAACGGGGGCCTGTTCCTGGGGAAATAGAAACAACAGGCCTCTTTTCCATAAGCTTTGCAAGCACAAGCGCTGTTGGCATGGACTTACCTCCCAGTGAGTGTTCCGACTGCAACCACAGACCCTGAAGGATGAAAACCAGAAGACTGAGCTGGATCCTAAAATATTTTAAAGGAAGTGTAAATTGATGAACAGATAGAACACTATAGCATAAAACACACACACGTGAGTGCGTGCACACACAAACGCTCACACTTCTAATTCCTTAGGGCTATATGGCTCTATTTGAAAAGTCTCTTTTCTAGAGAAAAATGTTTTCCTGCTTGAATGAATGCTGCGTTTCAATAATGCTAAATTTCTACCTACCCCCACCCTTTTTTGAGGCAGGATCTCACTCTATTGCACAGGCTGGAGTACAATGGCATGATCATGACTTATTGCAGCACAAGTGACACTCCTGGCTCAGCCTCTGAAGCAGCTGGGACTACAGGTGTGTGTCACCACACCTGGCTAATTTTTTAATTTTTAATTTTGTAGAGATGGAGTCTCCCTATGCTGCCCAGGCTGGTCTCGAATTCCTGGGCTCAAGTGATCCTCCTGTCTCTGCCTCCCAAAGTGCTGGGATTATAGGTGTAAGCCATTGAGCCTGACTTAAATTTCTGTCCTTTTAGGATTTTTCCCTTTTTGTCTTACATCCTCTCATTTCTACAGTAATCTGATGAAAGACAGGTAAATGCCCTTCTACAAAGTCACAGCTTATAGAACCCAGCCCCTTCAGTTGACTCCCCGTGCTGAGTGGTAAGCTCACTGAATAGTGTGCTTGATTGCTCCAGAAAGACAACCACGGCACCCAACTCCATGACACGGAGACTGGGTGAGTGCCCACTGGGTGCAAAACACTATGGAGGCCTGGAAGGATCATGAGATGAGCAAGGCATGTTCTAGGTTTTGATCCAGTGGAACACACACACAGTCATCACTAACTCGGATACAAGATGGAATGATCCATGAAAGAGATCCATGAAAGAGATACACAGGGGAGGGAGGGATGAGGTGACACTGGGAAGCTGGGCCAAGGCTTCGCGGTACAGACGACTGGACTTGGGCCTCCCAGGAGAGGAAGAATTATCACTGGTGAAGGTGAGATGTGGCCACTCCAGTCGTTTTTTGGACCATGGTGAAGGGGGCAGTAATATAGTAAAAGTGATGGAAGCAACACAGCTGTGGGCATATTTGAGGAGTGGCAGATAGGTCAATGGGCTTACAGCACAGAGTATATCACATTAGTGATGTCACTGCCATGGTAAGGACTTTGATCACTAGGAAATAAGAACACTTTGAATGGTCTTGTCCTTTCAATAAAAAGAGTGACATGATTGAACATGTGTTTTAGATAAAGGGCACTTTGCAGGAGTGTTTAGGATGAAGAGAGAAGAGATTAAGGAAGATCAGGAAGAAAAGTAGCAATGGGAATGAAAATAGGAGGCCCTGAGATCCACTGGATAATCTAAAAAACCAAGAGAAAGAAACTTGATATATGATTACATTATTTCAATGCTTTCTTTCTACAGTGGGAGCTGTAATTAAGCTCAGAGCTGCCACTAATACACAAACAGAAATCGTGTTCACTTGAAGCTTTACCATTTACAAAGCACTTCTGTCTGTGTCATTCATCTAAGCCTCGTAACAATTTTGAGAAGTGGACACTGAGTTACAGATGTCCAAGGTCACAAGGCCAGTAGGCAGAGGAGCTAGAACTTCATTGCAGTTCCCTGGCTTCCAGCTTAGAGCTCCAACCCTTATGTTAGGCTAAATGATTAACAGCCTGGTAAAGGAGCTGTCATTGCCTTCAGCCCTCCTGGACCACCAGGGCATAGGTAGAACATATAACACTGTTCCCTTTAGCCCTTTCCTGCCATCACGGGCCACACCTGCTCTCTGAGTGGCAGTGCCTGCCCCTTGGGCCCTTCCACCTCACGGCTCAGCTGGCCACCAGTGACCAGCACCCCTTCCGTGAAAATGAAGGGAAGGGAGCCAAAACTTGAACCTAGCACCTGGGACATGCCAGTAACTCTATGGGGGATGAAAGGATGATGTGTTGGTTTACAGAAGGGCTATTTCCTCTGTGCAATGGGATTGCACAGATCATTAGGGCACCGGCAACAGAGAATGAGCTTCCGATTCGCTGCAGTGCAATGCAGTGGAAAGAACCAGAGTTTAGGAGTCAGACTGAGCTGGGTTCTAACACTAGCTAGGTCACTCACTAACTTAGTGACCTTGGCAAGTTATTTAACTTCTCTACACCTCAATTTCCTATTCAATAAAATCAGAGTTAAAAAAAAAACCTCTTCAACCTGCAGAGCTGCTACAGGGATTAAGGATAATACACGCACAGTGCTTGGCATGCAAACAGTCAGTGCTCAAGTAATACACGTGGGGAAAGGGCATTTCAACACTCTGACAGGTCATCAGAGTTTCTTTTGCAAAATTCACAGAGATGTTGACTTTTTTTTTTTTTTTTTTTTTTGAGACAGAATTTTGCTCTTGTTGCCCAGGCTGGAGTGCAATGGCGTGATCTTGGCTCACTGCAACCTCCACCTTCCGGGTTCAAGCAATTCTCCTGCCTCAGCCTTCCAAGGAGCTGGGAGTATAGGCATGCACCACCATGCCCGGCTAATTTTGTGTTTTTAGTAGAGACGGGGTTTCTCCATGTTGGTCAGGCTGGTCTCGAGCTCCCAACCTCAGGTGATCTGCCTGCCTTGGCCTCCCAAAGTGCTGGGATTACAGGCATGAGCCACCGTGCCCAGCTGACTTTCAAACGAAAGTTCACTTTACCATCAAACTCAAAATGTAGAGATATATTCAATCGTGTGTTTAGTACAGCTTGTAAATTCCCATTCAAAGGGTACACTGTAAATAGAATGCAGGCTCATAACAAGTATTTTTCAGCTCTTAGGATGGTTGAGAGACTGTACTCAGAAAATCTGACAATGAACTCAGAAAGAACAACTTCTTGTCAGAAAATTTCAACAGTAAACTTCAAAATTACATGGCTGAGGCCACGAGGCAATGTTAAAAGTAACACTGTTAAATGCAATTGCAATGTTAAGGCAACTCTAAATAGATAAATAACATTTGCTTTGGGACAACTTTGTATCACTGTTGATTTCATGCAAAAAATAAATAAACATGTTCCAGATGAATTTCTGTAAGAAAAATGGAAATG